>NC_000001.11:191309587-191934587 GCF_000001405.40 Homo sapiens
TATTTTATACGCAGGGGCAACTTGGCCTCTGGGCTAAAGCATTGCAGGTCACTCTGTTCTAGCAGGGATGGGAACACAGCCTGGGCTATTTGGGCCAGTTCCTCTTTATTTTAGGATGTTGCATTCTCAGCACATTCTGAAAACTACAGTGAGAAAGGAGGGAAGAACTGGACCACCAAGGTCATTTGAGAATTAGTCCTGCACTCTGGAGTCTGAAAAAAATACTCATTCTTTCATTAAGTACTTAATGAGGGCCTAGTATGTACCTGAAACTGTAGTAAGTGAACAAAAATCCATGTAGTCTTTTCCTTCACGAACTTATAATCTAAGAGAAGAGATAGACATATGTGTGAAATTTCCCACAACTACTTCCACCTAGTGAAACCTTCAACAAATATTGAACATTCATGAGTTATTAGGCACATTCAAGATGCTGCAGATGCAGTAGTGAGCAAACATGGACAAACGTATCTGTTGGACATGTGAGTTGTGCTGTCTGAAAATACACCAAATACATAAAATATGCAGTGTTAAGTGATGCAAAGAAATGAAGCATGGGAGAGGGTAAAATGAGAAACGTGCAGGTGCCAATTGGGGGTGTGACCTAATTTTGGTTTCCCTGGAGGGTTCTTTAATAGGGTTAGTATTGAGCCAGTATATAAAAGAGTAATTGGGATTACCAGGCAGAGAAAGGAAAGAGCCTTCTAGGCAGAAGAATCATGCGTGAAAATGTCCTGTGGTAGAAGATGACACTAGCACTCGGAAGAACAAAACAGTTCTTGTGGTTTGCTAAGAAAGAGCAATATCAGAATTTCTTTATCAAGTCCTTATTACTGTGTGCTTTTAAGGTTTCACTGCAGGCTATTCCATTCATTTCTGTGTTGTATATAGGTCTACTCAGACTGGCATTGGCTTCTTTCATAACTACCTTTCCATAACTAACATAAATAACAGAGTTAATACTTTGTATACCTACAAAATTCATCTATTCTATGTCTGTTGCTCTTATAATTCTGTTTTCTCCATTGTAAAGAGGCCAGACTCCAGAGTTACGCTGGTTGTGATGTCCATGTGTAATACTTATTAATCATATAACTCAGACAAATGACTGACTCTTTCAGAGACTCATTTTCCTGACCCATAAAATGAAAGGCAATAATGTTATTTATTACACACTATTGTGACGTTAATATGACAGAATTGTGTGGGATGATGCATTTAGCACAGTTGTGGCATCATAACCAAGCATTCAGAGGTTTGTGACTTTTAATGAACATAGTAATAGGATTAATAATATTCCTATTGCAATACAATAGATTTAACATAAGAACTTCAGGTGATCTAACTTCCATAAGCAACCTTTTTCCTTTCTCATTCTTCTTGAATTATTGGTTTAGTACACAAAACAAAATATTTTACATGGATAATTGCCTGGACATTTTCCTCTTTCTTTTGCGGTTGTTGTTGAGTCCCTAAGATATCTCTATTTCTTCCTGGGATAAAAATTGCCTAATAATGAAAAAATGTTCTCTTGTTTAGCGGCACCTATCATAGCAAGGAATAACTCACTGTTTCATGACTACCAAATAGAAAACTAAAGGATTTTTTTAAAAAAATTATCTTTGAAGCTTTTTGGCTCTGTCCTGCATAATGAAACCTGCATAACTAACATTCAGAGTAATGATGTGTTACTGCGTGAATGAACATAAAGACAATGTTCAAATTTTATTCAATGGAATATCAAAAAGCTTCAAATATAAGTTACCAAAAAACAGAATGACATTATGAGTTATTCCTGGAAACAAAATTTGTAACCTTCTGTGGCCATAGTGACAATGATCTCTATTATTAAATTTTAATAAGTTAACCATTTTAAATTTCAATAATACATATAAACGAGCTATCAGTGAAAGTGTCCCATTATTTCAGTGAGACATTAACAAAGGTACGTATTATACATTGTCATACTATTTCTCAAAAACATTATTTTTTACTCCTTATGACATTCAATTTTACCATTATGCACACACTGAATTCACGTCTCTTTCCAGAAGCAATGAAATTTTCATTTTAAATCTCATGGGTACAAATGTAAGGTCAAGCAGGTGCCAAGATGATCTGAAGCAGGCCAGATCTATTAACTGAAAGTGGTGCTTGATATTTCTTATCCTGGGTGATGGAATGAGCTTCCATTGCTAACTGAGAAATCTCTATCTAGTAATAATAATACCCCTAATTTACTGATTTTCCTTTGAGGATGAATTTAGATGTAAAATATACATAATTGGATTTAAATAATTGAAACCGTTTTGTTCCTTCTGAGAAAATAACAATCTTAAGCAAATATTATCTCTTCTGAAAACTGGCAGAAGGCTGAAAAAATATATTAATGTTCTTTCCAGTTATTTTGAGAATTCTGATTGTAAAATAAGAAGACTCTAGTAAAAAACCACATTTGAAAGCACATGTAGAAATGGATATAGTTTAGATATTGCCTCACCCAAATCTCAAGTTAAACTGTAATCTCCAATCCTGGAGGTGGGGCCTGGTGGGAGGTGTTTAGATCATGGGGGCGGATCCCTCATGGCTTGGTGTTTTCTTTGCAATAGCGAGTGAGCTCTCAAGAAATCTGATCATATAAAGTGGGGGCAACTCCCCCTCAACTCTCTCTCTCTCTGTTACTCCTGCTTTCACCATATGAAGTGTCTGCTCTCCCTTTGCCTTCTGCCATGATTTTAAGCTTCCTGATGTCTCCCTAGAAGCCAAGCAGATGCCAGCACTATGCTTCCTGTACAACCTACAGAATGGTGAGCCAGTTAAACCTCTTTTCTTTAGAAATCACTCAGTCGCAGGTATTTCTTTACAGCAATGCAAGAATGGCCTGATACATATAAAGATATTACTATCTTTAAAATAGTTCATGTAAGATGCTGTGGTATTTTTATATTTCTATGATGCCACCTTGCATAAAATAAATTATGAACATACCCTTACTCTCCTTATAGTATTTGATTACATTGAAATCTGTATCTTGTGGGAAATTTTAATATTTTGACACAATCTAAAGGCACTAAAAGCTCATGTTTAATAAAAATTGATAGAATAAATTGAAAAAGGAAGAATAAAAAAGTGAATTAGAAAGGTGGATAATACTGTTTTAAATAAAAATGTGTCTGTTAAGAAAGAAAAATATTTCCAGAATTCAAACCATATTTGGAGAAAATACATTGAAAGAAAATATTAATTTATTATTGCAGAGGTAATATAAGTACGTAGCAATTTGATATGATTACAGTGCCCCACCGAAAACATGCTTAAATTAAATTTATATGTATTTTATAAACATAACTAAATTTTAATCATATTTTTATATACTCAAATGAAAGGTTTACAGTGGGTTTAATTTTAAAACATCAGATCAAGTATATGCTGAAATCCTCTTCTTCTATTCACTTCAGATACACCAAAATGATAGCCCACACATAAAAGAAGAATGAAAAATGTCAGAGTCCATGTTGTAGAAATCTGTAGTGGAAACCAAACAAACAGAAACAAAAAAAAAAAAACCACAATTATGAACCCCAAACTTTGAGGAACTCTTAAACTCAGTGGTCTATAGAACCTAAGAGTTAAATTAGAATTTACTCATGTGGCTGGGATCCAAGATCTTGAGGACTGTGCAGGGCTCTGTAGGGCTAGGGAACAAACCTGTACAACACACAGTCATGAAACTGGATACTAGAAACTCTATACCTACTATGAGGGACAAAAGCAGTATCCCTTGCCAAACCAAGGTTTATGTGGCATTAGTGCTGGAATAGAAAAGTAGCCTGAAAAACATAACAGAGAAACAATAGCTGCAGCAGTAAGTACTCATATACAGTCATTTAATATATCATGGGAGAGCATTGTTAATCAGTTTGATAAAAATGTAATGATCCATAAAAGTTACTGGGAAAATGGGTATCCATCGTGGTTTATAATGAAACTGGATTTCTACTTTACAGACTAAACAGTAGCCAAGATTGATGATATAAATACCAAAGAGTATAAAATCTTTGGAAAATAACATACAAGGATGTCTTTATAACACCAGTGTAAGAAAAGATATCTTAAATAAGGCACAGCAAGCACAAATCACATAATGAAGAAGAGTGAACTGAGCTACATTATACTAAGAACTTTTGTTTATTTAAAAAAACCATAAAGTGAGTGAAAAAATACAGGCAGTATATTTTTATAACCTATATGTGGATTTTTAATAAGCAAAATGATATTTAGTATTTATAAAACCAAAAAATTGTTTAGTATTCAGAATGTATATTAAAAATTGAGTCCTTAAGAAATAAAAAAGAACAAAAAGACAAACATGACCAAGCATGCCACATAAATACAATTATGAATGACCTCACATATATGACATGATGCTCAAATTTAGTAAGAATTATAGAAATGCTAATCACAACAAAAGTGAGATGTTATTTCACAGTTATCAGATTAACACAAATTAAATATGAAAATATCAAAATTGCTAAATTTTGGAGCATTTAACATGAGAGATTATAAGCACCTTGCACAGTTAGTTGGAAATGTTTAGTAAAATGCGCATACCCAGTGGTTTCATAATTGCATTACTCCAAGAAAACACAAGCACATATGCTCATACCTATGTACATGAATGTTTACCATAGCATTATCCACAATAGAAAAAAATAAGGAACAACTCCAATGATCATAAGTAGTAGAATGGAAAGATAAATTGCATTATTTTAACAAAAATGGAACCATTTACCACAGTGAAAACAAATGAATTAAAGCTGAATTAGTTAACATGGCTGAATCTCAATAGTACAAAACTGAGTTGAAGAAGAGAGTCACAGAATAATATGTGAAGGATTTTCACCTCTATAATCACACACAGGCCAAAAGAAGAAAATATTGTTTAGGGTCACATGAATATAGTAAGTCTAAGAAAGCAAAGAATGGAAGTAAGTCACAGATATCCAAGTTTGTAATTGCCTCTGTAAGAAGGTGTCACTCTGGAGCCTAAAATGTTAAGGAAATGGAAAATATTAACTAAATATTAAGATTATGGGAATGACAATAACCTTCCTTGTCAGTGGCAGACACCATATGACTCAACAGTGTATGAGTTTTAGATCCTAATATGAATGATTGAAATATACAAATTCATAGTTAATACAATGTGTTTATATCTCAATAAATATTTAATAATATACAGCTGATTTTTCTGAGCTAGCTAAAATGTATTTATTTCACTTATTTATTTCAGGTTTCGGTATACTTTATAAATGCACTGTTTGTCACTAAAATCTAATTGATAGTATAAATGTATAAATACACTAGGAAAATAAAAACTAATGGTTAATTTCTGTTTGTTCCCCCCTAATAAAATCATCTACTAGGTATAATTTATAGAACTATTGGAAGAACTCATTGTGAGCTCTGCTGGAAAAGTCAAACAAAGATTTGTAGTATATATAAAATAGCTACATGCAATTTTTATATATCCATATTAACATTGTTTAAATCTCATAGACTTTTAATTAAGACCCTGAAATAAACAAAGGTCCTATTAATTTTTCCTTTGTAAAATAAAGCAGATAAAATGTTGCTTAGCAACTGTACCAAAGAGCACTTTGGTATATCATTCACTAAATAGCAAACTTATAGATGGATAGATAGAGATATAAGTCGTGATATGGAGATAGAGACATATAGATAGATGCTACATGAAAGAATTAAAAAGTCATAAATTCCTTTCTCAACCTCTAAAGAAAAAAAATCATCATAATACCATCATTGCCTAAGATAGAGAGATTTCCTTAAGGTGTGTTTTATTTTCCGATTTTTTTCTAGACTTTTAAAATTTATAATTTCTTTTGTGGAAACCATTTCTCTCTCCTTTTCTAGCACAGACTTGGTCCCACACAAGCTAAAGTCGGTCCAGTTTCTACTATACCCACGCAGTCTTCAAGGGCTACCTGAAAATTAAGAATAATATAGCAGGCAGCCCAGGCAAGACAAGACCTGAAATGTGTCATTTTTTGAAAAACTGAATGTGTAGAATTAGCAAGAAATTAAAACATGTAAGATAGGATAAAATCTTACATATTAGACAAAACATATATATATATATTTGTTTGTTTGTTTGTTTTGTTTTTTTGAGACGGAGTGTCACTCTGTCGCCCAGGCTGTAGTTCAGTGGCGCGATCTCGGCTCACTGCAAGCTCCTCCTCCCGGGGTTCATGCCATTCTCCTGCCTCAGCCTCCAATAAATATATTTTTAAACAAATATATTCTTTTTTAGTTTAAAAGAGGTCTCTCTTTTTAGTTTAGCTTCTTTAGTTTAGCACAGCCTCTTTTTTAGTATAACCAATGAAAATCATGATGTAATAAATTTTTAAATTGAGAATACATACAGTATACTCATGTTAGATTTTTGGGTTTACTCAAACTATATGCCTGTTTATTGTTTTTCTATGTCACTGTGAATATTCTTCAGAAAAGTTTAAAGCAGAGAAATTGATAGTAACAAATAGGAAGGAAGGCAATCAGTTGCATAAGAGAATAAAAATTTGCTGATTTCTAAAATTTTAAAAAACTGAACTCATATTTCTTGCTTTCTATAAAAGTGTTCATGGGTTGGCAATAATAAAAAATAAAACTTGCAACTACATAGTCAAAAATTATTTTTCATTTAAATAAGCTATATGTTATAAATAAAATTATATAACATAATTAAAAATAAGATTTCTTTATAAAACAAATTAAAACATATTCCTAATCATATATCTGATTTCTGGAATCTGGGTCACATACCTGTATTCTATTTTAAAGGAAGGAAAAAAAATGCAAATTTCCATTTTCCTAAGGAAGCAAATAACAATGTGGGAACACTTCCCAAATAAAAAGGGTATTCAAAACACATACAGAAAAAAAAAGACATATGATTAACGGCTAATGTCTGCTCCTTGTTCAATATAAATGTGCACCTCTTTTTCGTACTTAAACATCCCACAAATAGCAAAAACTATAAAACCAACAACAGTGAACTGCTCACACCCTAAGAAATGCAATTATTTGAGAAGTAGTTTGGTATAGTGGCTATAAGCATGATATTTATATTTAGATTGCCTTTAAAATTTAACAGATATGTGCCTGAATAACATATGTAAGTCTACAGCATTCAGTTTCTTTACTTATGTAATGGAAAGACAACAGCAAATACATCATGTGGTTCTCATGAGAGTGAAATGAATTTTTCCATATGGATATCATTCGAACACTTTGTACACACCAACTACTCAGTATGTTCTAGCTCTTACTGTTTTACTCCATATAGATTATAGATATATATCAGGATCATGGCTTTAGGGAGAAAATGTTTGCAAGTATCATCCTATAAAATGGTGCAAGAGACCATTTTCAATTTCATTTTCTGTGTTAATGTTAATTGAAACTATAATACCCTCTTGATCCACGGCACATATATTCTGATTGTAGGAGAAAAAAAGCCATTTTTAGTTGTGGGTGATACTACACCCCAAATTTGTAAGGTTTTTCTCTCAACTATTAGAGTGCTAGAATTTTATTAAACCATTTGTTAATTCACTAAAAGCAGCTGCCTCCTGATAAAAGGGGCTGTAGCAAGATAAGTGAATTGTATGAGACCCTTAAAATTGTTTTATTTCTGTTCACCTAAATTGAGTGCAATAATCAGAAGCAAAATGTGTGGGATACCATAACGATAAAAATATGTTAATTAATTACTTAGAGATATTACTGACAGAAGCATTGCAGAAGTTGAAAGCAAATCAAGGATATGTGATTCTTGTTAATTAACAACAACCATTTTCCCCTACGACATGAGAATGATCCCATAAGATAAAGAGTCAAGCAAAAGACTTGCTGAATTTTAGGGGGTATGAAGATTTCAGATCTGTTAACACGTCACTGAACACAATTTCATCAGCTTAGTAAAGTTAAGTCGATATTTTTGAGGTCTCCTCAGTCCTTGGTGTCCTGGGATAGCAAGTAAATGAATAAACCACACAGAAACTCTGCAGTGCATTAAAGTGGTCACATATAGTCTGCCTCCCCATACTATTTCTAAGGTTTCCACTATCTACTATTCCCCATAACTTCACTGCAGTTTCTAAGGCTTGTTTTGTTTTTCCCTCCTAGTTCAAATTTTTAGTACTGAACAGAATTTGTTGGAGTAATAGTTAAGGATATATCTTCTTCCAGAGAAAAGGTGGTTTATGTGATACTTAGAATTCCACTGCTGGGAAGATTTGTAATCTTGTCCTAGAAGAAATATCTGAAACATGTAGTGTGTTTGCATGTTTTGCACCTACAGGTATGTGTGAGCATATGCATCAAGGGAGGGATGGCTGCGTGGCAGGAGTTGACACACTGGGAGAGTGGGCTGCCAACGTGTTTTGAGTACTGATGGCTACTGTAAATTGCTGACTTGATGCATTAATAACACACAGTTCATGATCAGCACCTTAGCTCATGTAGCTGATGAGTTATCTACATTCAGGTGCTTTTACATTTTTCAAGGGCTTAGAAAACCAAGATCTACTCATCAGATGAAAAACAATTAATTTCTGAGGGAAAAAAAAAGAAGTGCTCCAACACCTAGGATCCTCATATCTGATTCTCCCATGAAGGCTTTCCACAAATTCTATATATTACCTTTAATCTACTAGACAGAATTTCTGCAGTGCCATATGCAAGTCCTAAGAGCCATCCAGGCGACCTGCTTGAACCATACTATATATCAGCTAGGGGGCCTTCTCTTAGTCTCCCTTCCACTTAATATGTTATGCTTCTCTAAGCAGTAAGAGCGAAAGAACAAATTTTCTTCTCATTTTGGAGGAGATAGTAAAAATGTTTCAAACCACTAGAATTTGAATGCAGTCCATATAGGAAGTGTAGAACTTGAGTTCTTAAGCATTACTATTATCATTTCTATTACCTTCTATGTAAGAAATTCTAAAAGTTAATTATAGAAATTCCTCTTGAACATATGAGATACTTGCTATCAGCAATCTGAACATACGAGATACTTGCTATCAGCAAGGGTACATGAACATGTTATTTATCCTTCAAGAGAAAAAACTGTCAGCATTACATTTGTTATGATAATTTCTCCTTATTATTGAGAGCAGGAGAATATTATATTACTTAGACTTTCTTTTAAATATTTTCAATTGGGTAATCTGCACTCAAGGGGTACTACTTACATTTTTCTTCACCTTCAAGTAAGCAAATGTGTTTAAGTATGTTAAAGTTAAGTTGGTATTTATATTCTTATTTATAAAGGTAAAGGTTTATTGCACTTCTGTGCTTCTTGCTTTATTGGAGTTTATTATTTCTCGAGACCTATAATCCCAAACTATATAATTTAAAAATAAACTTGGGTTTATTATTTTATTTTTCTATATTGTATACACCAAATGCCGGGGAAATAAATATTCTCTTGGTTACAAATAATGATCAATAAGTGCTTTTTTTTTTCTTTGAGACAGAGTCTCACACTGTCATCCAGGCTGGAGTGCAATGGCGCAATCTCAGCTCACTGCAACCTCTGCCTCCCGGGTTCAAGTGATTCTCCTGCCTCAGCCTCCCGAGTAGCTGGGACTACAGGTGCATGCCACCACGCCCATCTAATTTTTTGTATTTTTAGTAGAGACGGGGTTTCACTGTGTTAGCCTCTTGATGGTCTTGATCTCCTGACCTCATGATCCACCTGTCTCAGCCTCCCAAAGTGCTGGGATTACAGGCAAGAGCCACCACGCCCAGCCACAAATGCTCATTTCTAATCAATTAAAAATTAATAGAATAGCAAAAATTATTAAGATTGCTTGGAATTCTATCACCCAGTATTATACATATTATATAAGTGTTTAACATATATAAATGCTTGTGTGTTTGTGTGTATATATATAGAGAATATACATGTGTGTATATGTGTGTATAAGTATGCAGACATAAATAAACTCACTTAAAATTAGTTATGTACTAATGTATAATAAGAGTTTTTATACCAATATGTATATATAAAGGAGTGATGCCTAAAATATTAATAAAGGAAATAAAAATAATTTTTAAAATTCATAAAACAACAGCAACAACAAAATAAACATTTTTTTCATGTCCCAAGTTCTGAGTTCTCTACAAATAAAAATTACTTTAAGATTTAATACTATACTGTGAGATAAATACTCATAAAATAACAATAGATCAGAATAAAATAAATAATTTGAGAGAATATATTACAAACAAAAATATTTGAATTAAAATACAAATAAATCTAACTAAACAATACATAAATCAGAAGATAGGCTAAAATAAAATAAAGAGAGGGAAAACATTCGGAATGGATAATGTTAGTATACTTAGTCATATATCACTTAAGCACTAAATAAGGGGTCCTTATGATGAAAGGATATAATTTAAGGAAAAAATTTAAATTGTCAGAAACTACTGTTCTGAATTAAGAAAATAATAAATTTAAGAGGGTAGAATTACACTGAAGAACGAATTGGCAGAGTTTCACAGGTGCAAACAGATTGATACCATCTGTAGAAGAGTGGTTACTCTGGTGAGAATTTCAATGACTAAGTGACACTTAGAGATGTGTTTTCTGGAGTAAGTCTGTTCCTGATTGGCAAGCTTCCAGCAGTGACAGCCTATCACTGGCTGCTTGCAAGACTGAGTTCACTAAGGTGAATTGGTCAATTGAACAGGTTTAAATCTGGTTCTAATGACTACTTGTTTATATTGCTCCAGACCAGTGAGTCTTTTTCAATGTTTGTGACCCCTTTTTGTATTCATTCGTCAACCAAATCAGAAAGAACAACAAAATTTGTCCCAATCTTCATTCCCATAATTCATTTATATTGAAAATGAAGTTTCATCTGTGGAGATTTCATTTTCACCTTGCATATTGATAAATATGAATTTATTGTATTTTACTATTTAGATTACCATTTGAATCACTTATGGGGACCATGACTGTGCTAAAGCATTCCTGACTCTGAGCAACAGATAACTAATGAGTTTGGGACTACTAGATTATTGAGTTAGGTTGGTGATTACCTAGAGCAATTAAAGCTTAGATGTAAGCAAGTGATGTTAATACCAAGAGGAGCATGATACATTAACTCAGAGTATCTAACTTTAAATTAGCAAAGAAAGGATTCCCTATTTAATAAATGGTGCTGGGAAAACCGGCTAGCCAAATGTAGAAAGCTGAAACTGGATCCCTTCCTTACACCTTATACTAAAATTAATTCAAGATGAATTAAAGACTTACATGTTAGACCTAAAACCATAAAAACCCGAGAAGAAAACCTAGGCAATACCTAGACAAATACCATTCAGGACATAGGCATGGGCAAGGACTTCATGTCTAAAACACCAAAAGCAATGGCAACAAAAGGCAAAATTGACAAATGGGATCTAATTAAACGAAAGAGCTTCTGCACAGCAAAAGAAACCACCATCAGAGTGAACAGGCAACCTACAAAATGGGAGAAAATTTTCGCAATCTACTCATCTGACAAAGGGCTAATATCCAGAATCTACAATGAACTCAAACAAATTTACAAGAAAAAAACAAACAACTCCATCAAAAAGTGGGCGAAGGATATGAACAGACACTTCTCCAAAGAAGACATTTATGCAGCCAAAAAACACATGAAAAAATGCTCATCATCACTGGCCATCAGAGAAATGCAAATCAAAACCACAATGAGATACCATCTCACACCAGTTAGAATGGCAATCATTAAAAAGTCAGGAAACAACAGGGGCTGGAGAGGATGTGGAGAAATAGGAACACTTTTACACTGTTGGTGGGACTGTAAACTAGTTCAACCATTGTGGAAGTCAGTGTGGCGATTCCTCAGGCATCTAGAACTAGAAATACCATTTGACCCAGCCATCCCATTACTGGGTATATACCCAAAGGATTATAAAACATGCTGCTATAAAGACACATGCACATGTATGTTTATTGCGGCACTATTCACAATAGCAAAGACTTGGAACCAACCCAAATGTGCAACAATGATAGACTGGATTAAGAAAATGTGGCACATATACACCATGGAATACTATGCAGCCATAAAAATGATGAGTTCATGTCCTTTGTAGGGACATGGATGAAACTAGAAACCATCATTCTCAATAAACTATCGCAAGGACAAAAAACCAAGCACCGCATGTTCTCACTCATTGGTGGGAATTGAACAATGAGAACACATGGTCACAGGAAGGGGAACATCACACCCCGGGGAATGTTGTGGGCTGCGGGGAGGGGGGAGGGATAGCATTAGGAGATATACCTAATGCTAAATGACGAGTTAATGGTTGCAGCATACCAACATTGCAGATGTATACATATGTAACAAACATGCACGTTGTGCACATGTACCCTAAAACTTAAAGTATAAAAATAATAAAATTAAAAAAAAGAAAATATACAAACAAAAATATATAAAGGAGAGTTAAATATATAGGATAACTTGTTCTAATGGTTTTGGCAAGATGTCTGTTTTATGTGGCCCTCTGACTATTCTGGGGACCTTAGGCTAGCAATCAACCTCATGAATCCTTTACTTCTGTAGGTTCTCCAGAAAACATCCATTTAGGTTCTTTAACGGGAGTGATGTCCGGGTTCTGTTAGGATCCCTTAGATTTTCAGAGGATTTTAAATGATAAGACAAAAAGGATTTTGAGTAAAGGACAAGGTCTGACATAAGTCAAAATTATGAAAAGCAATGCTAGTTAAATATATAACATAACATTGGATTGAAAAGTAAAAATGTTTTAGGTAGAAAGAACACAATCCAACACTATTTTCCTGCCACCCTAGAAAAGAAATTTCTCCATCAGTGTTTAATACTGGTGTTAGGTTGCACCTAATGCCATAGTTATTTCATGTTCAGTTGAGATTTGGTGCTATTAGGTGGAAATTCTGATTTTGCCCAGTCTTATCCTCATGGATTTTACAACTTGAAAATTCCTAATGTAATTTTAAAAGAATTCAACAGGCCAGATTTTATGTATCTATAATGGAATCTTTAAGTATCTGATTGAATTTCCTATCATTTCTTAATCTTATTTTATAAGAGATCCTTTATAAAGACTTTGCACAGAGCAGCATATTTAGCATGAGCCAAAATTATTTATGACATTTCTACAGTAGTTTTTATAATATTGTAGAGTAGCTTCTGAACTTTTACCTTGGGGAAGACTTATTATATAAATCAGGGTATTTAGGATAGCATGAAAATATTAGGTGATTCAGAATTGCTTTTATTCTTAAAATTAAACAAACTGTGCTTTTATAGCATTTAGAATGAGTGCCATATTTTAAAAGCTGACATTGATGAACACAAATTTTATATATATTCCCAATACGTATAACTATATACATTTATTTTGTATATATTTTTCACATGTTTCTTTTAGTAATTTGATGTTTCCTACAAAGGGCCATAGTCCAGTCATTTGAACAATAAGGATTCTGATAAAGAATTGGATTTTTAGAAGAGACTGAACTACTTACTGAATTTAAAGCCTGGTATTTTATTTTAAAATTATGATGATTTCTAACATAAACTTCACTAACAAACGATATTAAGTCAAAATGTGTCATTAGAATTTTCTAGACAATCCAGAACCAAACAAAATGCAACTTTGTACAAGTAGACAACAAAAGCAAAACTAAAGAAAATAAGCAGCTTAATAAGAAAAAGTATCTAATGACCTTACTTAACTAACACTAATACTCAATTTAAAAAATCTCTAGGTCTTATTGCCTTATACAAAACCCCATGAATAATGATTCTTACAAAAAAGACCTGTTTGGTTACAAAATCTCAAACAGAACAAACCCAGCAATCAGAGTCAATCAAACAAATCTAAGCTTAGATTGCAGTTTAGACTGATTCACCTGGGAACCTATCTAAAGGACAAAAGAAATCTGGGCACAAGGGATTTATTGTGAACATTTGTTGGTCCAAGGATTTCCTGCAATTCTGCCAAATGAGTGTTATAAATGAATCTCTTTTTTTTTTTTTTTTTTTTTTTTTTTTAGGATGGAGTCTCGCTCTGTTGCCCAGGCTGGAGTGCAGTGGCTCCATCTCAGCTCACTGAAAGCTCCGCCTCCTGGGTTCACGCCATTCTCCTGCCTCAGCCTCCAGAGTAGCTGGGACTACAGGCGCCTGCCACCATGCCCGGCTAATTTTTGTATTTTTAGTAAAGATGGGGTTTCACCGTGTTAGCCAGGATGGTCTCTATCTCCTGACCTCGTGATCCGCCCGCCTCAGCCTCCCACAGTGCTGGGATTACAGGCGTGAGCCACCGCACCAGGCCTAAATGAATCTTTAGTGTAACCTCCATAATTCTCATTAAATGATATAAAATCTAACAAGACATTTGACTTTATCTCTTGTAATAATATGGAAGATCTAAGCTTGTCAGACAAAGTTTCTTCAGGCAGAACAGATTGTTGATCTTATAAGCTGAGATGTCCAATCTGAGCGCCATAGCAATTAACCAATGTACTTAAAATAATTTAAATAAAAATGAAAATTAAATACATTTAAAATTTAGTTTTGTGACCACACTAGTCACATGTCAAATGATTAATACCCACACATGGCTGGCAGCTAACACATTGAATGTTAAAATACACTTATTTTCCACTATTGTGAAAAGTTCTCTTGAATAGCATTGTTATATAGGATTTTTCGAAGACTATCAGAGATGTAAGTGGATTGATATTATCTACAGAAGTAAGGTTACTTGAAGGTCAGTTTTACTGAAGCATTGTCACTCAAAAATGTTCTTATTAGAGTGATTCTATCCTTGATTGGCTGATTTTTTATACGTGGGAAGGACTGGAAGGAGGAAATATGAGCCTAACACTGTCTGTGCTCATGGAGGTGAATTGTTGATAGATCAAAACTGGTTCTGCTGATTCTTTTCTACAATAAGTCAGCAGAATATTTAAAAATCTATAAAAATCACTTAAAGAAAACATAAATGAAATTACTATACAATATAAGCAGTTTTTCAATGCATAATGTGATTTATTAAGGGACATTGGAAGAGAATAAAAATATACCTCTATTTCACAGTATGTACAAATATAAAATCCATAAGCATCTAAGCTACCAAATTAAGGTAAAATGCCTTAAAAGCATATTTAGAATGTCAGATAAACAATTTCAACATGGTAGTATTATTTGATGAAGATAATACAAAAAGGATAAAAAGTAAGTCATATAGCTACTTGTCTATGACTAATTTATAACTTTTTTTCTAGGATTCATCATACTAACAATAGACAAATTTTAGTTTTATAAAGCAGAAAACTGACAAACCCTCTTTAATTTGTGAAAAAAGGAGGCTGGTGATCAAGTTTTCTTTACACATCTTGATATATCTTTACTTGTAATGAAAAGCATGTATTTCTTTGTAATTTTAAAAATCAAATGCAATGAGGAACTGACAAATTGCTATGTAGAGATTTTAAAATTCCAAATGAAATTAATAAACCTAATATTTTGTTGGTTCAGTACAATTTTATCAATTGACTGTTTCATTTCAGATGCCTATTTCTTCTTATATGCATAAAGCCAAATAGAGCCTGGTCATGAGCTAATGAATCCATGTCAAAATGAGGTGAGAGATACAGGAAAGTAATTCAACAACCATGAAACAGCATAGCAACCACTAAATACGGAGACTGTAAAGAAATACAGACCTGGGTTAAAAGAAAATCTGAATGAAAACGTAGTGTACTTCGAGGAAGAAGATATTTGGGCATACTGAAAGACAAGTACGACTTGTCCACATAGAGAAGATGAGAGGCAGCCATTCAGGCCAAAAGACTACAGACAAAAGCATAAAGCACCAAATAGCATGATGCATTCCGGGAATTACCTTTAACATGGCATAGCTATTGTTAAAGGTGTATTATTGGAATACAGAAACATAATATTAGAAAGGGAAAGTTTTTGAACCCTGATAAATACAATGGTGTACATAAAAAATACTAGTATTTATGAAGAGTATTCTCTTTTCCATAAAGACTGGCTGAATATATCATTGACAGAGTCAAATATTCATTGGAAACCAACCTGATTGGATATCTCAATTTTAAAAATCACAGCACCTTTCAAGAAGTACATTACTATAAATCCCAAATAGAACAATAGTTACTAATTTGCCCTTAATTTTGCAAAAGGTAACACATTTTAAGAAAAACACTTTTAACATAAAGTACCATCAGTATTGCTTTGTAAATAATGGCTCAAAAATTATATCTAATCACCCTTGCTTTGGATTTTTTGGTTGTTGTTGTTGTTAATGTGTATTAATTAAGCTATAATTTGATTTTCTAAAAACTAATCTTTTGATGAAAATGCCATTAGCAGAGGCTAATGATGAATTCATATATGAAGTGAACCATTGCATACCTCATTAAAAATAAATAGTATAGAGTTAAACAAACTGATGGGAAAATTAATGAACATAACATATTGTAAATGTTAAGGTCTTAGTTTTCAAATAATCACTATTTAAAGTTTATACAATTATGAAATACTTGAAAAAATAAGCCTTCAGTTTCTAAAAGGTATATAAATATATTTTAAATAATTTATTTTGAATATTCTTACTGTTATATTTTCTGAAAAAAAACATTTACTCTTTTTTGCTTTCTAGATTTTCTGATTTTCTAGTTTTTTAAAACCTTAAATGCAGAGGCATAATTTTGAAACAATTTTGATTAAATATAAACAAGTAAAAATTATGACCCTTCATTTATAATTCTAATGTTTGATACAGTGGGCTACTCTGTATTTGCAGTTGTCACTTACTCTGTCAATTAATAAATGTTCAATACAAAATGCAAATGATATTTTTTAACAGTGCCAACTTAAAAACACAAAAGTAAATAAGATGCTTTTTTAAAAGTTTTTAAAAACCTGATTATAGAATTGTATATTTTAGCTATTAAATACCTCCATATACTTATTACCATTCTAATATTTCTTTGTATCAGTATTATATATTTTAATTGTATTTTATCACTTTCACTATGTGCCCTAACTTCTACTATGCAAAAGAGTCAATAAGGTCTAAAATAGAGGACTCAAATTTGAATGTAAGGGCAGTAACGACAAGTGAATGAAGCAGATCAAAGTTTCCTTATTCATTCATTTGTTAATTAAGTTTGATTATCTAACATTTATTAAGTGTTTCCTATGTGCCCAGCCCTCTTTAAATTCTTAGGACATATGATTACCAACAACAACCAAAGGTTTTTACCCCCAACTTTTTACATTCCACAGGTGGAAAAAAGACAACAAAAGAAATAAATGTAACAAATAATTGAAAGGTTAGAAGGTGAAATTATTCACTTGAGATGCAACAATGTTTTTTATCAAAGATAGTGCAATAAATGAGAAGTGTTTAGACGAATATAAGGGGAAAAATAGCAAGAAGGAGGATATTGAATATTCCCATCTCAAAGAAATAATAAATATTAGAGATGATGGATATGCCCATTACCCTGATCTAATCACTATATATTATATGTATCTAAACATCACTAAGTACCACACAAATATGTACAATTTTCATATGTCAATAAAAAATAAAGCAAAATAAAATTAATGCTACTTTTCAACTAATTGATTTCCTGTTAAGTAAAAAGTTGACGTTTAAGGAATTTGTTTTTCTAAAGAAGCTACAAAACAGATTATGTTGTTAAATCTCCCATTTAAAATTTTTCAAAAAAAAGTATAAAATTATGAAAATTATTTGTGTCATTTAGTTGAGTCTTTATTTCCAATCTGAACATATGTCTTATGTCTTCTTTCCCCACTGCCCCTAAATATGCTTATAGCTATCAAACATATAATAATAATCCAATCAGAATTTACCAGAATGAAGTAGACAAATGAGAGTTTTAGACTTGATATTTTAGGAGACAGGCTAGTAATGTTGTAGAATCTAAATTATTTACCAAATATTTTTAAAATGCTAATGTAAAAGATATTTTTGATTGCTAATATTTTAAAATGCTGAATAACCCTACAATATAAGATTTTGAAATTACATATTTATGAACCTCTTTAATTATCAATGTATGAACTTAATTTTTTTCATGGCATAAGATTATGTATCTTTATTTTTATTTTAGGAAATACACATTTCCTGCATTTAAAACATTTACTGGAGTCGTTCATTTTCATCCTCAAAGTCCCCATTATGAGGGGTGTATTAGTTTGTTCTCACGCTGCTGATAAGACATACACTAGACTGGGTATTTACAAAGAAAAAGAGGTTTAATGGACTCACAGTTCCACATGGCAGTGGAGGCCTCCCAATCATGGCAGAAGGCAAAAGGCACGTCTTACATGGCAGACGAGAGAGAATGAGAGTAAAGTGAAAGGAGAAACACCTTGTGAAATCATCAGATCTCTTGAGACTTATTCACTACCAGAACAGTATGGGGAAAAACCCACCCCAATGATTCAATTATCTCCACCTGCCCCCACCCCTGACATGTGGTAATTATTACAATTCAAGGTGAGATTTGTGTGGGGGCACAGCCAAGCCATATCAAGGGGATTACCTATATAAACAATTTTTTTTTCCTTTAGGGCATGCTACATTTTAGTAGATATTTATATAATTTTGGAATGTTTTTGCTAAAAGCAATTTAGTGCAACTTTTATTTCGAATTTATTTTCTGAAGTTTACCAGAAGCTTTGATAGATTTTTTCATCTTTTCTGCTTAAAATATATTTTAGCATAAGTATAGTAAAAAGAATTAAAAAATTAAAAACAATTATCATAAAAAGTAAGAGGAAAAATTTCTCACCAAAAAGGTGAAATACAGTTGGCTGATCATGAAAAATACCCATTACAGTGCATTCAAAATAGTCCAAGTTACTTTTGTTTTTAAACACCTGGCAAAAAAAAAAAAAAAAAAAAAAAAGGAGCAGCTAATTCTCTGGAGATAGACACAGGTTTCCTACAAATTTACACAGGGTATGAAATATTTTCCAAGCCAGTTTGTAGACGACACCACATACCAGGTACCTAGCATTTCTATCAGTTACAGCAAGGATTACAAATGTAGAAGGTGTGTTCTTGATGCTAAGATGAACTTCCCCAGGAAGTAGAAAAGATGAAGTGAAGCAGCTTATAGATATTGAGAATGTAAATATGTTTGAAATCTAAGTGATAGGAATTTTTGAGTTGAAGATCCTGAGGGATTGCTGGGTTTAAAAAGAGCTGCAATTGTTATAGGGTACCTGAAGAGAAAGATACCCAAGAAGAATATTTTAATTTCTGGATATTATTTTTAAAAGCCTCTTATAATTCACGGAAACTATTTGCATTGTATTACAAATTCTAGTTTTATAATATTTTTTAGACAAAATCACTAATGACCTTTTCCTCATACATCACATAGCCCCTAAACTGATTTATTTCTCAAGTGCATTTCTCAGATGAGTGTATGGATGACATATTCTGTGAATCTTTTCCTCTTTATAAATCTCTTCATTTTACTTCATCCAGGTACAGGATTATGGGATTACTGCTCTTTTCTCTTAATGGCCTTGCTCTTATATCACCAAGTTTCAGCAGATAGGTGTCCGATATAAGCCTGACTCTTTTCCTTTGTAGTTTACATTTTGTTTTTGTGTTAAAATAGTTCTTTTTGCATTTTTTTTTTTTTTTTTTTTTACTTTTCCCAAGGAATTCAGTTATCTTACTAGGATACGGCTATGTATGTGTATTTCATAGTCAATCCTCATAAGAATTTAATGAACAGTAGATTTACCTTTAAATATCAGATTCTCTTTAGCTTAAATAAGTTGTATTATATCTTTAATGCTGTCTTTTTTCCATTCAGAGTCATCAAACTCAGCCCCACAGATTTTCTCCCCTGCAGTTGTCCAATACAATGGTCTTATGTCCATCAATTCTATTTTCTCCTTTTGAGCGTTTCTCCAATTTTTCTCCAATTGATTCCCTGGATAATTCCGCAGGCCCCTTTGTTTTTCTTAGTAAAGTATTAGCTTCGATGTTTTCCTTTTGTACTTTCAGAGATGCCTTGCACAGAGTGTTTTTCAAAACATCAATTAACATGGCAGTGGCCTTCTTCCTTTCCTGAATGCTTTGTAAAACTTACATTAATTTTTGAATATTGTTTTTACCTTGTTTTTGAAATTCCACAGCACATAGACATGTTTATATGTAAACACACACACATATATACATATTCATATATACATATATGTGTTTCCTAAGAGTATTGTTCTTAGAGTTCCACCTGATATTCACATCTATGGCTGCTGGGCCCCTTCACATGTGCTGTTCCCTATTTCTCTTGGTTAAAGGTTTATTATTCATCACATTACTAGTTCTCTCTTGAAGTACAAGGAATACATTTCACTGGTTTCATCTTTCCTGAGCTTTTCACAGCCTCAGAAGTAGAAAAGCTGCAGACACCTCTTCATCTACTCATCCTCTCCTTGCATGTCAGAGAAATACATTTTCTCAATAGCCAATGTATACTTTTAATTTGACTGATCATTGTGTCTTTTGGATCCAATCTCATTCCAGATTGCACAATCTACCTCTGGTGTTTTCTACTTACTAGGAGACGACAACATTGAGCACGGTCTCTCTGTCTGGTTTCTTTTGGAAATTGGGAATGAATCTACTCGAAGCCCAAACCTGGCAGCTGCCTGTCTTAGAGTAGACAAGGTGGTTTGGAGTCAGAGTAGAGGAGAGACAATTATTTTAGTCAAGAATATTTGTATTTGTTTTGTAATGATCCTTTAACATAATGTCTGCAAAAATAATCCCTTCCCTTACAAGATGTCTGTACATACTTTGCTGTGTTTTGAGGAAAACTAGGAGTAATAAAAGTTGAGTGTGTGGATATTATAAATGAGAAAGGGATCTATAAATTTTGTTGGAAACATTGAATTATGTGATGTAATTTAGGTTAGAGATGATCATTTTTTAATGAGAAAAAAGTTTCAATGATTTACACTTACAAGGCTTTTTACCAAGGTTACTGGTTTTTGCCAAGGGGCTACAACTACAACTAACATGTTAGTTGGTAGATGCGCCAAACTTTGATCCTAGTTCCCAGACCCAAACACGCTGACATCTGTAAATGTTACATCTCTACTGGCAAAAGGTAATCCCAATCCCTCATCATTTCAGTCTGTAATTACTTTTATTAACCAAGTTTACATGTGGGCATCAATGCATCAAGGCAGAGAACCTCTTCTTTCAGTAGTTACTGCTCTTCTGCTGGAATTCTAAACTTGATCTTTGAGCATTTTACCTATGCCATTAATACAAGTGCCATAAAAGAGCATAATTTTAATCAGCAATTTGACAAAATCTCCCTTACCAAAAGCATACACTCTTAATAACACACTAGTGCTAAAAATTTCATGGGCAAAATAATAATAATAAAAAAATTAAATTAAAAATGAATCTTAGGGGCTAAAAAAGGAGAAAACCTAAGTTACTGTTTCTCTGACTACATTATATTTCTAAAAATAGAATATTAAAATAGATGTTTAAATTGATGGGGTACAGAATAAAATGTCACAATTAAGTTTGTGAAGAAGAATGAATGATAAAATGAAGAACGAGCTAACCTTCCTTTTTTTTTTTTTTTGATGGAGTCTCACTCTGTCGCCCAGGCTGGAGTGCAGTGGCAGGATCTTGGCTCACTGCAAGCTCCACCTTCTGGGTTCAAACGATTCTCCTGCCTTAGCCTTCTGGGTAGCTGGGACTACATGTGTGCACCACCAGCCTTGGCTAATTGTTTGTTTTTTGTTTTTTTGTTTTTGTTTTTTTTTGGGAGACACAGGGTTTCACCATGTTGGCCAGGATGATCTCGATCTCTTGGCCTTGTGAACCACCCGCCTCAGCCTTCCAAAGTGCTAGGATTACAGGCATGAGCCACCGTGCCCAGCCCAGCTATCCATTTTTATTAGCAATGTGACTAATACTAAGGAGTTCAAAACTGTAGGCACAGTGAACAAGACAGGAGTCAATTGCAATAACAAAACAAGCGAAGTAGAAATCATTTTTAAAAACAAGAGACTATTTATTATTTATATTAAAAATGTTGGTTGAAGAAACATATGTTTTTCTCCAGTATAAAAAATTAATACAGGTAAGTGCATTGTGTACATGAAAAATATAAAAAATTCTGTAATGAAGAAATTTTTAAAAAGCCAAAGTATCCAGGTCATTTAAACAAATTCGACTCATCTATGAGTTACTCAGTCTCTATTATTGTGCAAGGTTCTGGTGTCTTGCACTTTGAAAATATTTCAATCTTAATGTTCATAATCAACCTGATAGTGCCTCATAAAGTACTTATCTTTGCTTTGCATTTTCCTAAAAAATAGTATGATTTTTGTCAGAAATATTTAGTTGTATTAAATTAATATGACAAACAATCGTATGAAGTCAATTTCAATCTTATTAGTGAACATGTAAATGCAAATGAAGATTAAAAGTAAATATTATTTTATATCAATTCAGTGGACAAATTTTAAAATCTTGCAACACCAACTTACATGGAGAAAGTAGATCCACAGTGTCTACTAAACGTTACCAATAGGAATAAAAACGGTTCAAAATAACTTTGAAACCACTTTGACATTTTCTTATAATATTGTATATACTATACAATGTAAAGATTTATCTTTTAGGTATAAACTATAGAGAAACTGTTACACATGCCCACCAAGAACTTTTTATAAATATATAACTGACATCACTTTTTAATATCAGCAAAAACATGAAAAAACTGAAATGTCTATAAAAAGGGAAGTTAGAGAAAGAATGTTAAACATGAAATATTTTACCAAATTCATAATGAATTGCAGCCAAGTAATAGATAAATTTTAGGAGTATACTATTAAGAAGAAAAATAAGTCCCCAATAGTACATGTATTAGCAAACCATATTTTAAAAGTTAAAAACTAAAATAAAACTGTAAGACCCTATGAGTGTCCAATTTCAACATTTATGTTGGGTGGTAGCTTCTCTTGTGCACACTATATTATATTATTAATTAATTAAGAGCCATGTGTGGACCAGTAATAACAATGTCCTGACACAGTAATTTTGAATAATCACATTCTGTACACTGTGGATTAGTAGATTTTTGTAATTGAAAAAGTAATGTAGAGCTTAAGGTTAATTAATTCTTGAGTCTTGAGTGAAATTTTGCTGGCATGATTCACTTCATAATTTTTATTTTTCCTTTCACTTTGTTAAAACTCCCAAGGCAGATCAAACACCTATTAACTAAGCACCTAACTTGCCCCTAGAGGTAATGTTTTTATGTCTTCAAGTTCAGAGTATTAACTAATTTATGATAAGCAAAATTTTGGCTATTGTCTTTAGGCTACAACTCGGAATAATTTTGCCACTTGAGCACATATCTTCTACCACTGAAATATCTGTATCATTAAAGCACAGAGATTTGCCAGACATTACAAGATAAGTAAGTGTCAAAACGAAGAATCAAACAGAAACTCAGCTAGCATTCCTGGACTTTCTAACTTCTGGATCATACTTACATGTGTTTTATGAACAATTAACCCTATTTAAGGATATCTTCATTAAACAACTGCAAGGTATTCTTCCTGTAATTTTTTTTAAATGTGGTTTTCAAAAGAATATAATAAAAGAAAAAGCAAAAAATGCTATATGTACTATCTCTATTAATCAACTGATTAATTATTTGAAAATCTAGTAATTGATTTTTCAGACTCATTCCAAAAACAATCCCCTAGTTATATACAAGACATAATTCATATGTAACATGATATGTCCTTTAAACTTTGTTAAAGGGTTGTCAATAATAAAATGATATAAATTCTTATCACCTTTAAGAACAATGACTCTAAAGTCTCAAGTGAGAAGAAATATATAAAGTTTATTTTCTGGAAACTGTTTGCTTATTAGTATTATGTAGAAGTTTGAATTTTGCTTTCGCGCTTACAAGCAAACAATACTGTAGTCTTTACCGTTTACATAATGATATCAGCATAAGTTTCAAAGAAAAAAATTACTTTCAAATATACAAACTATTTTTACTTTCAAATTGCTAATTTTAGTTTTTAAGAGTATTTATAGACTTAAATTGAGTATATATTAGCAGAAAGTTTATATTTCATATTGACAATTTATTGGTCAATAACTTAAAAATTCTTATCTTTCACTATGAGGAAATAGAAAGAATGTCAAAATCTTTGAAGATTACCAGAGATTTTAAGTACATGTCTTCCATATAAGCAGTAACTTTGTTTCAAGTTACCTTTAAGCACTATTTTTGGTTAATAAAATAAGTAGGTCAGGCCTGGTGGCTCATGCCTGTAATCCCAACACTTTGGGAGGCCGAAGCGAGCAGATCACTAGGTCAGAGGTTTGAGACCAGCCTGGCCAACATGGTGAAACCCCATCCCTATTACAAATACAAAAATTAGCTGGGCATGGTGGTGGGCGCCTGCAAGCCCAGCTACTCGGGAGGCCGAAGCAGGAGAATCCTTGAACCCGGGAGGCAGTTGGCTGCGGTGAGCTGAGATGGCGCCACTGCACTCTGCTCTGGGCAACAGAGTGAGACTCCGTCTCAAAAAAAAAAAAAAAAAAAAAAAAAAAAAAAAGAAAAGAAAGAAAAAGAAAAGCTTAATTTCTGGAAAAATAAAAACGAACTCCAGGAACCTAATATCTTTCCATGTTACTTCCACAGTTTGGTAGAGTAAATAGAAAGCTCTTTTCTTTTTGAGATTTAGAAATATTACTTTATAAAAATTATATTTAGAATGCTCCAATAAGTTTTTTTGGTTTACATTTGATAATTCTTTAGGTGTATATAATTTCACATTCTTAAATATTTTGAATAGTTCTAGATATTTATTTATACTTGTTAAATACTATAACACATTGTGACTAAATATATTTCTTATAATTCATTCATTATGTAATTCAGATATTCCAGTTTCCAGTTTAAAGTGGACATATTTTTATAACTATTACATAAGTAAATGATATTGAGAAATATATGTGAAAACTCATTACTTTTACACACTGTGATATCTTTCTCTAAAGTCTCATTTGGGGTGCTTTGTGAAAAGGTTTCTGTTTTGTGTTATTTAGATGATGAAATAAATATCTTCTATAAAGTTATACATTTTTATTTTTATTTTTTATAATTTCATGCAAGTGTTCACTCTTTTCTAATAAAACATTTCTTAGAAAGAAAGCTATCCATTTTAGGGGGAGACTTTATTGTTATTCCATAATTGATTGGAGTCTATAAGTTTATGTTTACACCTTTTGCATATTTATTTTTTCAATTTTATATAGTTATAAAAATATTATGAAACAAAATTTGAGGATGGAAACTTATAATTTTATACCTTTTTAAATTGCCAGGTAATATAATTCTTCTGTGGCAAACTAATAATTTTCGAGTAAGTTTGTGACACAGATGAGACGAATTTCTCTTTCTAGGTAAACAATGAAACATTAATTTGCTATCTCTCCTTGAAACTCTGCTTTTAATATCTTAAAATCCCTTGTGACTTCAGTTTCATCCCAGGCTTATGTTCAAAGTTATGCAGAGATAACTTTCTGAAAGAGACATCTACAAATAGTGTGTATTCTCAGGGGTGCCACAAAGTTCTATCTGCCTTAAGATTTTCAATTTCTACTCTAATACAGTTCATGAAATTTCTACTACAGAAGACATCTTTTAAAAATTAACTTTCATGGATGTATTAATTGAGAAGAGATAATTTAAAATATCTGAACATTATCAGAAAATTAAATTGAAGATATTCACAACATATTCTATAGTACTTATTTATACTTCCCTTTGATTTGTTTTTCAACTGCAGTTATCAGTAAAATGACATTGTATTTACCCAGTAGATGCTCAGTTCATAATAAAGCAATTATCACAATCCACCTGAGGACTGACAATTGTAAAGCAGTAACTACTCTAGATTGATGTAATGTTCTGTCATATTTGTGCCATCAAAGGCATAAATAAAGAGTAGTTCAAGCTTAATGAATAGTGTAACAGAATGAATGGTAATATTAATAAACTTTTGCAGAGTATATGTAATATCTTGTATAACTGCCTTTGGGGCAATGAATAAAGAGTAAGTTTAAAAGAGGAAAAATCATAATGAAAGTGTCACCTTTCTTAATAAAATACAAAACTATTCATACCATTGACTAAGATTTTATTTTCTGACTTAGCAAAATGGCTGCACCTTTCTAATGAAAAAGTGGATAAATTTGCTAACAGTCATCTGGGTCTCTAACAAAAATATGGTAAATATTTTCATATAATTTTGACTTTGACATTACTGTAGAATTTTGGAGTGTCTACGGATTTAAAAGAAAATTCTTATTGTTGAGAAAAATCTCTCCATTTTCATAGATCATAGAATTTTCATCCTGGAATGATCCCAGAAATTATTTAGGTGCATAATTTTAGATATGAGAGCATAGAAACTAGAAGAGGTTAAGTAATATATTTGAAGTAATACAAACAAGATAATGATGGATAGTATTGGGGACTGATTTTCTGTCTGCAGGTCTCATCAAATGCCTTTTCTATAGTGCAACAATATTTTCCCAAATTGTTCATTAGGAAGTGCCAAAAGAGAGTGGAAAATGAGAATTATATCTAATAGAGTAAATTGAACTGAGGTCAAGTTAAAAATCAGTCTTGATGGAGGAATTAGTTTGCTTGATTTGCAGGATTCTATATTAAGCTGTCCATTTCTTAGTGATATAATGATGAACGGAAACAATATTATGGTTACATAGCACATTAGAAAATAGCAAAACCTTGATTATTCACAGATTCTACAAAACTGTCTAAATGTAAGAAATTTATGAAATTTAGAGAATGATTTAAAATTTAATTTAATAAAAATTCCATTGTTTTATTTTAAAACATGTATACCATCTAGGAAATGAGTTTTATAGATAACTTAAATCATCTTAACATCTTAAGAATGTGGAATATTTAGTGTTCCAAAAGCTTTCTGAAATGATCACATTTTTTGTCATTTTTAATTACCCTCATTGGAGCCATTAAATAAAATTCAAACTTAAACATCCAGTATCCAAACTTCCTACTTGGTTTTTCATTTATTTCATAACAGAGCACTTACACATTTCATTTAAAAAGAGTTTATTTCTAGAAACAAATTCTTCTAGCAAAAAAAATTGCTAATTTTTGGGCAGTTTTATATATGGTTACACCGTCCAGTGTTGCTCTTTTTGCTCCTTAAAAATGCCAGCTCTGTCACATTTATTTCAATTGAGAAATTTCTACTCATTTTTCAAAGCTTAACGCATATGCTCCTACCTTTATGGGCCCTCCTCAATCACATAGGTAAGATAAATTTTTCTTCTTCTGTTGTCTCTGGCTCCACAGTGCTTAGGACATGCTACTAGTGTAACACTTATAACACTGTGTTGTTACAGCTTCCTTGTATCTTACCTGAACTGACACCATCAAATTAAATTCCATATTAGGAATATGGATTTAGAAGTTTTCTGTATTTTGTTTTTATCATTCAAAAAAATAACATTTATTTTTAAGTTAAAATTTCAACATATATGCCTTTTCAACACATAGAACAGGAAATATTGGAAACCTATTTGCAAAAAAAAAAAATTAAAACGATTATTATCTACACCTCGCACCATGAAACCAAAATTATTCAGAATTGATTATAGCCCTAAATGTAAAATCTGAAACTATAGAACTTCCAAAAGAAAACACAGAAAAAAATCACTTTGATCTTGTATCTCCCCATCTCCCCCAAAAATGTTTTTTATATATGACAGCAACAGCATAATCCACAAAAACAATTGACAAATTTGAATTAATCAAAAATAAGAACATTGGCCCTTTGAAAGATGCTGTTAAGAGAATTAAAAGACAAATCACAAACTAAAAGAAAATATTTTGAAACTATATATACAAAAAATTATATTATGGAATATAAATTTTATATATGAAAGTTAATATTTTCTGATAAAGATTTGTATCCAGAATATATAAAGAACTCTTAAAACTCAATATAAGGAAACAAACAAATAATAATAAAAATGGCCAAAATATTTAAACAAACACTCGACCAAAGAAGAAATTCAAATATGCAGATTAAGGTTAAGTAAATTAATATACAATGAAATACACTTACATGTATATTAGAATAAATGAAATTTCAAAGTCTGACATTGTAATGCATAGGTGATAATTTGGATGAACTAGAAGTTTCATAGCAGTTTGACAGTTCAGTAAATATGTAAATTTCTACCTTCAATATAATCCAGTCATTTTATTTTTATATATATTTTTCCGAAACAAATAAAAACAAATGTCTTTGAAAGGTCTTTTATGAGAAGGCTCTATTCCAGGTTTATCTGTAACAGTTCCAAACAGGGAACAACCCAAATGTTTTTCAACAGGTAAAGGATGAAATATACAATGCTAACAATTGTCCATTCATATAATATTAATGAATAAGCTATTGAAACACACAAGGAACAGATGAAGCTCAAAATGATTATGGTGTGTAAAATAAGCCAGAGAAAACTCATTCTTGTTTGGAACTATTACAAACAAAACTGAATGAGAACCTTCATGTAAAAGAAAATCTGCATACCATATGATTCCATTTATATACAACTTTAGAAAATGCAAACTAATGTACAATGAGGGGCAGATGATCCATTTGGTGAGGAGTGGTGTTTGGGGTTGTCAAGAAACAAATAGAAACTTTGGGGATAACAAATATATTCATTATCCTGTTTATGATGATGGTATCATGAATTTGTGTGTGCGTGTATAAAGTTATCAAGATTTAGCCTTTAATTATGTGCAGTTCAAGGTTTACACAGTTTATTTTGTGTCATTACAGCTGCTAAAATCAAAGACAACAAAATGATAAGATGAAAATAGATAAGATAAAAATAATTTTCAAGAAAATTGTAAAGATTAATTTATATTATTCTAAGGGTCAGTGAGTAAATATGCTTTGTAGCTTTATGAGCTCATATATATGTAAATGTATATATATAATATACACGTTTTCAACACAAATATTCATATATATTTTCATATATATATCAAAAAAGATGACAAGAACTGTTACTAAAACATATTATATAGCAACAATAGTTCAAACGTACTTCTGGGGGTGTTTGATTTTGTGTTGTTATTGGACTTTGTTCTTGGTCTCAATATGAATAGCACAAAATATTTTAAATATTTAATATTTACATGCATACCTGAAATTTATATAAATTGCTAAAGCTGTATATATATGAGATTCATATTTTTCAGAAATATCAATTATTTGTAAATCATATATATGATGTCTAAAGCTATGTGGTGCCTTATTCACTCACAAACCATTGGAATGATATAAATTAATTTTTATACTTTTCTTGAGAATAGCTTTTATATCTTTTTCTTTTTTTCGACTTTCACAGCTATAATGACACGAAATAAACTGCATAACCATTAACTGTACATAGTTAAAGGGTAAATCTTGATAAGTTTATACACACACATGTGCACACACACACATTCATGAACCCACCACCATAAACAAGATAATAAATATATTCTTTTTCTCCCTTCACAACCTCTAACACCACTCCACAACAAAGAGATAAACTATCACTCATTCAAGTTTATCTGCACACTTGAATAAAGTAATGAAAGCTTATGATTTCTGTGATCACAAATCCATTTTATATCATTTTCCATAGTACAAACATTTGAACAGTGCTACTTCAAATATATTGGCTGTTTGTATTATTCTTTGTTTTCTTATACTGAGTTTTAAGAGTTCCTTATACATTCTGGATAAAATTCTTTATCAGAAAATATTAAATTTCATGTATATCATATATTATCCATAGATATAATGTACATTATTTATATATATTATATAATATATACATATGAGTCCTAACACGGTAGACATATACATATTTCCAAGTTAGTACTTGGCAATGGTACTTTGCCAAGATGTCAAAGTGCTGCTAGTTCAAGTTATTTTAAAATATGACTTCTAAATAAAGTCTTAATTAACAGTGCCTGTCATGAGCTCAATATATTTCCACTTCTTAGAATTCAATATATGTGAGACTACACAATAGATCAATGCACTGCATCCTTAAGGATAAATCAGTTAATGGTGAATAAAAAAAATCCATTTACCCAGTAAACATTCTATCAAAAGGGATGACAGGAAGTGTCACAAAAAGAGATTATATAATAACAAGGGTTCAAAGATGTACTTTTGGGGGTATCATTTTATTTTGTATTGTTGTTGGACTTTATTCTTGGTCTTGATGTAAAAAATATAAAATATTTTAATGTGAGATTTACATGCATACTTAAAAATTATATATAATTTGATACATTTAAGTAAATATCTACACAGTTGAATAAAGTAGTAAAAGGTTGAATATCTGTTATCACAAATCCATTTTATATCAAGTTTTCCATGGTGCAAACTTTTAACTTGCAACAGTAAGGGAAGAGTCTCCACCTAAATATTGAGTTGTCAAATAAAAATAATGTATGGTTCTTGAATAACTGAAGCTGGTTAGAGAAGCAAGTAGATAAGCAAAAGATTACAATGTAATGTACTGAGTTCTTTACAAGCATATATAGAAATGAGTAGGGATGGCAGGAAAGAAAAATGGAAAAAAAAAGCATTACACATGGTAATAAAGGCCGACTTTAAATTTTACCTGTGCCACCTAATGACTGTAACTTTAAGGAAAAATATAGTTTCCTTTATTCTTAGTTTCCCCATTTAAAAGTTGTAATACAATAAGCTATTTCAAATAACTCTAAGCACTAAATTAGGCAATGGTTTTGGCTTTACATGGAACAATAGCAGACACAAAGCAAGTATAATTACTACCCACACAGTTGATTTTGAACCTGAATCTAAAGAAGAAGTACAGTGAGATAAAAATTACTTTGTCTGAATGTATCAAAGAAAATGTTCACAAAGATGTGACTTTCTATTGGAACTGATTCTTCCTAATAGCGGTTTTAAAATTTAGCTAGAAAGGAATTGTCTAAATTGGCAAATAAGCTAATGATGGCTATCCTCCCCATTACTATTCAGGATAGTAATCTCATGGAAGTCTCTGACATTGCAATAAAGCAACAATGTGAAATAAAAGAAAATTTTGAATATAAGACAAGTTTACTTTGTTGTAGATCAGATAATTACTTAGAAAATTCTGAGACATCTACAAATCATGAGAACCAATAAATGAATTTATCAGACATAAATGAGAAAATAAATATACACTGTCATGTGTATTTTTGTATAGTAGGCATACAAAATAGGAAGGCTAAATAAAAGTTCAATTTATTTTGCATCATTATATATAAAATGCTTAGGAATATATTTAACAAATGTGTCAAAAATATAAAATACTGAGAAAAATTAAAGACATGAAAGCCATTTGATATAATTCATGAATTGGAACTTTCAGTATTGTTAAAAAATCAATTTTATACAAGTTGGTCTGTAAGTTTAATGTAATATCATTCATAATTAACGTAGCTTAATTTCTTTTCTTAAAGATAGACAGGTTATTCTAAATATATATGGAACTCAAAGGATCTAATATGTCCAGAACAATTTGGTGGGAGAAAAGGAAACTTGGAGAACTTGCGTTATCTGATTTACTTATGATAAGGCTACAGTAAATAAGGCCTTTTTTAAAATCAGCATAAGGATAGACATTCAGATCAATACAAAAGAAAAAATAAGAAGTTGAGAAGTAGACCCATGGACATATTTTCAACTATTTTTAACCATGTTATTGATTTAATAGTGAAAGAATTATTTTTTCAACAAATAGCAATGAAACCACTCTAATTCAAAATAGAAAAATAAATAATCCTCAACAATTACCACTCAGCACTTACAAAATTTAACTATGATTGTGTCATCATTTCAAAAGTATAAAATTCACTTTTAAAAAACACAAGAAATATTTGTGACCTTGGAGTAGGAAAAAAAAAATTAGATAGTTCCCCAAATGTACAACTTTCGAAAAGGCATTCTAAAGACTGGGAGTCAAACAGAATGTATAATAAACTCTTATAAAACAATAATAAGACAGCAACTCTTTCTTCAGAAAGTCAATAATAAGACTTTCTGAAGACAGAGAAAAAAAACTTGAGTGTATATTATATGAGAAGATATACAAATGTCCAATAAGAATGCAAAAAGTTCCTCTTTAGTCACCAAGGAACTGGAAATTAATATTTAGATATTAAGACACACACACTAAAATGGTTGAAATAAAAAGACTGACAATGGCCAGGCATGGTGGCTCACACCTGTAATCCCAGCACTTTGGGAGGTTAAGGCAGGTGGATTGCTTGAGCTCAGGAGATCGAGCACAGCCTACGCAACGTGGCAAAACCCATATCTACAAAAAATAGAAAAATTAGCCAGGCTTGGTGGCATGTGTCTGCAGTCTCAGCTACTTGGGGTGCTGAGGCAGGACGATTACTTGTACCTGGGAGGCCGAGGAAGCTGCAGTGAGCAAAACTTGCGCCACTGCCCTCTAACTTGGGTGACAAAGTGAGACCCTGAGACCATGTCTCAAAGAAAAAAAAAAAAAGAGTGAAAGACTGACCATACCAGGTTTGCTGAGGATACTGAGCCACTGGAACACATGTGCATTGCTTGTCAGATTGCAAAATGATGAAATATTTTTGAAAAAAATAATTCCTATACATTTATTATTTGACTCACTAATTCACTCTCAGGTACTTACTGAAGAGAAATAAAAACTTATATTCACAAAAGAACTTATACAAAGGGTTTATAACAGTGTTCTTAACAACATCTCAATTCTAAAGACAACCCAAATGTCCATTAATAAGTGAATGGCAAAACAATTTATGGTATATCAATTCAATGAAATATTACACAGCCATGGAAGGGGGACAACCACTGGTAAATGAAACAACATGGAGGAGGAATCACAAATTATGCTAAGTAAAAATAACTTGATACAAAAATGTGTCTACAATATGATGCCATTTCTATATAATTATAGAAAAGTAAAATTTATCTATGGTCACAGAATGCATATTAGTGACCTGAAACTGGGTGTGAAGATGTGTGTAAAGGAGTTGTTAACTGCAACACACCATGTAGAAACTTTTTGCATTTTTGACATGTCTTATGTCTTGATTGCAGTTGTAGTGATAGTGATGTATACATTAATCACAACTTACCTGTATGTATACTTAAAATATGTACATTTTAATGCATGCAAATTATACCTCAAAAAGTTTATTTCAAAATGATTTAATTCAGTAAAGTTTAATACTTTAATCGCATATATCTTATCTTCCACAACACAAGCAGTTGTTCAAAGTGTTTCTGGAATTTATTCCTTCCTGTGGGTTCTTGGTCTTGCTGACTTCAAGAATGAAGCCACGGACCCTCGCGGTGAGTGTTACAGCTCTTAAAGATGATGTGTCTGGAGTTTGTTGCTTCAGATGTTCAGATGTGTCTGGAGTTTCTTCCTTCTGGTGGGTTCACGGTCTCCCTGACTTCAGGAGTGAAGTCACAGACCTTTGCAGTCAGTGTTACAGCTCTTAAAGTTAGCACATCTGGAGTTGTTTGTTCCTCCTGGTGGGTTCCTGGTCTCGCTGACTTCAGGAATGAAGCCACAGACCCTCCTGGTGAGTGTTATAGCTCATAAAGGTAGTGCAGACCCGAAGAGTGAGCAGCAGCAAGATTTATTGTGAAGAGTGAAAGAACAAAGCTTCCACAGCATGGAAGGGGAACCGAGGGAGTTGCCACTGTTGGCTAGGGTGGCCAGCTTTTATTCCCTTGTTTGGTCCTGCCCACGTCCTGCTGACTGGTCCATTTTACAGAGTGCTGATTGGTCCGTTTACAAACCTTTAGCTAGACACAGAGCACTGATTGGTGCGTTTTTACAGAGTGCTATTTGGTGCATTTACAAATATTTAGCTAGACACAGAGCACTGACTGGTGTTTTTACAATCCTCTAGCTGGACAGAAAAGTTGTCCAAGTCCCCACCCGACCCAGAAGCCCAGCTGGCTTCACCTTTCAAAAGTAGATTCTTGGATACCTATAAGGGATGTCTGAGTAGATCTGGATCCAAATACTTACTTCCCACTATATTCCTATTTCAAAACTTACATTCCTTTTGAGTTAGGTCAGGGAACAGAAATGTGTAATTAGCTACCACTCAGGAAAACAGAAATGTTTTTGGCCTCACTCAGTTTGGATCTAATCTTGCCTGTTGATGGTAACTTCTGCTTATGTGATCACTTTGTGTGAATGATGTTTATTTTTCTTTGGGGTGGTGCTCAGCTTCTCTTCAGTCTCTTTGTCACAGAGGATCCTCTTAGAGAGGCACAACTATTATTCCTTTTTCCCCCAGCCAAGGCTGATGCACCAACACCATCCCTGTAGTCAGTGTCCCATCACTTGATCCTGTAGCTTTCAAAACAGCATTGGAGCTCCTACCCATTCTCTAACTTCCATACTGCTTCTTGTTGAGACATGGCATCTAATGGGTCTTTCTTCTTCGTGGTCTGAGAGTTTTTTTTTTCTTTTTCTTTTACTTTTTTTTTTTTTTTTCAGACGGAATCTCACTCTGTCGCCCAAGCTGGAATGCAGTGGTGCGATCTCTGCTCACTGCAACCTCCGCCTCAGGGGTTCAAGCGATTCTCCTGTCTCAGCCTCCTGAGTAGCTGGGATTACAGGCTCGCACCACCACACTCAGCTAATTTTTTTGTTTGTTTTTGTTTTGTTCGTTTGTTTTAGAGACAGGGTTTCATCGTGTTGGTCAGGCTGGTCTCGAACGCCTGACCTCGTGATCCACCCGCCTCGGCTTCCCAAAGTGCTGGGAATACAGGCATGAACAAGCGTGCCCGGCCAGTCTGAGAGTTTTAAAGAACTGATTGACATGCTTTCTGTAGCCTTCCCAGGAACGCTGTACCATGGATCCCTCAGGCCCTTCTGTCTCAGAATAATATAGTGAATACTTGAAAGTCTCTACACCTCCCCAAAGAGCCAATTTTCCCCTAAGCTGTAAGGGACCTATGGCATGTTCTTCCAAGAAATCCCCCATTATGTTCTGCTTCATTCTGACGACCACATATGGTGAGCTTGCAAGTTCTACAGCTCAGCAATTATTCAGGGAAAGAGATGTCAGTCTTTCCTTCCTGAAGATGTTCTCCGTCTCCACTAACAATTTATTTTAGAGCCTTCCACTCTTATTTGAACACCCTCCCCCTTTTCCTCTCACATTATGAAAAGGAGTAACTTGTCACAATTAATACTGTATAGTATGGAAGCAAATAAATGCCTTTCCTGTTTCATACTAAGTCTTTTTCATTTATAAACTAGAGATATACGGTGGTGGTGAAGGATTGATAGCAATTGGATATTTCTGCTGCTTCCTAGTAAAGTCTGAGAAAATTATATTGGCTCATTGAGATCTCTTTTTTTAATCATTCCTTTTCATCTTCTAAGGAATTTATACTTTGTGACATCATGTAAAGTCCCTTTCAACTGGTCACAGTGCTTGTTATTTTTGGTTATATATTTATTTTAACTTTTAAAGTCTAAATGTTAGACATAACCCTGAATACAAAGTTCAACAAGGTAGGTATTTTCCAAAATAGAAAAAAAATACTTAACTTCTGATTTTCAAAAACAGTTCTTTTTTTTATAGGAAATAGAGTAATTTCTAGCATTGACTACTATTAATATTAATCAATAATATAAAAGCATCAACTGATCATTTTAAATGTATTGCTTGCAGTAATTCTTAAATATTTCATTTTATAGAGTTCGTTGAGAATCTTAAAAACTCTACTGTGCATAATATTTTTTATATTCAAGGTCAATGGATTTATTCACCTCTTAAAATCCTTTGAATCATGGTCTCCAGTTAAAACCTACGGCCTAGAAATTATGCCTGAATCAAAATGAAAATGCATAATATAATATACAACTTCAAACCACTAAAAATTAGTAATGGTCCTACACCCTATCCTTCATTAGAGATTATCAATGTGTAGAGATCATACCTCTTACCTCATAAGATTTTCACATCTTAGCTCATTTTTTATAACCTCTATATTCCACTCATAGAAATTCGATTATAAAGCAAGTTTCAAGCACACAGTTTCAGCTATGAGCATCATGCAGAATTCAAATAACTCCTCAAAGACTGCTACTTGATGGATCACACTGGTTTTATTATATCTGAAATATTGTAATAAATAATTTTAGTTGGGTTCTTTTGAACAAATGGAGAAAAAAATGTATAGCAATTCATGCCTCTGGAAATTTTGGTATGGAATCTTAATATTTCTTTATTTGTTATACATTTGTAAAAATACATTACTTTTTATTCATGAATACATAAACATACAGTACTGAAAATTAGAATTGTGAAAGCCTTGTGCACTTTTAAGTGTACTTTTGAGCCATAAAACATATAAAGTTTTCCAGAAAATTTTAAACTTCAGTATGTTTGGCTTGCCTTGATATGTTATCATCCTATTATAGATATATTACACTTTTATGTCACACCCAGCAATAATTTGATTAGGAAATTTATGGGATTTTGTGAATTCAGTCCAACAGTGAGATACTGTATTTGAAAGCCTTGATCTGAACTGACACAAGGGTTTTATTACGGGTGATTTCAAACAAAGTAAAAATCAGCTGTGTTTGTTTTTTTTCCCTGTAATCACCTAAATCCAGAAAACATGGTTTGTGTTTTATGTTACCTCATTAAATTGTTCATGTCAGGAAAAGAGCCCATACTGAAATGCGGTACCCATTACTAGATGCTTCGTCAAACCTAAAAGACTACTTATATCTCTAGTTGGAACCAGGAAGAAGGAGAAAAAAAAAAAAAGACTTGCTTTTATCACATATCTTTTAATGTCAGCTTTTGCACTTAATATTTTTACATAGGCTTGTAATAGAATTAACTGTGCGACCCTGTGTAATCGAGAAGTCCCCCATTAAAAATCATCTGTGAAATATAAGTACTATAATCATTTCCTACTCAACCTCAAGTAAAATGGCAGTAAAAAAGAATGGGAAAATGTGCAAAACTACAGAATCAAAATTCAGGGAGAAAGGACAACTAGAAGAGAGTGTCAGTAAAAATATGAAAATTAAAAAAACAGCTTTTGGGAGAAGAAATACAAATAGATTAGTTGTAACTGATTTAGCAAAGTGGAAGAGACTGAAATCAATGTGTCTGCAATGGGGGGAAAGTATGAGAAGCAAGTTACGTTATGGCATAGTAATTGGTTAGAAAATATCCGAAGTTCATATTTAAGAACCTAGTCATCTACACAAACACAAGAGAGTTGAAAGTGATTGTGTCTCTAGTCTTTTGGGGTTGGCACGGGGTAGGGTAGGCAACTACATAAACCTTGAAGCACTATTATATATTGAAAGTATATTCATACACTGTATAGACAAAAATGTTTAAAAACTCAGACAAAAACCTGAGTACAGATGGCTTTCTTACTCAGTGTAAAGCAGTGTTTCTACCCCTTTGTAGAGTATCCAACATACAGTAAATATACAGTAATAAGTACACAAATGAGTAAATGGATGCCATCTCAAAGCAATTCTTATAACATTCCAGTGAAGAAACAGAGACTACAGAAAGGCATCCATTCTAATGTCACACAGTCATGCACAGACGTAAATAACAAATCCTGGCTTGTTTCACTCTACCGAGTTATTTGCTATCTATATCATGCTAGGTATTTTTTACTGAGAAATAAAGGAGACATCAATAAGTATGAGGAAATTAAAACATGTTTCTATTCTCCCCAAAAAGCAGAACAAAATGTTCATGTCAGTAAAAAATTATTTAGAATTGATGAACACAAATTAGACTGTATATGGCAAAATGAAAAACAATATCTATCTTGTATACAGATGTATCACAGTATTATTGAGTAGTCAGGCCATTCAAATACTCACATTAAGAGGACTGTAGGCACAAAACAATGTTGTCCAGGATAACGCTCCTCAAACTGGGATGCACACCTTATATAAATTTGTATAAACAAGTACAGCTGGCTGAAGGGACCCATCTTTCATATACTCAAATTTCATAAACACTAAATGTATTCTGCCTGACTTGAGAGAATGCTTTTGTTGAGGTAACATGTCAAATCATCCATCTTAACTTTTCTACCTGAATTATCCATCCCCACATTCAAAAGAGAAAGTCATCTTTCTCATTCATCCGTAATTTCCGTCTGTGTATTGCTCCAGCTTTTAAAATGCTCTTCCCATTGACAGACCACAATTTTGAGAAAATTGAAGTTTTTAAAAGGTAAAAAAATCTGCTTTAAGAAAGAGAATACAAAATGGCAAGTAGAAAATTAGGTATGAAAGTAAATATTTATTTAAAATAAGAAAATAAATCATAAGTAATTGCTAGTGCATTGGAGTTCAGGTCCATTTCTGACTAAATTGCTTTAAGTTATTTACCAGAACTACTTACATAGAAATGCTTCTTAGTTGCAATCTGTCTTCATTTCTTCTCCTAGAACAATCTACAGCCAACAGTAACTCCAAGCAATTATAGAAGTCTGTTCAAGAGAGTGGCTCTGGAACTTGAGATCCATTAACTTCAAGGTTATTTGCTTCTGCCTCCAGGCCGCCAACTAAAGGTAGACTTGGAAATGAGCAGTAGTGAAGCTTTCCTTAACTAGTGAAGTCACCCATAAACCTCTGGTAGGGTCGCTCTGGTTAGTTCTTTGCTTTGGACACATTTGTGTTGAGGATGAAGTGCGTACACAGAAATAGGTATTGTGGCCCCTGGTCTAAATTCAGGTATAGTGTGGAGCAGAACAAAACTATGATAACAACAATTGCAAATTTAAAACTATGTCATATCTCTGAACTGCTACCTCTGGCCATAAAGAACAAAGATGTAGAATGAGTCCTCCCACTCTAAAGAATTATAAATCTGAACAACACATATAAGGCAACTGTTTTCAGGCAGTGGTGCAAAAGGTAGCACAATAATGAGATTATAAACATTTGAAAATGAGATGTTAAACTGCCATTTACAATGTTTTTTTTTTTTAAAATGAGGATAGTATTAAAGGAATGAAATGGCAACCCACAGAATGAGAGATAGTTTTTGCAAACCATATTCCTGATAAAAGAGTATTATACAGAATAATAACTCATACAACTCAACGAAAAAAACAAACAACCTGATTAAAAAATGAGCAAAGGACTGATATAAACACTTCTACAAAGAAGATATACAAATGGCCAATAAGTAAAAGAAAAGAAAAGATGTTCAAAAGCACTAATAATTAGATAAATGCAAATTAAAACTATAATGAGATACCACTTCACATCAACTAGGATGTCTATTATTTAAAAAAAAAAAAAGAGAGAGAGAGAGATACCAGAGAATAATAAGCCTTGGCAAAGATATGAAGAAATCAGACTGATTATGCATTGCTGGTAAAATAAAATAAAAATTTTAAAAAAGATGCTGTGGAAAACAGTATGGTACTTCCACAAAATATAAAACATAGAATTATGGTATGATACAGCAATTCCACTTCTAGGCACATACTCAAAGTAATTGAAAGCAGGGATTAGAGATTTTTTTTTTTTTTTTTTTTTTTTTTTTTTTTTGAGATGGAGACTTGCTCTGTCGCCCAGGCTGGAGTGCAGTGGCAGGATCTCCGCTCACTGCAAGCTCCGCCTTCCGGGCTCACGCCATTCTCCTGCCTCAGCCTCCCTAGTAGCTGGGACTATAGGCGCCGCCACCATGCCCGGCTAATTTTTTGTATTTTTAGTAGAGACAGAGTTTCACCATGTTAGCCAGGATGATCTCGATCTCCTGACCTCATGATCCGCCCGCCTCGGCCTCCCAAAGTGCTGGGATAACAGTCGTGAGCCAACGCACCCGGCCTAAAGATATATTTTTACAGAAATGTTCAGAGTAGCATCATTCGCAATTTTCAAAAAGTAGAAACAACCCAAATACCCATTGAGAGAAGAAGAAACAAAGTAGGGCAAATACATGCAATGAAATTCACTACTCAGCATTAATAAGGAAGAAAATTCTAATACATGCTACTACATAGATTAACCTTGACGACTTTATGCTAAGTGAAATGAACCAGACACAAAAAGACAATAAGTGAATTATTGTGTGATTCTGCTTATATGAAGTAATTAGAATAGTTAAAATCATGGAGATGGAAAGGAAAATAATGCTTACCAGGGACTGAGGGGAAGAGAAAATTGAGAGTTATTATTAATAGGTACAGAGTTTCAGCATGGGATAATGAAAAGATTATGAAGAAGGATAGTGATGATGGTTACACAACAATTTGAAAGTACTTACTGTTACTAAATTGCACACTTGAAAATGGTTAAAGTGATACATTTTTACACTGAGTATATTTTACCAAAATTTTTTAAAAGTACTAAATAATAAAACAACAACTTAGGAACTAAGTGAATAAAATACTTGCAAGACCTCTACCCTAAAGTCTCCAAAAACTCCTGAGAGAAATGAGGAAAGAATGCATAAAAAGACACGTATATCTGTTCATTAGTTGGATGAAACAATATTACAGAGATGTACATTGTCCCTAAACTAACCTATGTATGTAATGTAATTCTAATAAAATCTGAGTAGGCATTTCTGTTTTGTTTTGTTTTTATAAACATTAAGAAACTGATTCCATAATTTACATGGAAAAGCAAATAACCTAGAAGAGCCAAAACAATTTATTTCAAAATAAAAGTAAAGTTCAAAAATATACACTACCTGATTTTATGACTTAATATAAAACCACAGAAAATAATATATTGTGATTTAGGCATAAAGATAGGCAAATAAACCAATAAAACAGAATAGAGAGCCAAAAATTGGACTGTACACATATGGTCAATTGATTTTCAAAAGAGCCACCATAACAATTCAAGATGAAAAGGGTCATCTTTCAACAACTGATTTCAAGTAGATATCTGAATGCAAAAAAAAAATTGAACCCATTCTTTCATTATCCATAGTAACATTTCGTTTAAAACAGATTGTAGATATAATTATAAGAGCTGAAGGTTAAAATTAGGGGAGAAGAATATGAATTGGGTTTTGCAGCAGGAACTCTGCTGTTTTCCCCACATCCAACCTACAGCTTGCAGGAGGCTTTCTCCAGATTCTTTCCCAGACCTCAATCTTTCCTCTAAAAACTTGATGAGATCAGTGGAGAAGAGGCTGTGAGTGGCCATGTGATGTCTGAAGTGCAATGTGTTCTGTGCTCTCACACTTAGCCTTGAGCAATTAGTCAACAATTGTAGCTAAATTCTTCTTACTAGCAGCTGTATCCTACACTGGTAAGCAAGTGCTTGGATTGCATCTCTACTTGGCAATTGTCATCCCTCAAATTTAAGGTTATTTTGTTGCCCTGCAACTTCAGCTCTCCAACTAAGCTAAGAAAAGTTGCAATTACGCAATTATCTGTCTCTTTGTTATTGTTGTCAGAGTGGAAGAAATATTATTTTCAGTTTTTAAAATCCCAGGTGGAAGCTAGAAGCTTTTGTTGTGCCAATGTAAGACATGTTAAAAGAATCTACAAAATAAAACTAAGCCTGAATATATAATTATATATAAATATATAAATGTTTTCACACTTGATCGGTACAGTAAGCAGTATCTTAAATGGCACTATTTACAATTATATGATAAGGCTTTTGTCCTAGTTTTGTTTAATTTTAGCTCAACAAAGTAAAATAAAAGTTTTGCAGGCACAACTAATTTGATGTCTTGATAAATAGGTGGTGTCCAATGTGTTGTTTTCAACAAAATTAAAAGGAAATTTATAAACTAAAAACAGATGGATTACTAAATTTAATTTTATTGTATAACGATGTTATATTTTGACACATAACTTTAAGAAAAAATCAAAATATTGAGTAGCATTGCTAAAATAAAACATTATTTGTTCTTACCTACTTATTTATATTAAAATATTTCTTATATAAAGGAATATTATAGAGGCTGAAGACTTTCTAGCACTATATAATATTGGTCTATGAAATATTAAAATAATAGGAATACAAACCACGTCTGTATTATTTGATTTTGTCAATTGTGTACTACTAAAACATGTAATGATAATTCATTCCAGAAAAAAATACCCATTACAGGCTTAGACCCACAGAATATTTTAACAAATAATAAATGTATATAATTGTTCTTTTATCAAAGAAGTATGATATCATTTGGAAGATAGAATTTCAAATATACAAACACATTACATTGGTGAGGATAAAATACTGGGACTTGAGGAAAGATAGAAATACAAAGTCAAGAAGAAACAATTCAGGTTTTGTAATAGTAGCTAAAAAGTGTTTATTTTTTCTCATTTTATTTTAAGAAATAATTTTTTTCAATTTTTATTTTGGAGTCAGGGAGTACATTGTGTAGGTTTGCTACTTGGGCATATTGTGTGATGTTGAGCTTAGGAAAACAAATGATCCCATTACCCAGGTACTTACCATCATACCCAAGAGTTAGGTTCTTTACCCTTGCTCCACTTCCTACCTCCACCCTCTAGTAGTGCCCAGTGCCTATTGTTGCCATCTTTATGTCTATGAGTACCCAATATTTAGCTCCCACTGTTAAGTGAGAACATGTAGTATTTGGGTTTCTTTTCCTGTGTTACTTCACTTAGAAGAATGGTCTCCAGCTGCATTCATGTTGCTGCAAAGGATATGACTTCATTTTTTTATGGTTGCATAATATTACATGGTGTGTATGTACCACATTTTCTTTAACTAGTCCACCACTGATAGGCACCTAGATTGAACCCATGTCTTTGCTACTGTGAATAGTGCTGTAATGGACATGAAAGTGTATATGTCTTTTTGGCAGAACAATTTATTATTTTTTAATCTACATACTCAGTAATGGGATTGCTGGGTCAAATGGTAGGTCTGTTTTGAGTTCTTTGAGAAACCATCAGGCTGCTTTCCATAGTGGCTAAACTAATTTACATTCACACAAATATCTGATATTTGATGAAGGTGGCAAAAATAAGAAGTAGGCAAAGAACTCCCCATTCAATGAATGGTGCTGGGATAGCTGGCTAGCCATATTCAGAAGAATGAAACTGGACTCCTATGTTTCACCATGTACAAAAATTAACCTAAGATGGATTAAAGGTTTAAATATAAGATATCAAAATATAAGGAACCAAGAAAAAAATCTTCTTTAGGTTTCTAAGTGCCAACATCTGTTGTTTTCTGCCTTTTTAATAACAGACATTCTGACTGGTGTGAAGTAGTATCGTGTGGTTTTGATTTGTGTTTCTCTGATGATTAATAATGTGAAGTATTTTTTAACATCTTTGTTGACACCTTGTACGCCTTCTTATAGTTCCTTCTTAAGGTCCTTATAGATTCTGGATACTAGACCTTCATCAGATGAAGAGTTTGCAAATTTTTTCATCCATGCTGTAGGTTGTCTCTTTACTCTGTTTATAGTTTATTTTGCTGTGCAGAAGCTTTAAGTTTAAATAGGCCCCACTTTTTAAGTTTTGTTTTTGTTGCAAAGACTTCTGGAACTTAGTCATAAATTCTTTCCTAAGGTGGATATATAGAATGGTGTTTCCTAGGTTTTCTTCTAGGATCTTTACAGTTTGACATATTACATTTAAATATTTAATCCATTGAGTTAATTTTTGTGTATTGTGAAAGATTGGGCCCAGTTTCATTCTTCGGAATATGGCTAGCCAACTATCCCAGCACTATTTATTGAATAGGGAGTTCTTTGCCATTGCTCATTCTTAGCAACTTCATTGAAGATCAGATAATTGTAGATGTGTGGCTTTATTTCTGAATTGTCTATTCTGTTCCATTTGTCTATTTGTCTGTTTTTGTACCATTACCATGCTATTTTGGTTTCTGTAGCCTTACAGTTTGAAGTCAGGTAGTGTGATGCCTCCAGCTTTCTTTTTGCTTAGGATTGCTTTGACTATCTGGACTCTTTTTTTTCCTCCATATGAGTTTTAGGAGAGTTTTTTTTTTTTTTTAAGTTCTGTGAAAATGATGTTGGTAGTTTGGTAGGAACAACATTGAATCTATGAATCTATACATTGCATTGCTCATTATGGCCATTTTAACTATATTGATTCTTCCAATCCATGAGTATGACATATTTTTCCATTTGTTTGTGTCATTTACGTCTTCATTCAGCAGTGTTTTACAGTTCTCCTTAAAGAGATCTTTCACCTCCTTGGTTAGGTGTACTCCTAGGTATTATTTTTTCTGTGGCTGTTGTAAATGTGATTGCACTCTTGATTTGACTCTCAGCATAAAGGTTATTTGACGTTTGTACATTGATTTTGTATCCTGAAACTTTACTAAAATTGTTTATTATTTCCAGGAGCCTTCTGTCAGAGTCTATAGGTATTTCTAGGTATAGAACCATATCATCCACAAAGGAAGATAGTTTGACTTCCTCTTTTCCAATGTAGATGCCTTTTGTTTCTTTCTTTTGCCTGGCTGCTGTGGCTAGCACTTCCAGTACTATGTTGAATAGGAGTGATGAGAGTGGACATCCTTTTCTTGTTCCAGTTTTCAAGGGAAATGGTTCCAGTTTGTGCACATTCAGTATAATGTTGGCTATAGATATGTCATAGATGGTTCTATTCCTATGATACTGAGTTTATTGAGAGTTTTTATCATGAAAGTATGTTGGATTTTACCAAAATCTTTTTTTGCAGCTGTTCAGATAATCACAGGGTTTGTGTTTTAATTCTGTTTATATGGTGAATCACATTTATAGAATTACATATTACATATCTTGAAACACCCTTGCATCGCAGGAATAAAGTCTACTTGATTGTGGTGAATTAACCATTTGATGTGCTGTTGGATTTAGTTTGCTAGTGTTTTTTTTTTTGTTTGTTTGTTTGTTTTTGTTTTTTTTTCTTCAGGGTTTTTGCATCTATTCTTTTTTTTTTTTTTTTTTTTTTTGAGACAGAGTCTCACTCTGTCGCCCAGGCTAGAGTGCCATGGCATGATCTTGGCTACTGCAACTTCCACCTCCCGGGTTCAAGCAATTCTCCTGCATTAATCTCCTGAGTAGCTGGGATTACAGGCATACGTCACCACGCCCGGCTGACTTCTGTATTTTTAGTAGAGATGGGGTTTCAGTATGCTGGTCTCAAACTCTTGACCTTGTGATGTGCCTGCCTCGGCCTCCCAAAGTGCTGGGATTATAGGCGTGAGCCACCCACGCCCGGCCTGCATAGATTTTCATCAGGGATATTGTCCTATAGATTTATTTTTTCATCATGTCTTTGCCGGGTTTTGGTATCAGGGTGATGCTGGCTTCATAGAATGAGTTAGGGAGGAGTCTCTCCTCCTTGGGTTTTTGGAAATGTTTCAGTCAAATTGATCCTGGCTCTTCTTTGTACATCTGCTAAAATTTGGTTGTGAATTCATGTCCTCTGGGGCTTTTTAAATTTTTTTAAATTTTTTTATCACTGACTCACTTTTAGAAGTTGATATTGAGCTGTTCAGGATTTCAATTTCTTCCTGATTTAATCTTAGAAATTGTGTTTCCAGGAATTCATTCATTTTGTTCTAGATTTTCTAATTTGTGGGCATAGACGTGTTCATAATAGTTTTTGTTAATCTTTTGTGTTTCTGTGGGATCAGTTGTAATGTTACCTTTGTTGTTTCTGATTGTGCTTATTTGTATCTTCTCTCTCTTTTTTTTTTTTTTTCATTAGTCCAAATACTGGTCTATAAATCTTGTTTATCCTTTCAAAAAACCAGCTTTTGAGGTTTCATTGATTGTATGAAATTTGGGGTCTCAATTTCATTCAGTTCTGTTCCGATTTTAGTTATTTCTTTTATTCTACAGGCTTTGAGGTTGATTTGTTCTTCTTTCTCTCATTTTTCCAGGTGTGACGTTAAATTGTTAATTTGAGATTTTTTTAACTTTTTGAGGTAGGTGATTTATGTTGTAAACTTTCCTCTTAGCACTGTTTTTATTACATCCCAAAGGATTTTGGTAAGTTGTGTCTATGATTTCCTTTATTTCAAATAATTTTTCATTTTTGCCATAATCTTCTTCTTTATCCAAAAGTCATTCTGGAGCAAGTTGTTTAATTTCCATGTAATTGCGTGATTTTGAGAGATCTTCTTACTATTGATTTCTATTTTTATTCCACTTTAGTCTAAGAGTATGGCTGGTATTATTTTGATTTTTTTAATTAATGGAGACTTGCTTTATGGCCAAGAATGTGGTCAATCTTGGAATATGTTCCATGTGCAGATAAGACGAATGTATATTCTGTGGCTGATGGCTGGAGAATTCTGTAGATGTCTACTAGGTCTAATTGGTCACGTGTCAAGTTTAATAACCAAATTTCTTAGTCAGTTTTCTGCCTCTATGATCTGTCTAATGCTAACAGTGAGATGTTGAAGTTCCCCTCTATTATTGTTTGGCTTTCTACATCTTTTTATAGGTCAGAAGTACTTGATTTTTGAATTTGTGTGCTCCGATTTTGGGTGCATACATATTTAGGATAGTTAAGTCTTCTTGTGGAACTGAATCCTATATCACTGTTTAATACCCTTCTTTGTCCTTTCTTACTGTTGTTGGTCTAAAATCGGTGTTTTTGTGATACAAGAACAGTGACCCCTGTTCATTTTTGTTTTCCATGTAGATCATAGATCTTTCTCCAACCACTTACTTTGAGTGTATGGATGTCTTTAAGTGTGAGATGAGTCTCTTGAAGATAGTAGATTGATGGGTGTTTTTTTAATGCAACTTGCCATTATGTGCCCTTTAAGTGAGGCATTTAGACTATTTACATTCAAAGTTAATGTAGATATGTAAGTTTCTAATACTATTATAAAATTGTTACCTGATTGTTTTGTGTTTTCTATTGTGTAGTTGCTTTATAGGGTCTGTAGGCTATGTACTTAAGTGTGTTTTTGCGGTAGTAGGTATTTCTCTTTTGTTTTCATGTTTACAACTCCTTTAAGGGTCTCTCATAATGCTGGTCTAGTGGTAATGAATTCTCTCAGCCCTTGTTTGTCTGGAAAAGATTGTATTTCTCCTTCATTTATGAAGCTTAGTTTGGTGGGTTATGAAATTTTTGGTTGGAATGTCTTTCTTTAAGAATGTTGAAAATAAAATAGGTTTTCCAGTCTCTTGTGGCTTGTGAAGTTTCTGCTGAGGCTGTTTATGTTTAACTGATTACTATAGACACCAAAATTGAGTGGTAAATAGTTTCTTTTGGATCCATTGAAATGTATGTCATAAAAGCTTTATTTTAAAATGTCAAATATTTACTATATATTGGAAGTTACATCAATTGCAAATATTTTAAGTTACTTTAAAAATTGCCATGCCAAACCAAAAATATGATAAAGGCATATGGATTGCAATATTATTTGAATAATTGTTTTAGGATGGAAAATTTTAAAGTTCTCTAAAGTAAACCCCAAATAATTTCTGTTATCATTTCCTCTTTCTTGGTAAGAAAATAAACTGGAGATATTCATTTAATAGATATCACTAATCAGTGTGTTTTTGGTCCCAGGATGAAGTCCAGAAAGAATAAAGGAAGCAAAGGAGGTTAAGGGTTTACCTTGTTTATAAAAGTATAATTCTAAATCATCTATTGGATGATTTTCCTATACTTAAATTTTATTCCACTCAACTGCTGCTGCTGTTTAAATAAATCTATTTAAGAACATTATGTTATCTGTCCTTTTCTGATAATTCAACTGTGAGGAATCGTCCAAAGACTAGAGATCATATAATTCATCCTCTTCATGTTTGTTTAATCAGTTTACATTGCATGGATTTTAGCTGTCTATTTAATCAATTCTTTTATTCCTTAGGCTATTCCTCAGTAATGCCAAGATCTAAATGGAGAATGGAGTAAAGAGAAATTATTAATAAAATTTATAAATATAAATTTATAATAATTATTTTATGAAGACTAAAACATAGTGAAGTGCCAATATGGCTTTGGAATTATGAGGGAAAATATCTTCAAATTTACAATATTCTGGAAAATCTGGTAATTGAATAATTTAAAATTTTCATATATATGTTTCACTTACTCATCCAGAGTGCCCCATTATATTGCCACCAGATAGTATTTATCAAGATGTTCTTTCCATCTGGACTCAGGATATTATCTCCCTTTTCTTATCATTAATAGTTCACAATAAATTATTATAAATACATTATTTAATATTTAATTCATTGTTTTTATACATGATTCTGTAAGATTAATATTTCCTATTGAGTAGATTGTCCCTTTACATATATTGCTGATGGGTTTTAACTCTCCCTTGCTACAGAAAAAGAAAAATTATCTTTATCTAAACCCTAGCAGCCAGAGGTGCAGGTCAATGTCCTACCATTTTCCAATCTGATACTCCAGCAGGAATTTTTTTTATATAAAAAGCAGAGGTACTTGGCGGTCTGGACATCACATCAGTGAGGATGATAGTGACATCCAGGCTAGAAGTGGGAAGGTCCAGACTGGACCATCTCTGCTGAAGTAGATCCTAGACTTCAGTGCAGACTAAGAAGAGCTCTGGAGCTCTGGAGGTCTTTCCTTTCCAAACTTGATTTCTAGTCCTCCAATTAAGTAAACGTACCTTGTAGTAACCTAGGCATATTCAAATAAAACATAACATACAGTGCTCCATAGTTAAATATAGATTTCAGATGACATAACATTTTCCTTCTACAGCCTGGCTTGTGATTTATTAATGACTATTAAGAAGGTTTCTCATAGTGCAAAGCTGACAAATAATCAAGTTACCCTTAAAATGCTCATTAGTATTATTATTGAAAGTTTACATAACTTCTCTCAATAAACCTAATTCCAGATATTGTCTTCCACTATTGCTTTCATTCAGCTTCAAATGAAGTTTATATTTATAGCGTACATCATATGAAAAAGTTATATGTTTAAAAATGACAGCCATGCTCAGTACAAAGAGATGTTTATTCTATGGGGAGCATATGAAAACTTCTTTTTTGATGACTTAACAGGATCTCATTTCCCCATCTCAGTTTCACCTTGTCCTTAAGTGGAAAGCAAACTTCTCTGTTTAAATTATTTTGCTTTCTCACTCTCTACCAAGAAACTAGAGTTGCATCCATGCAAGCAAATGTGCCCCAATATGTCTCCCTTATGTAGAATACTGTTTCCTTATGATTATGAAATGGAATTTACATGCAATGTAATGAGATGCAGGAAAAACATGAAGCTCTATCCATGTGCACTGCAGAGCTCAGTCATAAAAGATTTTCTAAAGTATTCTCTTTTACGCATACTTTTTGATTATTCACATCTGGAACTTACAGTTGATTAATCATACAGTATTTCACTTTTCTTTCTAATTATTGTTCTCCTCATTCAATATTGTCTCTTCATCAGCATGTGGTTTCATTTTGCCCTCAGTTGATTTGATCTTTTCTCTAATGTATTCTTATTCTGTCTTATACAGTTTCTCAGAGTTCTTGTTTGTGGCTTAGAAATTTTCTAATTATTAATATCTACCCTCTTACAGTTTCTACCCTTAGTCCAGATTCTGTGCTGTAGGCAATATCAACAAAGTTTATTTCCTCTTTTATTTGAGATGCTATGACATATTTGAACATAAACTTAAAGATACAGCTTTCGCATTTAAAAGTTACATTCCCTAAATTTCTTCAGAGGATCTCGTTGGACATTACTTGTCATTTTGGGTATCATACATTTTGTCAAAACTCTCATTGTAGTTTTTCCATTCCCAAAAATGGACATGATATCTAATTATGCATTTAAAAAGCCTTCTATCAGTAATGTTCCGAACATCATGATTACATTTCTTTAACTTTTTAAGTTCCCTTCCCAAATGCTTATGTGATATCACATTGAACTACAGCCTACAAGTCCACAAGAAATAATTAAGAATCGCTGATTTTGTATCTATCCTTTTTCATTGTTTGTATTTTAATGCAAGCTGTGACTTCACATTCATTTCTGTTAAACCTAATCTTAATAGATTCAAGCCTTAGTCTGTACTTGTTGATTGACCTTGGTCAAGCTGTAAGCCTTTATTTTTTCACTAGCTATTTAACAGAGGAAATAGCTTCTGCCTCAATTCCTTCATTTGCACTGAAGATTGTATACTTCAAGTCATTTTGCCATGAAGGGATGAAGTAACATGAGTACTTACAATACTGCCAGACACGTGCTAATTGTTCCATACACATTTGCTATTCCATAAAAACATTTTTAATCTATTTTATTTTTCTAATAGGCTAAATTCTGCCATGAAGTGTTCTAGTTATCCTTGTCAGCATTGTGGCAGCTACAATTTGGGTTTCTTGGCTCTATTAGTTTCCTGTGGCTGCTGTAACAAAGTATCATAAACTAGGTAGGTTTAAATAATGGTAATGTATTCTCTCATGGTTATAGAGGCCAGAAGGTCTAAATCAAAGTTTGTGCAAGGCTACACTTCATGAAGTCCTGGTGCAAATACCTCCTTTGTCTCTTCTAGCTTCTGATGGTCATAGGCATTCCTTGACTTGTAGCCTCATCACTTCTCTCTCTACATTTATGGGCACATTGCTTTGGCCTCTTCTGTCAAATCTGCTTCTGGCTCATTCTAATAAGGGTTCTTGTCAGTGAACTCAGAGCGAATCATATTGAAAAATTCAGGGTAAGCTCCTCCTCTCAAAACCCTTAGCTTAATCAAATCTTTTGCCTTATAAGATAATATTCACAGATTCTAAGGATTATGATGTAGAGATATTATTGGGTGGCTATTAATCAATATACTAATCACACTAATGATATCACTGTTCAAATCCCAAGCACAATGTAATATTTATCTGGAGATTATCTAAGAAAGACTGTTGCCATTTAATAATTTGGAAGTTTTTGCCAATGTTCATATAATTGGTGGTGTAATGAGAATATCACTACTTGGTCCCTGGTATGTAGTACCTTGAAACCTACTCAAGACATTACTTTGGTGAGCTATGTGAAGTTGGGCAAGTGACCTCAACTTCCTGAGTCTTCAGTTTCATCTACAAAATGATACATTTCTCCATGATTATCCTGAAATTATTTTTAGCAATAATTTCACATTTGCATAATTTTGCTTAAATATAAAAATGTCATTTTTAATAATATGCTAAACTTCAAAATCTAATAGATATTTCAGCTATGCATACTTATTATTATATAAGTAAAATAAGCATAATACAGCATTTGTAATATGGGTGGGATAGTCAGTAATTGCTATCCATTTTCCAGGAAATAATTGATTATTTCTAACTCAGATGATAATAAAAGGCTTGCTGGAGAAATTTAGGAAGGAATAAGGAAAACCAAAAGACAGAAAAGAGGTGACAAATGGCATTGCCAAAGGCCTCTAACCTAGGAATCACTCGGTCATCCTGACATATTAGATAGACACTTATATATTAGCATCTGTAAGAACTGTGTAGTCTCCCATTGAAAAGATTAATCTGAATTTAATAAAAGCAGTTGAGGAAAAATCTAAGGTCTATGTATTATGAGTGAAAATTACTCATATGGTGAAGCAAATAATAATTTTCAATAATTTAATAAAACTGAAAATGCTATTTTTATCTTTCAATAAAGTATTACTGCATAGTGATGGGAAATAAAATAGAAATTATTTATACAAACCAATTAAAGAGAAAACATAGAACTTTTATAGCCATATTTCCATTTGTCTTTCTCAAATATATCCTATATAACCAAATTCAAATAAACATTGATTGCTTATTATGACTTTCTCTCTAAGGTAGGTTCTAGAAAACATTTTCTGTACTAAAAAGCCTATAGTCAGCTGTATTATGTCACAAAAAAGTAAATAATGACAGCAATGCCTTTCCTGAGTAAGGGATTGTTTTTCCTCATCACCTATAATGCTAGAGTCGAATGTATAAATTGCCGTACCTATTTTGCATCTGAAGTTTAGAAAAACTATACCCTAGTCACAGAGCTGCTTGCTGAAAAAGTATAGGAATATATGGGAATAGGAAGAAAGCTCTTAGTTTTATTTACCTATACTTCTGCTTATGTAAATTTTGCCACCACGTACCCTTCCCTCTCCCCATATGAGCTATGTTGATGATTTTTTTTTTTTTTTTTTTTTTTTTTGAGACGGAGTCTGGCTCTGTCGCCCAGGCTGGAGTGCAGTGGCGCGATCTTGGCTAACTGCAAGCTCCGCCTCCCGGGTTCACGCTGTTCTCCTGACTCAGCCTCCCGAGTAGCTGGGACTACAGGCGCTCACCACCACGCCTGGCTAATTTATTTATTTATTTATTTATTTATTTATTTATTTTTTCTATTTTTAGTAGAGACGGGGTTGGTATATTTTGCTTCAATGAGCTAGAGTAGATTTGTTTGTTGCTTACAAAAACCATTGATGATACAGGTACATAAAATGTTGTTTATGTAATTGTTATAAACTGTGTGTTTCTTGCCCCTCTCCAAAATATTCATGTGATGAAATTCAAACTCCCAATGGGATGGCCTTATGAGGAAGGGCATTGGAAGGTCATTAGATGAGGTCATGAGGGTAGATCTCCCATGAAGGGTTAGTGTTTTTATAAGAAGAGAAAGAAACTAGAGCTCTCTCTACTTGAGGATACAGCCGGAGGCAGCTGTCTGTCAACCAAGACAAGGAGACCCAACAAAACCCCAACCATGTTGGCACCCTGATCTCAGCCTCAAGAACTGTGGGATATAAACTTATGTTGTTTAAGACACAGTCTACAGTATTCGGATATAGCAGCACAAACTGACTAAGACAAATATCCACACCTGGAAATGGGATGCTGCTGTAAGAAATACCTAAAAATGTGGAAGAGGCTTTGGAACTAGGTAATGAGTAAAGACTAGAAGAGTTTTGAGGTGTATATTAGAAAAAACTGATATTTCTGTGAAGAGACTGCTAAAGGTGATTCTGGTGAGGGCTCAGAAAGAAAAGAGAAGAGATGGAGATAAATCCTCCATCTTCCTAGAGAATACACAAGTAATCATGTGCACAATGTTGGTACAGATATGGATGGTAAAGGCCATTCTGAGGAGAGGTCAGATGTAAATGAAGAATATGATATTGAAAAATGGAGAAAAGAAGATTCTTGCCATAAAGTGGCAAAGAACTTACCTAATTTTTATTCCCATTCTGTAATTTTGTGGAAGGTAGAAATTGCAAGTATTGAAATTGGATATTTAGCTGGAGAGGTTTCCAAGCAAAGGTAAATAAAGTACCTTAATGATTATTTACACACACACACACACACACACACGTTTATTTGGGTTTAACAAATTAGAAAATGTCACCAAAAAATGGTTCTCTCTCTTTCTCTAGCTACACGCACAAACACACACACACATTTGTATCTATATCTGTTAATTAGTTTATATTGAGGGATAAAGGTGAAGTGTGTGTGTGTGTGTGTGTGTGTGTGTGTGTGTATGTATGTATGTATCCAGGAGTAGGTAGGCAGAATTACAGACCACAGGGAGAGTTGACTTAAGGTGCCAGAGACCTGAATCCCTGGGGTGCATCCCTAGGCTAACTGCTACAGTTAGTGAGAGTTCTTGAGAGGGCAGTAACTGGCAGAACAAGTTATTGTGTCACAGTCACAAAATTAACCCTACAATCACCTGGCAACCATGCTACAGGGCCAATAGTTCATCTGAGAAGGGAAATAAAATCAAGCCAAACACCACACACACACACCCACACACACATCAAGACCTGAACTTTCACTATAAGAGTGGCATTAGTATCCTCTTATGTACTGAACCTGCCTTTGAGGACTTCTAGATAGTGTTCTATCTTTCTATCACTGTCCTCAGCAGTGCTAAATTTTCAGAGATCTTTTTTTATAAACTCTAGTTCTGCTATTGTAGACACATCTCACATTCACACTTACCACTGGTCCCCCCTGTCAGAGGCTGGTACCATATTTGTCTGTGCTTTTCAGTGCAATTATGACATTTCGTTGTTCTACTCTGCTTCCTGTAATCATGGCAGTGCTTTGATCAAGCTTGGATATAGTGACAGTCTACACAGTATTTAAGCTGTGTGGCCAGCTACCGCCAGTATTCCTTCTAATTCCAGTATCTTAAGTCTTCATTCTAAAAGGCCTCATGCATTTAACCTAAGTTTTCCTGTATTCTTTCTTTTGAGTTCTACATACCCATTCAAGCTTAGTGTTCTTACTCACTTTCAAAACTGTTCAATTAAAATAGGACTTTTGAGAAGCACATAGTAACTCAGAAAGCCAGTCCTCTGATTAAATAGAGGCTATTTGCCTTTTATGGATACGAAGGAAACCTGGACCTTAGATATAATAGCCTGGCTGTTTTCTCGGAAGGGGAAAAAACAACTCATTTCTTCCTTTTAATAGTTGTGAAGTACTAAGTACAAACTAACTTTTCAGTAGATGTTGTATATTATGTTTTAAATAAATTTACTCTGTTCCACTTTTATTACCTTTACATTCTTGCAGGAAGTCTGTAAAGTGATAAATTTGTTTTTGTATACAAAATTTCATATTAAGATTAATATAATAGTTTTTGTATTACATGTTAAATAATTATATTTTAATTAGATTTTGGCTAGTCATACTTTTCTTTCCTGCTTCTGTCCTATTTTGGTATGGTATATAATAATCTGATTATATTTGTTTGAACACGAGGGAACTGGTTTGCACTGAGCCCCAGAGAGCATTTCCCTGTGAACTCGTATGAGAAAGGGATAGAGTCACATAAGCAGAGTAGATTAAGAAGATTATAAAAATCAATTAGCACAGCAAATATTATATGATGATATGTTTGGACATGGTGAAGCTGAGATTATTAATTTAATTTAAACCTGTTTGTCCCAAGACTACATAAACTAGACTTCCTTGTATACAGAGATGGTAATACAAACTGTCAATACAGGCATTTTATATTCATTTTATATTCAGAATTAACTAGCAAATTAGGGAAAATACTTATATTTGAAACATACAATGTTTAAACACATAACACAATTCAGTAGAATAACCATTAATAACTTCTGTATTGGCTGCACGCTGGGAAAGACAGTCATGTGAGCTTGTTTATCCCTGCGTGGTCAAATAAGAGTTCCCTTGGCCTGGAACATTTTTTTACACGGAAATAAAGAGATCTCACAGCCTGTGCTGGGCATATTGTGTTGTTTGGGATTATCTTTCCTTCCTGTGGACTTGATAAGTACTTCTTTGTTTTGCTTAAAGCACGTGCATCATACAGAACCTGGCCAACCCAACTCCTATATCTACTTCTGGTGGGGAGAAAACAGTGTTCTTCAGCTATAGCACAGGGCAGATGTGCACAGACCGTCTCCCTGTATAGACTATTGGGCAAGACCAACTGGCCATGGGAGACCTATGTTCACTGTTGGTGATCTTGTGCTTTATTTCTCTATGTGAGTAAAGCATTGTTTTATTTGGTACCTGTGTAAATTGTGTCTTTCTTGGTGACACTGATACCTGCAAACCATGCAGTGGGTTGACATCCTGAAACAGCTGCTCCTGGATGTGGGCATTGCTTCACTCTTTACTGTCTTCCATGCACTGGGACTCCTCCACTGGATTTGCTCAACAATGCATATTGTCATCTCATATAAATCATTACCAGAAATTATTTTTAAATGTTGCAAATAAGTAAAACATTGCATTAAAATAGACTACATTGAGTTGAACACCTTTTCCTTTACCTGTTGGTGATGTTTATATCTTCACTAGAGAAATGTCTGTTTAGGTTTTTTGCTCATTTTTAAAAATTGAGTTATGTGTTTTTCTACTATTGAGTTGTATGGTTTGTTTCAGGTATATGCAAATGTTTTTCTCAGTTTATAGTCTGCCATTTCATTTTGTTGATTTCTTTGCTGTGCATAAGTTTTTTAGTTTGATGTAGTCCCTTTTTAAAATTTTATTTCTGTAGACTGAGCATTTGTAGTGATAACATATATATATAAAAATCACTTCCCAAGAGCTTTTCTTCTATGTTTTCTTCTAGAAGTTTTATAGTTTCTAGTCTTACATTTCGGTCTTTCATCCATTTTGAGTTTTCCTGTGTGTGTGTGTGTATGGAATAAGATATGTGTCCAGTTTTATTCTTTTCCATGTGAAAATATGATTTTCTCAACATCATTTATTGAAGAGACTACTCTTTCCTCATTGTGCCGTCTTGGCAGTCTTGTCAAAAATTAGTTGACTGTGTGTTTGGAGTTATCACTGGGCTCTCTATTGTGTTCTACTGGATTATTTGTCTGTTTTAAGCCAGCATCATACTGTTTTAATTACTGTAGGCTTTTAATATAATTTTAAATCAGGAGGTATAGTGACTCCAATATTTTTTTCCCAAAGAATTGTTTCTAGGGGGTCTTTTATGTTTCCATATGAATTTTAGGACCATTTTGCTACTTTTATGAAGAATGTCATTGGGATTCCTCCTAGCAGTAGGAAGCAGTTGTGTTGAATCTGTATATTTATTTGGGTAGACTGGACATGTTAACAACGTTAATTCTTCCAATCCATGAGGACAGGATATCTTCCTATTTGTTTGTGTCTTCTTCAACTTATTTCACAAATGTTTTATAATTTTAATGTACACAACTTTCATTTCCCTGGTTCAATATATTCCCAATTATTTTTATGCTATCCTAAATGAGATAGTTTTCTTGATTTATTTTTTAGTTCAGTTGTTATTATTATATAAAATGCTACCAATTTCAAAATCGCTATGAGGTACCACCTCACACCTGTTAGGATAGCTATTACCAAAAAGTCAAAAGATAACAAATTTTGCTGAGAGGGTGGAGAAAATAAAACTCTTGTATTCTGTTGGTGGGAATGTAGATTAGTATAGCCATTATGAAAAACACTATGGAAATTTCTAAAGAAATTAAAAATAGACCTACCATATGGCCCAGCAATCCTTCTTCTGGGCATATATTCAAGGGAAAAGAAATCACCACCTCATAAAGATATCTGCATTCTCATATTCATTGCAGCATTACTTGCAGTAGCCAAAATATGAAAACAACCTAAGTGTACATCAATAGGCAAATGGATAAAGAGTTGTATACATACATATACACATATATAACACACACATATATAATGGCGTATTATTTGGTTGTAAAAAAGAATGAAATATTGCCATACGCCACCACATGAATAAACCTGAAGGACATTATGCTAAGTGAAGTAAGGCACACACAGAAAGAAAAAATTGCATGATTCCACTTATATGTGGAAACTAAAAAAAAAAAAAAATCACATATACAGAGATAGAAAATAAAACAGTGATTATCAGGGCCATGGGGTAGAGCTGGGGAACAAATGGGGAGATGTGGGTATGAGAATACAAAGTAGCAGATACATAGGAGAGAAAAGTTTAGAAATCTAATGTACAATATAAGGATTATAGGTAATAAAACTGTACTTTATTTGGGATTCATGCTAAATTAGTATATTTTAGCTGCACTTGCCATAAAAATAAAAAAATTGAGCAAATATGTGAGATGATGAATATGTTAATTTACTTCACTTTAGTAACTTTTTAACAATCTGTATGTATCTCATAATATCATGTTATATACATAAATAAATATGCTTATTTATCATATGACCTTAAAGAGTATAACTTTTTATTTTAAAAATAACTATGCTATCAAGATATGATTGTCATGTAAAGCTGTACATACTGTATACAATGCAATTAGTTTGGAGATACATTCTAATTTTTTATGCTGATAACAAGCTAACTTTGATCTTATACAGAAGCTCTCCACTTTAACTCCTCTATCCTCTCACACATTTTGTTATTGATGTTAAAATTTATATCTTTTTATATCATGCATCAATTAACAAATTACTGTAACTATAGTTTTTTTAATACTCTTAACTCTTAGAGTTAAAAATGATTTTATGCACCATCATTACATTACAGTGTTATGGCATTCTGAATTTAACTCTATACTTCCCTTTACCAAGGAGTTTTACAGTGTCATATTTTCATGTTGCTAATTAGCATCCTTTAATTTCCACTTGAAGTACTTCAACTTTAGTTTCCATTTTAGTATTTCTTCTGAGGCAGGTCTAGTTGTGATGAAATCTCTCAGCTTTTGTTTTTCTAGAAAAGTCTTTATTTCTCCCTTTCTGAATGACAGCTTTGTGGATAAATCATTCTTAGTGGACAGGCTTTTTTTCTTTCAGTATTTTGACTATGTCATCCTATTCTCTTCTGGCTTGCAAGGTTTGCCGAAAAATCCACTGAAACAGTTTTTATAGCTCTGATAGTAACACATGTTTATAATAGCCCTGAAAATAACACATTACCTATGAAACTGTTTCTACCCACTTCTGATGTTCATATTCATGACCATCTGACATAGGATGGATCAATAAAAATTTAACTTTCAAGTATTTAGAATTAGGATATAGGGTTACAAGCAGTTACTGAGTTGGCAGCGGTGGTGAGAGAACTAGAAGGACAAGCAAACTTGGGGGATAAGACTTCTCCTTTGAAGAATTTATGATGTCAGATGTGGAAATAAATAGCAAAGTAGGAACACCAACCAGAACAAAATACGATGCAGTATTAAGAAGAAAGGCAAGGCATCTCTTGCAGCATCAGAGAAATGATAATGTCCTCTCCCCGTGTTCTGATAGGTTTCCACTTAATATTTTTCTTTTTCTTTTTCTTTTCTCTTTTTTTTTTTTTTTTTTTGAGACAAGATTTCACTGTATTGCCCAGGCTGGAATGCAGTGACACAATCACAGCTCACTTACAGCCTGGATCTCCTGGGTTCAAGCTATCCTCCCACGTCAGCCTCCCAGGTAGCTGGGATTACAGACATGTATTTTTAGTAGACACAGTTTTGCCATGTTGCCCAGGCTGGTCTCAAAACCTTAAGTTCAAACAATCTGCCTGCCTCAGCCTCCCAAAATGCTGGTGTAAGATACAATAAATTTCTCTGAGTTTCTCTTCAAAGGTTTAGCCTGCTAACTTCCTTGTTCTTTGCTCTCATACCTAACTTTCTTGTTCTGTTCTCCATGCCTTCTTGCTCCCAGTTATTGTAAACAACCTTCTCGTAAGTGCTAATCAATAACTCACATCTGTTCACTTGGTAACTCACTCTGCACCCATTCCACCCTTTGAAACCACACATCCACCCTTCAAAACTGCACGTCCCACCATTGTAACTCACGTCCCTTTCCACCTTCCTTATTTAGGAGAAATATTCACAAGTAGCCAATCAGGTCAGCTTAGATTGCGCAGTTCAACCCCAGCCCATGGAGGAGTGACACAGAGGTAGGGATCGCGTTAAGAATAAAACCCCCCTGCTTTCCTTTGTTCCCTGTGCTCTTGTGATAGTGATCAATGCAGGCAGCACCCTTCTGCAGAAGTAAATTGCGTTTGAGAGAAAACTTTTGCCTGAGTGCTGGTTTCACTTTGCAGCACTGAGAATTTATTTCTAGAGCATTTTTATACCGACACTGGGATTACAGGAGTCAGCCACCCCACACCCGACCCACTTACCATTTTCAAACACTGCTGAGGCCAGGCTGTATATTCTGCTCCTTTACACCACGTGATTTCTTATTATTCTCAACAAGAATAGTAATAGAATTACTTGGAGGTAAAAATTAGTAAGTGGACAACAAAATGTTCGCAGAATATTCCGATGTTTAGCCAAGTTTGGAAACAATCCACATCGAGATGCTTTAATAAAAATTTCTCAGGAGGAGAAATTTCTTATAGGAAAGCATATTTTATATTAGAACAAAATTTCTTGTTAAAAACTCAAGAAGAAATTTTTTATTCGCCCATAATAGATTTATAGTTGGTCTCCAGAGGGCTGACGCAAACTTTATATAATCCCATCCATGTTTGGAGCATTTTGGACATGAATCTACCAGGCTCAATAAAAAAAAAAAAGAGTACACTAAGGGAAGAGAGAGTAGAAATGCACAACTGAGAGCCAGAAGTAATTGGTCAGCCTCAGAGTAAAAGGATTATTTTAAGTACAGGAAAGGCAACTAAATTTCTGTCCCTCTCACCTTTTTTCCTAGGAGAGAAGTATTGAAACTTAACAGCTAAACTTGCTGCAAGATATTAGGAGCACCAAACAGCACTCTTTTGTTAACTTACACAACAAAAAATGGCACAAATAGATGTGAAATGTTAGAGGGTTTATCAGCATTCTGGAGGACAGAATGCAGAGATGAGGGAAAGTACTGTCTCAAAGCATTCCAAGATTGAGCATGAATAGTGGAGATACTACTAAAAAGCTCTGAAAAGGGCAGAAGGAAACAATTTCGCTGGTAGACAAGAGATTAGAAGCACATATGAAACACTTTCTAGAAAATTCATGTGCTAATAAGGAGCATTTAGAGAGGAGATGAATTATTTTAAATTATTTGCATAAGAATAGAGCCATATGTTTCTCACTTTACCACAAACATAATCTATTTGAGGCAGTTCACTTAAAGGTGAATTAAAAGAGTTGTCCTTTTTGTCTCCATAATGCCCACATGAAATCAGAGGTACTGATGAAATTATGATTTATGATAAAGTTATGACAGAAGGATAAGATTATTATGGCACATGCATTATTCTGAGGAAGTCTAGAAATTTGACATAAAATCATGGAATTCAGTAGATGCCCATGAGTTTAGCGAGTGAAAACACAGAAAGCTGGAAGAGAAATACAAAGAATACACTGAGAGATTTATGTAAATTTGTTCACTTTGAAAGTTCTATCAGTACTAGTCAATTTCTTATATTTTTAACAAGACTTACATTTAGTTTCACCTGGAAAGTGGATTTCCCACCCTCTCTCTGAAAAGAACTTCTTTATCTTTTTTTGTTATTTATCTTTAAAATCAATATTTTCATAAATGCATATAATTTTCACATTTCAAGAATAAAGTAGTCCATGTTTTCTTGGCATTTGCTTCTGCCTTAATTTAAATAAAATTATATATCAGAAGTATCCCTTCACACTAAATATTGAGGTGTGTTGTACTTATTTTTGTCTAAAACGTTGTCCAACATGTAGAAATCTATTATTATTAAGGGAGGATTAAGAAATATTCCAATTATCATTTTATATTACAAACTTACGTAGCTAATCTGTCAGAGGTTAGTTATAAATAGATATTAGTTATCTATATGGTTATTGCAGACTACATTCTTTATACACAATTAGAAGAAAAACATGAAAGTACCACTCTGAATGAAATCTGTCTTAAAAATGGATACTTTTAATCTAACAGTTGGTCACAAAATCACAGTACAAATAGAGCAGCTACTCAGTTTCCACTGAAAGTAAACCAAAAGTGTTTGGTTTACTTTCGATTGGATTCAAATTTGAATTGAATTACAATTTCAATTACAGTCAGATATAAAATTAGATAGTAGATTTTGAATGTAAGAAAAGTTATAAAACATTTTAGAAATTTTTTTATAATTTTAAAGTAAGGTTCAGCTTTAGTTCAAAGTAGAAAGAATAATGAAATGAATGCCTAATATCCTCCTAATCTTCAGATTTCATAAATGTCATATTATTAGTGGTGAATCCATAGGGGTCCGCAGCAACCTGAATACTTGCCTCCTCGGAAAAAAGAAGTCAGCCAAGGGGCATAAGGCAGCGTGAGGGATTAAGACAAGTTTTAGAGCAGGAGTGAAAGTGTATTAAAAGGTTTTAGAGCAGGAACCAAAGAAAGAAAAGTACACTTGGAAGAGGGTCAAGCAGGCAACTTGAGAGATTCCAGTGCATGGTTTGACCTCAGACTTGGGGTTTTAAATGTTGGCATGCTTCTGAGTCCTGCATTACTTCTCTGATTCTTCCCTTGGAATAAGCTGTCCGTATGCACAGTGGCCTGCCAGCACTTGGGAGCGGCCACACGAGCAATGTGTATACTGACATTGTACACATGCTTACTTGAGGTGTTTTTCCCTTACCAGTTGAGGGTTATTAATTAAACTCTGGCATTTTGCCTCTTAGTGCACATGCTGGAGGCCACTTGCCTAACTCCTGAGATCTCATGGAGAGGCTGCTGATCATCAGTTTTAGGTGTTTCTATCTACCGGGAGACTGCCATTCCCTGGTGCCAGCTGTAACCAATTATTATTTTAGAAAGACAGTTTAATAATCACCCAAACCTCACCTGATGATTGCCTGACATTCCTGGTGGTAAAGGTTTGGGGGGACCTCTCCTGTCCTGCTCGTGCCTGACTAGCTACCCATTGTAACAATATTACTTCAATTGTTTGTCAAAACAAAGTATTTAAATTTTTTGGCACTAATGCTACTTAAGTATTGCAGCATGATGAGCACATTTGACATAAACACTGAAAAAATGCCTTGTTTTCATGATAAAAATTTATTTAAAGGCACATTTTATAACTATTTTTAGATATAAGGAGGCAAGCAATTTTTGTTTTATTTTGTTTTGTTTTCCTCCAAGAAGGGCCATTTAAACTATTCCAGTCATATCGGATCTAAGATTTTGCTATCTTAAAATCTTATTATTATTATTATTATTATTATTATTATTATACTTTAAGTGCTAGGGTACATGTGCACAATGTGCAGGTTTGTTACATAGGTGTACATGTGCCATATTGGTTTGCTGCACCCATTAACTCATCATTTACATTAGCTATTTCTCCTAATGCTATCCCTCCCCCATTCCCCCACCCCACAACAGGCCAATGTGTGATGTTCCCCACCCTGTGTCCAAGTGTTCTCATTGTTCAATTCCCACCTCTGAGTGAGAACATGTGGTGACTGGTTTTCTGTCCTTGTGATATTTTGCTCAGAATGATGGTTTCCAGCTCCATCTATGTCCCTGCAAAGAGCATGAACTCATCCTTTTTTATGGCTGCATAGTATTCTATGGTATATATGCCACATTTTCCTAATCCAGTCCATCATTGGTGGACATTTGGGTTGGTTCCAAGCCTTTGCTATTGTGAATAGTGCTGCAATAAACATACTTGTGCATGTGTCTTTATAGCAGCATGATTTATACTCCTTTGGGTATATACCCAGTAATAGGATCGCTGGGTCAAATGGTATTTCTAGTTCTAAATCCTTCAGGACTCGCCACACTGTCTTTCACAATGGTTGAACCAGTTTACACTCCCAACAACAGTGGAAAAGTGTTCCTATTTCTCCACATCCTCTCCAGCATCTGTTGTTTCCTGACTTTTTTTTTTTTTTTTTTTTTTTTTTAAGATGGAGTTTCACTCTGTCGCCCAGGCTGGAGTGCAGTGGTGCAATCTCGGCTCACTGCAAGCTCCACCTCCTGGGTTCACGCCATTCTCCTGCCTCAGCCTCCCGAGTAGCTGGGACTACAGGCACCTGCCACCACGCCTGGCTAATTTTTTGCATTTTTAGTAGAAACGGGGTTTCACCGTGTTAGCCAGGATGGTCTCAATCTCCTGACCTCGTGATCCACCCCCCTCAGCCCCCCAAAGTGCTGGAATTACAGGCGTGAGCCACTGCGCCCAGCCTTTTCTGACTTTTCAACGATTGCCATTCTAACTGGTGTGAGATGGTATCTTATTGTGGTTTTGATTCGCATTTCTCTGATGAACAGTGATGATGAGAATTTCTTCAGGTGTCTGTTGGCTGCATAAATGTCTTCTTTTGAAAAGTGTCTGTTCATATCCTTTGCCCACTTTTTGATTTTTTTTTCTTTGTAAATTTGTTTAAGTTCTTTGTAGATTCTGGATATTAGCCCTTTGTCAGATGGGTAGATTGCAAAAATTTTCTCCTATTCTGTAGGTTGCCTGTTCACTCTGATGGTACTTTCTTTTGCTGTGCAGAAGTTCTTTAGTTTAATTAGATCCCATTTGTCTATTTTGGCTTTTGTTGCCATTGCTTTTGGTGTTTTAGACATGAAGTCCTTGCCCATGCCTATGCCCTGAATGGTACTGCCTAGGTTTTCTTCTATGGTTTTTATGGTATTAGGTCTAACATTTAAGTCTTTAATCCATCTTCAATTAATTTTTGTATAAAGTGTAAGGAAGGGATGCAGTTTCAGCTTTCTACATATGGCTAGCCAGTTTCCAGGCACCATTTATTAAATAGGGAAATCTTTCCCCATTTCTTGTTTTTGTCAGGTTTGTCAAAGATCAGATGGTTGTAGATGTGTGGTGGTATTTCTGAGGCCTCTGTTCTGTTCCATTGGTCTACCTCTCTGTTTTGGTACCAGTACCATGCTGTTTTGGTTACTGTAGCCTTATAGTATAGTTTGAAGTCAGGTAGCATGATGCCTCCAGCTTTGTTCTTTTTGCTTAGGATTGTCTTGGCAATGCAGGCTCTTCTTTGGTTCCATATGAACTTTAAAGTAGTTTTTTCCAATTCTGTGAAGAAAGTCATTGGTAGCTTGATGGGGATGGCATTGAATCTATAAATTACCTTGGGCAGTATGGCCATTTTCATGATATTGATTCTTCCTATCCATGAGCATGGAAGGTTCTTCCATTTGTTTGTGTCCTCTTTTATTTCGTTGAGCAGTGGTTTGTAGTTCTCTTTAAAGAGGTCCTTCACATCCCTTTTAAGTTGGATTCCTAGGTATTTTATTCTCTTTGTAGCAACAGTGAATGGGAGTTTTCTCGTGATTTGGCTCTCTTTTTGTCTGTTATTTGTGTATAGGAATGCTTGTAATTTTTGCATATTGATTTTGTATCATGAGACATTGCTGAAGTTGCTTATCAGCTTAAGGAGATTTTCGGCTGAGACAATGGGGTTTTCTAAATATACAATCATGTCATCTGCAAACAGGGACAATTTGACTTCCTCTTTTCCTAATTGAATACCCTTTATTTCTTTCTCTTGCCTGATTGTCCTGGCCAGAACTACTGACACTATTTTGAATAGGAGTGGTGAGAGAGGACATCCCTGTTTGTGCCAGTTTTCAAAGGAAATGTTTCCAGTTTTTTCCCATTCAGTATGATATTGGCCGTGGGTTTGTCATAAGTAGCTCTTATTTTGATATAAGTCCATCAATACCTAGTTTATTGAGAGTTTTTAGAATGAAGGGCTGTTGAATTTTGTCGAAGGTCTTTTCTGCATCTATTGAGATAATCATGTGTTTTTGTCATTGGCTCTCTTTATGTGATGGATTACATTTATTGATTTTCGTATGTTGAACCAGCCTTGCATCCCAGGGATGAAGCCCACTTGATCATGGTGGATAAGCTTTTTGATGTGCTGCTGGGTTCGGTTTGCCACTATTTTATTGAGTATTTTCACATCGATGTTCTTCAGGGATATTGGTCTAAAATTCTCTTTTTTTCTTGTGTTTCTGCCAGGCTTTGGTATCAGGTGATGCTAGCCTCATAAAATGAGTTAGGGAGGATTCCCTCTTTTTCTATTGATTGGAATAGTTTCAGAAGGAATGGTACCAGCTCCTCTTTGTACCTCTGGTAGAATTTAGCTGTGAATCCATCTGGTCCTGGACTTTTTTTGGTTCATAGGCTTTTAATTATTGCCTCAATTTCAGAGCCTATTATTGGTCTATTCAGAGATTCAACTTCTTCCTGGTTTAGTCTTGGGAGGGTGAATGTGTCCAGGAATTCATCCATTTCTTCTAGATTTTCTAGTTTATTTGCATAGAGGTTTTTAAAGTATTCTCCGATGGTAGTTTGTATTTCTTTGGGATTGGTGGTGATATCTCCTTTATCATTTTTTATTGTGTCTATTTGATTCTTCTCTCTTTTCTTCTTTATTAGTCTTGCTAGCAGTCTATCAATTTTGTCGATCTTTTCAAAAAACCAGCTCCTGGATTCATTGATTTTTTGAAGGGTTTTTTGTGTCTCTATCTCTTTCAGTTCTGCTCTGATCTTAGTTATTCCTTGCCTTCTGCTAGCTTTTGAATTTGTTTGCTCTTGCTTCTGTAGTTGTTTTAATTGTGATGTTAGGGTGTCGATTTTAGATCTTTCCTGCTTTCTCTTGTGGGCATTTAGTGCTATATATTTCCCTCTACACACTGCGTTAAATGTGTGCCAGAGATTCTGGTACGTTATGTCTTTGTTCTCATTGGTTTCAAATAACATCTTTATTTCTGCCTTCATTTCGTTATTTACCCAGCAGTCATTCAGAAGCAGGTTGTTCAGTTTCCATGTAGTTGTGTGGTTTTGAATGGGTTTCTTAATCCTGAGTTCTAATTTGAGTGCACTGTGGCCTGAAACAGTTTGTTGTGATTTCTGTTCTTTTACATTTGCTGAGGAGTGCTTTACTTCCAACTATGTGGTCAGTTTTGGAAAAAGTGCGATGAGGTGCTGAGAAGAATGTATATTCTGTTGATTTGGGGCAGAGAGTTCTGTAGATGTCTATTAAGTCTGCTTTCTGCAGAGCCGAGTTCATGTCCTGGATATCCTTGTTAACCTTGTGTCTCGTTGATCTGTCTAATATTGACAGTGGGGTGTTAAAGTCTCCCATTATTATTGTGTGGGAGTCTAAGTCTCTTTGTAGGTCTCTAAGGACTTGCTTTATGAATCTGGGTGCTCCAGTATCAGGTGCATATATATTTAGGATAGTTAGCTCTTCTTGTTGAACTGATCCCTTTACCATTATGTAATGGCCGTCTTTGTCTCTTTTGATCTTTGTTGGTTTAAAGTCTGTTTTATCAGAGACCAGGATTGCAACCCCTGTCTTTTTTTATTTTCCATTTGCTTTGTAGATCTTCCTCCATCTATTTATTTTGAGCCTCTGTGAGTCTCTGCACGTGAGATGGGTCTCCTGAATACAGCACACTGATGGGTCTTGACTCTATCCAATTTGCCAGTCTGAGTGTCTTTCAACTGGGGCATTTTGCCCATTCACATTTAAGGTTAATATTGTTATGTGTGAAATTAATCCTCTCATTATGATGTTAGCTGGTTATTTTGCTCGTTAGTTGATGCAGTTTCTTCCTAGCATTGATGGTCTTTACAATTTGGCATGTTTTTGCAGTGGCTGGTAATGTTTGTTCCTTTCCATATTTAGTGCTTCCTTCAGGAGCTCTTGTAAGGCAAGCCTGGTGGTGACAAAATCTCTCAGCATTTGCTTGTCTGTAACGGATTCTATTTCTCCTTCACTTATGAAGCTTAGTTTGGCTGGATATAAAATTCTGGGTTGAAAATACTTTTCTTTAAGAATGTTGAATATTGGCCCCCACTGTCTTCTGGCTTGTAGGATTTCTGCTGAGAGATCCACTGTGAGTCTCATGGGCTTCCCTTTGTGGGTAACCCAACCTTTCTCTCTGGCTGCCCTTAATATTTTTTCCTTCATTTCAGCCTTGGTGAATCTGACAATTATGTGTCTTGGGGTTTCTCTTCTCAAGGAGTATCTTTGTGGTGTTCTCCATATTTCCTGAATTTGAATGATGACCTGCCTTGCTAGGTTGGGGAAGTTCCACTGGATAATATATCCTGCTGAGTGTTTTCCAACTTGGTTCCATTCTTCCCATCACTTTCAGTTACACCAATCAAATGGAGATTTGGTCTTTTCACATAGTCCCATATTTCTTGGATACTTTGTTTCTTTTTACTCTTTTTTATCTAACCATCTTCACTCGTTTTATTTCATTAATTTGATTTGCAATCACTGATACCCTTTCCTCCACTTGATCGAATTGGCTATTGAAGCTTGTGCATGCATCACGTGGTTCTCGTGCCATGGTTTTCAGCTCCATCAGGTCATTTAAGGTCTTCTCTATACTGTTTATTCTAGTTAGCCATTCATCTAATCTTTTTTCACGGTTTTTAACTTCCTTGCGATGGGTTTGAATACCTCCTTTAGCTAGGAGAAGTTTGTTATTACCGACCTTCTGAAGCCTATTTCTGTCAGCTCATCAAAGTCATTCTCCATCCAGCTTTGTTCCATTGCTGGTGAGGAGTTGCGATCCTTTGGAGGAGAAGAGGTACTCTGGTTTTTAGAATTTTCAGCTTTTCTGCTCTGGTTTCTCCCCATCTTTGTGGTTTTATCTACCTTTGGTCTTTGATGCTGGTGACCTACAGGTGGGATTTTGGTGTGGATGTCCTTTTTGTTGATGTTGATGCTATTCCTTTCTGTTTGTTAGTTTTCCTTCTAAGAGTGAAGTCCCTCAGCTGCAGGTCGGTTGGAGTTTGCTGGAGGTCCACTCCAGATCCTGTTTGCCTGGGTATCACCAGCAGAGGCTACAGAATAGCAAATACTGCAGAACAGCAAATATTGCTGCCTCATCCTTCTTCTGGAAGCTTCATCCCAGAGGGTCACCTGCCTGTATAAGGTGTCAGTCGGCCCCTACTGGGAGATGTCTCCCAGTTACGATACACGGGGTTCAGGGACCTACTTGAGGAGGCAGTCTGTCCATTCTCAGAGCTCAAACACTGTGCTGGGAGAACCACTGCTCTCTTCAGAGCTGTCAGACAGGGATGTTTAAGTCTGCAGAGGTTTTTGCTGCTTTTGTTCAGCTATGCCCTGCCCCCAGAGGTGGCGTCTACAGAGGCAGCAGGCTGTGCAGAGCTGCGGTGGGCTCCACCCAATTTGAGCTTTCCCTGATGCTTTGTTTACCTACTCAAGCTTCAGCAATGGCAGACTCCCCTCTCCCTGCCAGGCTGCTGCCTCGCAGGTCAATCTCAGACTGCTGCACTATGGTGAGCAAGGCTCTGTGGGTGTGAGACCCATTGAGCCAGGCACGGGATATAATCTCCTACAGTGCCGTTTGCTAAGACCATTGGAAAAGCTTAGTATTTGGGTGGGAGTGTCCCGATTTCCTGGGTATAGTCTGCCATGGCTTCCCTTGGCTAGGAAAGGGAAATCCCCCGACCCCTTGCACTTCCCAGGTGAGGTGATGCCCCGTCCTGCTTTGGCTCACCCTCCGTGGGTGGCAACCACTGTCCAGCCAGTCCCAGTGAGATGAACCATGCACCTCAGTTGGAAATGAAGAAATCACCATTTTCTGTGTCAATCATGCTGGGAGCTACACACTGGAGCTGTTTCTATTTGGCCATTTTAGACACTATCTTAAAATCTTTAGGGATGTCTATGATACTGTCTTTTCAAACCAATGTTTAAATTTTCCCAATCTAGGCTGTTCATACTACAACTTAAGCCCATTTTTCTTCTCTTGTTAAATTCTTAGTGTAGGTGAGGGGCAGCTGATTACCATTGTGAGAGTTAAAAATCTTCACATACTTCTAGGACCAATATGAGTGTTGGCATATTTTTCTTATTCAAGTCTTAAGTAAATAAACACATAAATAAATAAATAGTTAACTTAGCCTATAGGTTCAATGGTCTTTGATTAGAAGTTTATTTTTTCTAAATATTTTATGAGGTATTGATGTCATTCAAATGGTGATACTTGGGAATAGCCACTGAACCATTATAAGTTGATGAGTATTTATGAAGCATGTGGTATACATTTAATCATATGCTAAGAATTCTAAGTATAACCAAATTACAGTTTTTGTTCCTTCTTCTTAAGACATCTAAATTCTGGAACAAAAATAAATGCCTGGATAAGTCTACATATTGGTAGAAGTCATCACATAAGTAATCATTTAAACACATGAAATTAGCCAGTTTTGGTAGATTGCATCTAATTTTGCTATTCTAGGACCTTGTCACTCCCCCATCAGGACGTGAAGTCAAATTCCCCACTCCTTAAATTAAGGCAGAACATGTGACTAAATTATAATGAAAAGAATATGACAGAAATTAAACTGCATTAAATCCAAGGCCAAGTCTTAAAAGATGATAAAACGTCTGATTTATGAGCTGAGAGACTTATCTTTAGAGCACTGATCTCATGTTGTGGGAAAGCCCAGATCACATGAAAAGGCCAGGTAAAGGATTCTTGTCCACAGTCCCAGGTAAAGTTCCAGCTGGCAGTCAGGTGTAAGACTTGTAAATGATGATGACTTCAGAATATTTTAAGGTCCAGGACTTGGGTCTTCTGGAAGACCCAAGTCCTGGACTTTAAAATATCTGAAGCAAACCAAATCTGTCCTTTTTGTCCCTTTCTAAATTATTGATACAGAGAATGTATGAGTGTAATAATGTGGTTGTTTTAAGACCAATAATTGATAGTAAATTTTTATTACAATCATAACATGTGAAACAGAAATTTGGTACCTAGCAACTGAATGCTACCAGAATTGTTTTTTTTAAATGTTCAGTAAGTAGGTACTGAGCAATAAGCCGTCTGGAAAGGCTTTTAGGAGACTTAATGAAAACCGAAAAGACCCCAGTAAAGGGAAGAACACCTTTGTTATGTTAACAGCAGAGAGTTTGGTAATGCTGTCACCCATGGTAATATAAGGAACAGGAAATGTTTCTAAGAAACATAATGAACTAGCTAAAAATATTTCCATATTGAAAATGTGCAAAGGACTGCCTAGACTCTTCTCAATGAGAGGTATCCAAGAAGAGAGAAAATCTGTTGATAATCTGAAAGGAGGAAAGATCAGCAAAAGAATGAATTTTTAAATATAAGAAAACCAGGTTATGTTGGGTTTAAAATAAAACTCTTTCTCAGGTGATGCCAGCATTTACTTCCACATATGCAATTAAAGTCACTATTAGAAGATTTTGTTCCAGGTATTGTGAAACAAAAAGATAATCTTGCTGTACCGGTTTTGTAATTTCTGTCACAAAGAACCTAGTTTGTTGAGGTATGTTTAAATTTTAAAATTTAATTAAAAATTTTAATGAAAACAATTTAATATTTTAATGAAAATGTCAGTGCTATTCAAAATTTTATGGTCATATAAATCCCCTGGGAATCTTGTTAAAATGCAGATTCTCATTCAGTGGATCTGGGTTAGGGCCTGAGATTCTGATTTCCTATCCTTTGGTGACAAAAATTCTGCTGATTGAATAACCACGTTTTTTGAGCTGGATAACAAATTCTTCACCGAGATTTATGCAAGAGAATTAAGCCTTTTAAAAAAGAAAATATGTAGCTCTCCTCTCAATTCTCCTAAGATTGGTGCATTCCACCATCTTAGATGCATAGGAGATACACTAATTCAATTTATATATTCATCAAGAAGAGAGGAAGATACATTTGATTAAGTTCCATGGGTCAGATTAACAGATATGAGGGCTAAGCTCTGAAACTTTTATCATGCCCAAATTCCTATCTAAGGGGTGTGTGGAATCATGCCCTATAAACCATAAATTCTCATTGGATGGATTTCATTTAACCATATATATTATGACTTAGTTTCTAATCTGACTCTGGAATAACATTACAAGATGAGAAAGAAAATACAAATATTTTACCCCAAGACACGTTTTTTTTTTTTTTTTTTTTTTTGCCATATCTTGAAATGGCCCTGCAAAGCTGTCCTTGTGGGGGAAAATTTGCATCTGTAAAGAATCTCTATTAACACAGCTAGATCTTTTTCTTCCAGGCCCTCCCAATCCTGAAGAGATTAACTAGAAGTCTAGCACCTTTTAAAGATCTGAATAGGAAACACTTGTCATCTATTGTGTCTAAGGGCAGCCACTATAATACCTCAAAAGATCATTGGTCTCTACAATCTTTTATCTTAACCTGAACATTTCCTTTCTAGCTATCCCAGGTCTTCAGATAAACTCAACCAACTATAAACCAGAAAATGTTTAAATTTACCTATAGCCTGGAAGTCCCCCCACCCCCTGCGCTTTGAGTTGTCCCACCTTTCTGAATCAAATCCATGTATTATTAAATGTATTTGATTGATGTCGCATGGCTCTCTAAAATATATAAAACCAAGCTGTACCCCGACCAATTTGGGTGCATGTTTTCAGGACCTCCTGAGGGTTGTGTCATGGGCCATGGTCACTCATATTTGGCTCAGAATAAAACTCTTAAAAAATTTTGCAGAGTTTGACTCTTTTTGTTGACAGATAGTTGGAGTTGAAGTGTTATGTTCACTTTGGAGTTCTTACTTTCTTGAAATAAAATGTTTCTATGATTAATTCTAGAGTGTTGCTTCCATGTTTTGTGGGTGCCAATTTTTAGATATATATAAAATAAAGGGAGAATTAGAAGAAATTCTTCAGGAGAACACTTGTGGCCAAAATACCTCAAATTTGTCTTTCTTTATTATAAAATTACTAGTTAAAATACCTTCTAATTTTTTTCTTTCTTTCTTAGAACACTATTTTAATTCTGTTAAACCAAAAAGTTTAAATGTATATATTTTTTATTAAAAGCATCCAGGAGCTATAGTAGATTCTGTGAAAGGAAAATAATTCTTGGAGCCCCAAAATCACTAAGCTAAACTGAAAAGTCAGGCTTGGAACTTCTTAGGGCAAACCAGTTCCCAGACCAAGCTGAGGGCTGAGGTGCTACTTCTCGTGGCCCAATAACGAGATGCAGATGAACTGGGGAGGAAGAGAGTTTTTATTTCTGCAACTGGTTACAAGGAGAAGGTCTGGATATTATTGCCAGACCAACTCAAAATTACAAAGTTTTCAAGATTATGTATCTTCTAAGCTATATGTCTATATGTAATTGTGCATTCATCTAAAGACATAAGTGATTAACTTCTCTTAATCTATAACTAAGGTCTGAGTTTTCAAGACCTTCCTCTGGAGCCTCAGTAAATTTACTTAATCTAAATGGGTCCAGGTGCTGGGTGATTACCTTTATCCTGTCTGCTGCTAAATCATGGAGGTTTGGGGAGTTCCTTCAGACCCCCAATAAACTTGTTTGTGGAGGCCTGGGGAGTTTCTTCAGACCCCCAATACAACTTGTTTAATCCTAAATGGGTCCTGTTAATAATTTCTTCATTATTTTCTCATGCTTTAAGGCCAAGAAAAGGCTTAGGCAAAACTCGTGGTGGGCTTTTGTTACATTCCAGCCTTTGTATAAGGGCACTGGCTTTTTTTTTTTTTTAACTTTTAATATTTAGCTTAACCACTCAGTCAGTACTGAAAGAGTTGCTATGGAGGCCTGTGTTAGTGAGAACTGGCCTGCTGCAAACTTGCCTCACATTCTATTCGAAGTCATTCTTCTGCTCACTCAGATAAATGCATATCTTATTGCTTCCTTTGGAAAGGCTAATCAGAAACTCAAAAGAGTGCAACCATTTGTTTCTCACCTGCTTGTGAACTGGAAGCCCCCTCCCTGCTTCGAGTTGTCCTGCCTTTCTGGACAGAACCAATGTACATCCTACCTATAATGATTGATGTCTCATGTCCCCTAAAATATATAAAACCAAGCTGTGCCATGACCATCTTGGGCACACATCTTCAGGACCTCCTGAGGTTGTGTCACGGGCACATGTCCTCAACCTTGGCAACATAAACTTTCTAAATTAACTGAGACCTGTCTCAGATATTTGGGGTTCACAATTCCATAGAGCCAAACTAGTCATGAGTGGTATCTAGAGTGCTATTTAAACTCATGGAACTTGCAGTTACAAATGAAAGGTCCAAAAAAGATTTCTGGAAAACAAAGGAAAATAGAGCTATCTAGCAAACAGCATGGGGGTAAGAAGAATTTCCAGCTCACTTTGGAAATGATTCCAAAAGGAGCTACCAGCAGTCCTGATTAACTTAATTAAATTATGTCAGAGTCATTTGAACTGGAGCAACTCAATCTTCAATAGGAGCTGGGTAAAATGAGGCTGAGACCTACTTGGCTGTACTCCCAGATGGTTACGTATTCTAAGTCACAGGATGAGATAGGAGGTCGGCACAAGATACAATTCATAAAGACCTTGCTAATAAAACAGTTTGCAGTAAAGAAGCTGGCCAAACCCCACCAAAACCAAGATGGCAACAAGAGTGACCTCTGGTCATCCTCACTGCTATACTTCCACCAGTGCTATAACAGTTTACAAATGCCATGGTAACATTAGGAAGTTACCCTATATGGTCTAAAAAGGGGAGACATGAATAATCCACCCCTTGTTTAGCATATCATCAAGAAATGACCATAAAAATGGATAACCAGCCACCTCAGGGCTTCTATGTCTACGGAGTAGCCATTCTTTTATTCTTCTACTTTCTTAATAAACTTACTTTCACTTTACTCTATGGACTTGCCCAAAATTCTTTCTTGTGCGAGATCTAAGAACCCTCTCTCAGAGTCTGTATTGGGACCTGTTTCCAGTAACAGTTATAATACTGAAACATTTTCTTTAAAGAATTACCTGGATTAAATGTTTTGCATTTCCTTGCACTGCCCTAGTTTTCCTAAAATTTGACTATAAATGGGAAGAATAGTACAAAAAAAACATAAATGGTGTCTTACAGTAAAGTATGCTGAAAATGATTTTTAAAATATGCCAATGAAATACACGATAAGCCTAAAGGAATCATTTTGCTTTTTTATTCCATCACACTGTGACACCACAAAGGCTAAGAGAAAGTTACATTTTTTGGGTTACTCAGATAATGCATATTTTGCAATCTGATGTTTCAGAGATCAAAAGGAAAGTAATATTGTGCATAGCTAATGCTCTAAGTAGCCAGTAAAAAAGTTTACACCTTACTGGAATCCAACTAATAGACACCCTGTAGCTTTCCTTTAAAAAAAATGCAATTTAACTGAATTCACTTAAAAAATATTTGATTTAAATAGAATATTTGGGGGGGAGTATGGAAGAGGATGATCATTAGCTATACAGTATTTGTAGTATTCCCGCAATCAAACACTGCAGGCAACTTTTCTCATAAATATAACTCTTCAGTCAATTTAACACTCCAAATGATCTAATTTTACCTTTCGTCTTTGAAATAGAAGAATAAATATATCACATTGTTTAGAAAAATTAGAGAAAAGTAAAATATATAATTCCTCATGAATTAAAAATACAGTAAATATCTTCACAAAATTGCATTGCATTTTGCTACTTAACATACTGCTTTTTACTCATTCATTAATTTGTAAGATAAATGTTTATTAAAAAACTATTACATGTGAAATATTTCACTCTATGTATTTACCAAAAACCAAACCATACACTATTTATGCTTTTAGGGAAAAAAGTACAAACAATTAAAAATAAGTTTTAATTATGACATTTGCCATGACAAATAATTGATATAGAACAACCGAGAAACATCTCTTTAGTTTGGATGATAAGAAAAAATCCTAAGGAGATTATTTTACCGTTAAAATTTGAAGGGTACAGAGGATCTAGCCATTTGGAGAGAGATATTCAAAGCAGAGAGTTATATGAAGAATTAAAAAACAGTGTGATTTATGCATGAAAGATTAAAATAGTAGCCAAAGATCAAACCACACAGAGCCTTCTGTTTATTCTAGAAGATTGGATTTCATTCTTGTGAAATTTGAATTCTGGTAACCAGAGGAGTATAATACTCTGAATATGACACACACACACACACACACACCTGCATATGTGTGCACACACATACAAACACACACACACTTAGATATCATTTGGCCTTCTTTGTGAAGAGCATTCTGAAGTAGGAATGTGAAGTGCAGAGACCAGATAAAAGGAAAGACAACTAAACTGGAGAATTGCTGGGACAGGTTACTAGCCCTGGGTGTAAATAAGTCCATATAAATATATTTTGCTTGAATAAACTGTTTTAATTTAGGTGTTTTTCATTATAGAGATTAAGAAACAACCTTACATAATGCTACAAGATGTTGGAAAGTGATTGAACAGGGAATGCCCATACTTGTTTCTAGCTTATTCTTTGCAATAGTAGGCAAACTTTCTCTTTGAGATGCTACATTGTGCAATGCGTAGTAATAAGTATGAATTTTGTTTTAGAGGATAACTTGTTTCCCCAAAAAAAGAGACTATATCAGGTAACATTATCTAAATTAATAAATAAACCTGTAAACTAGCTAAAATTAGCGTCTGTATCACCTGTAGGAATAGTTTTTGAAAGGGCATATAGCCATGTGTTTTCATTATTTTTGTTTATAACATCAAAATATCTATAGTCATGGAGTGTTTTAGTAATGTTAAAGCAGTTTCATATAATGATTGTTATTATTTGAATGTTTATTATAAGCCATGAATATATTTTCCTTATAGAATATACACAATTAAACTTAAAGGTAAACACTAAATATCATTGCCTATAATTCATAGGAATTACCAAAGGGATTTTCCTAATGTACACTCCTAGGTCCCCAGTGATTTTTCAGTGGTGCTCTCAGGAATTTTTATAAGGACTTTTTAGGGTGTTCCAATTCAAGTGATTTTTGAGAAAAAAATATTACTTGTATATTTTACACATCAAAACTAATATTAAGTCACTTTATGCATAATTATTTAATATTAACTGTCAAGTGATAAGTAGCTGAGAAACTGATACATGTTAGATAGTGTAGTGTGTTGCATCCTCTCATATGTCATTTTGTTTCATTCTTACAATAAACTTATGAGTTAGGCATTGTAACTAATACCTATTAATACATGATGGTGGCTAGATACATATTTGTCTGACTTTATAATTTGTGTTTGTTTCAGTTCAAAACAGGCAGTAGGCTACTCGACAATATGCCCATGTATAGAGAAAAACATTCCAAAATTTGTAGGGGTAATCAATATTTCTAATGTTTTGTGGGACATAGAGAGAAGCTGGATAGAGAATATTTTTCAAACTCTTACCTTCAAGTAAGAGCTCAACTAAAGCTAAGATACTCATATTCCTGATTATGGTTTCCATAGTCTACCTCTTTATTCCAAGCAAATATAGATAGCCTTATTCCTATACTTTTAACCCTTAGAGTACTGGTAATATTGCCATAAGAATATTTCAACAATGAATGAAATCATATATGAATTCAGACCTAACAAATAAATACAAGTTAAAATTTAGGAAAGGAAATTTTTAAAATTTTCCAATATTGTGGATAGAAAAATTTCACAAATTGAATAGTATTATCAAATTTGCAATCACACTTACTATTAGATAATCTCTACTTATACTTTAATTATATGAAAATTTATATGGGCTTCTGCACGCATATATTTATGTATATGTATATATAGATGAATAAAAGATAGTATTTGGAAGCCAAATTATAAATTTCATTAAATGAATCCTTTGATTTACAATAATCTATATGATTATTTAGACAGCAGTTATAAATGTTAGTTATATATAAAAAATTCCCCTATATAAGAAATAATGCTAAAAACATGGAAAACGTTCTGTTTTATTTCCATTCAGTCATTCGGTCAATCACAAAAAAAGGTTTCTACTTGTTTTTGAATGTGACAGAATATAGGAATGTAATTATGAACAATAAAGGGTGATTGTTCTTAAAAAACTTGCTGTCAAATGGAGACAAATTAGAATACAGAGGAAATTATGATATAGTGTTATTCATGTAGAATAATTATGAATATATTTAGAGAATTAAGAGAGCACTTAGAATGAGCTAATAAATCCTGAGGAATTAGAGAGTTTGCTGAAAAGTTTATATCTGACCTGAATCACAATATAAAAAAAGAAATGGCCTGACTAAATTGAGATAAATATAGAATGACGCAAAAAATGAAACATTAATTTTGACATTTGATAAATTGTTAATTACATACATATGTGTATGATATGCATATTTATTTAAAATTAACTTGGGACTATGTTGCTTTATGATTAATTTATTGAGAGTGTATTAAAAAAAATGGCAGGACAGAGGGCCCAAGTTCATCCCCCTACATAAATACCAACTTGACAACCATCAACAGATTTTTTAAAAATGCCATTGTAAGAGCTCTGAAATCCAAGGGATGCAGTACCACACACAGTGGAGCACAGCACAGAAACTAAAAGAAAGCCACATTAAAAAGAGTAAGAGAAGTTTTCTTGCATCATTGCTTTTTAAGTCAGTATGGTTCATCACTGAGAAGAATTTATTGGATCTATAATTTCTCCTGTGGCGAAAGTATAGTATAAGTGGACTTGGAGCTTCCCAGCATTTCAGGGCACTTCCCAAGTGACCCATTCTGTATTGCCTCACCCAGAGCGTTGGCGAAATTGGCATGACTCAATGCCTTGGAAGAACTTAAGTACAAAGAGAAGTGGTGTGGTCTCTCAACAACAAGTGTACAGAATGTGGTGGTAGAATCCACCTTCCCATAAACCCTAACAGTAGGCTTCACCTGCACACAGGTCCTAACAGCAGTTCCCACCTACACACAGACTGCAACAGCAAACCCACCAAGAATCTGTGACCAGGTTGACTACCATAGAGGTATTTCCCCGCCAAAGTAATTTGGTAAAGTCTAGGGAAAAAGTGACTGTATCTTTAAATATGCAGACACTGGCAGAAGGATACAAAGGTCAGGAAGAACCAGGGAAATGTGACACCACAAACAGAGCTTAATTAAACTCCTGTAACCAGCCTTAAGGAAACGGATATCTATGTATTTTCTGACAAAGAATTCATCTTAAGGAAGCTTATTGGAATATAAAACAGCATAGATTTGCAAATAAACAAAACTCAGAAAAAATATAAGGACAAAATTAGTTCAATAAACAAACAAAGAAACACAAAAACAAACAGAATCCTAGAGTTGAAGAATATAAGGACTGAATCAAAAAATTCAATAGAAAGATTCAACAGCAAACTTGATCAAAAGAAGAAAGAATCAGTGAATTCAAAGACAGATCAATTGAATTTAGACTGTCAGAGAAGAAAAAGAAAAAAAGCTGAAAAATTGTGAAGAAAGCTTATGGCACTTATGTGACACAACCAATTGCAACAAGGCATACATTATAGGAGTCTAAAAAGAGAAGAGAGACAAAGCAGAAGAAATATTATTTAAACACATAATGCAGAAAACTTCCCACATCTTGAGAGAGAAATGAACATTCAGACTCATGAATCTGAAAGACCCCAAATCAGTAAAACATATGGATATCTACATCAAGGCACATTATAATTACATTGACCAAAATCAAAGATGGAGAGAATTTTGAAAGCAGAGGTAGAAGTGATCACATTCATGGGAACTCTCACAAAACTGTCAGAGGATTTCTCACAGAAACTATGTGGACCGAGAAAGAATGGGTTGATATATTTAAAACACATAAAGAAAAAACTGCTGCCAAGAATACTATAACCACCAAATATGTCCTTTAATACTGAAAAGAAAAACATTTTCCCAGGTCAGTAAAAACTGAGGGAGTTCATCACCACTAAACCTGCTTTCTAGGAAGTACTAAAAAGAGTTCTACAAATTATAATAAAAAGATACTATATGGTACACAAAAGCATTTAAAAACATAACTCTCACTGGCAAAGGCAAATGTACAGACATATATAAATATTGTAACACATTAATGGTGGTGTGTAAAGAGCAAAATCTGATATAAATAACACAATGTGTCAAATAAGTAAAATTGTAGTTTTGTTTGTGATTTAAGTTAAATTGTTCTCAGCTTAATATAGACTGTTATTAATATAAGATTTTTGATGCAATCTCATATTGTCCACAAGAAGCAAAACCTATAATAGATAAATAAAAAAAGGAGAGAAAAAAAGAGCACAGAGCATATCACTGAAAAAATAAACACAAGGAAAAACAAGAGAGGAGAAAACAAGAGAACTACAAAATAAAATATAATAAAAAAGTGCAATAGTAAGCCTTTACCTACGAATAATTACTTTACTTAGAAACTGACTAAATACTGCAAACAAATATATAGAATAGTTGAATGGATAAAAAAGCAGTAACCAACTTTATGCTGACTATAAAAACTCACCTTAGACATAAGGAGGCACATAGGCTGAAAGTGAAGAATTGGAAGAAGACATTTCATACAAATGGTAAACAAAAGAGAGAAGAAGTGGCTATACTTATATCAGATAAACATATACACCCACTATATACCTACAAAAATTAAAAATAAAAAATCTTTAAAAATTGGCTTTAAGTCAAAAACTGTCACAAAAGACAAATAAGGTCATTATATAATGATAAAAGGATCAATTCAGAAAATATGTATAATAATTATAAATATGTATGCACCCAACATCAGAACACCTAATTACTTAAAGCAAACACTGACAAATCAGAAGTGAGAGACAGACTGTAATATCATAATAGTAGGTGATTTCAATACCCTACTTTCAATTATAGAGTAGGGTATTGAAGTAGAAAATCAATAAGAAAACAACAGACTTGAAAACACTGTAGACCAAATGGTCCTACAGATACATACAAAGAATTTTACCCAACAGTAATAAAGTATACATTTCTCTCAAGTGCACACAGAACGTTATCCAGGATAAAAAATATGGTAGTTCCCAAAACAAGTCTTAAAAATTTCAAGAAGATTGAAATCATTTCAAGTATCTTTTCCAATCACAATGGAATGAAAATAAATAGAAATCAATAACCAGAGGAAAATGTGAAAATTCACAAAAGCATGAAAATTAGCTCTTTCCCATTTTTCTTGATAGTCCTCACCAGCAGCGCTTGTGGCTGCAGTTTACCCAGAGATAACTTTGCCACAGAATATCTCACTTTTGTTATTATTTTCACATTGCTCTAGTATATAAACTTTGGAAAAAAAGATATTCTATTTATAGCATTCTGTTTTTAATAGTGGTACTTTCATTTATAAAATATAATAATTCTTAATTACTGAAAATGCCAAATCCTAGAAAGCATAGCGTTCTTAAGTGTGATGTTAACATCGTTCTTGAACCATTGTTGGCCAAAGATTCATTTGATGAATCCAGTTTTTCTGAAATAGATGATTTGGATGATTTAGATGAGTTTGATGTTAGTTCTGTTTAGAAATAACTCCTAGAACAATATTTATATTTTATTTCTACATTGAAAGTCAATCATATTTGCTTCATCCTCAACGAATGTGTTCATGTAAAGTTAAATGAATGCTGGCAGTGAGCTGCACTTCTTCATAAATGGGAAAAGGGTTAAACGATACACCACCAAGCAACAATTAGATAAAAGAAGAAATCAAAAAGGAAATCAGCAACCATCTCAAGATAAACAAAAACAAAACATACCAAAACTTACCGAGTACAGTTAAAGAAGTACTGAGAGAGGAGTTTATAGCAATGAAAGTCTACATTAAAAAAAAGAAGAACTCAAATAACCAACCTAACTTTATTCTTCAAGAAACTAGGAAAAGAAGAACAAACTAAGCACAAATTGAGCAGAAGGAAGTAAAGAATAAATATCAGAGCAGATGTCCATGAAATAGAGATAGAAAGACAATTTAAAAATTGCTAAAACTTAGATTTGGTATTTTTAAAAAATAAACAAATTAGAAAAGACGAGAAAAATCAAATAAAATTAAAAATGAAAGAGGCAATATTTCAACTGATGGCACAACAATTAAAAAATCATAATAGACTATTATGAGTGACATTCCCCCAACTATTGGACAAACTAGAAGAAATAGATAAATTCATAAAAATATAAAATCTACTAAGTGAGAAGTAAGAAGAAATAGAAAGCCTGAAAAGACCAATAACAAATAAAGAGGTTTATTCAGTTATTTAAAACTTCTTAAGAAACAAAAGCTTAGAACTAGATGGTTTCACAGGTAAATTCAAGAAAAAAAAAACTTTTAAAAAATAATCAATACTAATGTTACTTAAACGTTTTCAAAAAATAGAAAAAAAATTGAACACTTTCTAACTCATTCAATAAAGCCAACATCACCTTAATACTAAGGCATGAGAAAGAAAATACAACTTCAAGCTAGTATCCCTGATAAACATAGTACAAAAATGCTCAAGAAAATACTAGCAAACCAGATTTAAACCACATTACAATTTTCATACACCATAACCAAGTAGAATTTATACCTAGGATGAGAGGATGGTTGAATCAATCATCCAAATCAATCAATAAGTTACACTACATTAACAGAATGAACAGTAAAACTTACATGATCCTCTTAGTAGCTACAAAAAAGTATTTGATAAAATTTAATTCCCTTTCATAATAAGAATGCTCAATAAAGTAGAAGGAACTAACCTCCAAACAATAAAGACCATTTTAAAAAAATTGGCGGGCGTGGTGGCTCATGCATGTAATCCCAGAACTTTGGGAGGCCGAGGCAGGTGAATCACAAGGTCAAGAGATTGAGATAATCCTAGCTAACATGGTGAAACCCTGCCCCTACTAAAAATACAAAAAATTAGCCAGGCATGGTGGCACACACCTGTAGTTCCAGCTACTTAGGAGGCTGAGGCAGGAGAATCGCTTGAACCCGGGAGGCGGAGGTTGCAGAGAGTCAAGATCAGGCCAGTTCACTCTAGCTGGGGTGACAGAACGAGACCCCTCTCAAAAAACAAACAGACAAACAAAACAATTACACTCATTATTGAAAAGTTAAAAACTTTCTCTCTGAGATATGGAACAAGGCAAAGACACTCACTCTCAGCACTCCCATTTAACATAGTATTAGAAGTCCTAACCAGAGCAATTAGGCCAGGAAAAACATCCAAATATATTCAAATTTGAAATGAGTAAGTGAATTTAAATCTGTTTGCAGATGACATAGTCTTAAATGTAGAAAACTTCAGAGCCCACAAAAAACCTCTTCAGATGAATAAACATATTCAGTAAAGTTGCATATTAGAAATCAACATTAAAAATTAGTTGAGTTTCATTCACATCTAATTTTGTACACATCTAATTTTGTGTACTTCTGAACAGGAAATTAAGAATTTTGTTTACAATAGTATAAAAAAGAATAGAATCCTTACAAATAAATGTATCCAAGGAAGTGAGGAATTGGTACACTGAAAACCATACGACATTCATGAAAATAATTAACACAGACACAAATAAATGGAAAAATATTCCATGCTCATGAATGATTAGAAGAATTAATATTGTTAAATGCCCAAATTACCAGAAGCAATTTACAGAATCAGTGCCATCTCTTTCAAAATCCCAATGGCATTTTTTACTGTAATAGAACTATGCTAAAATTCATTTGAAATTACAAAACACCCTGAATGGCTAAACCAATTTTGAGCAAAAGGAATAAAGTTAGAGGTATGATGTTCCTTGATTTCAAAATACATTGCAAATCTAGAGTAATCAAAATAGTATGAGACTAATAAAAAAATTGACACCAGTGTAACAGAACAAAGACTCAGAAGTAAACCCATGCTTATATGAGCAATTCGTCTTCCATGGGTCAAGATTACACAATTTGGAAAGTATAGTCTCTTCAACAAATGGCTTGGGCAAAACTGGATATCCATAAGCAAAAGAATAAATTTGAACCTTTATCTCATACCATACAAAAAAAAAAATTCAAAAATGCTTTGAAGACAAAGGTAAAATCTGAAGCCATAAAACTATTAGAAGAAAACATAAAAAAATTTTTTTCTTGGATTTGGCAACAATTTCTTGCATCTAATACCAAGGCTCAGGCAACAACGACAAATACAGACAAGCTGACTTACATTAAACTAAAAATTTTCCACATATCAAAGGAAACAATCAACAAAATACAAAGTCAGCCATAGGAGGAAAAATTTGCAAATTGTTTATCTGATAAGGGGTTAATATTAAAAATATTAAGGAACTCATATACAACTCAATAGAAAACAAAACCAAACCCCAGATAATCCAACTATTTAAATGGGCAAAGAACCTGAATAAACATTTCTCCCAAGAGGATATACAAATGGCCAGCAGGTATATAAATAGGTGCTTAACATCACTAATCATCAGGGAAATGCAAATCAAAAGTCAAATTACATCTCACTTCATACCTGTATACCTGTTAAAATGACTATTATTAAAAAAAACTGAAATTTAAAAAGCTACAACTAAAACCAAAAGATAATTGCTGGAAGGATTTGAAGGAAAGGGAATCCTTGTGCACTGTTGGTAAAGATATAAATGGATGTAAATACTATGGAAAACAGAAAGGAGGTTACTCCAAAAATTAATAGACAAAGTATCATTTAATGCAACAATCCCAATTCTGGGCATATGTCCAAAGGAATTGAATATCGGGATCTCAAAGAGCTATTTCCACCCCCATGTTCGTTGAAGCATTATTCTCAGTAGTCAAGATGTCTAAAATGTCTATAGGATAAAGAAATTATGCTGTATACATACAATGAAATATTATTGAGCCTTAATAATGACAGAAGTACTACCATTTTTAGCAAGAGGCATGGACCTCGAGGATTTTATGGTAAGTAATTAAGCCAGACACAAAAGGACAAATATGGCATGATCTCACTTACACATAGATTCAAAAATAGTCAAACGTATAGTAGCAGAGAATAGACTGGTGATTATCAGGGATTGGAGGGAGGGGAAAATGGAGAGTTGTTGATCAAAGGGTTCAAAGTTTCAGTTATGCAAGATCGTTAAGTTCTAGGGATCTACAGTAGAGGATAATACTGTTACCAGTGGAAGGTATCCAGTTACCAGTGGCAAATCCATACAGGGCTGCAGCAACCTCAATTCTTGCCTCCTCAGAAGAAAGAATTTGACTGAGGGCATAAGGCAGAAAGAGACTCAGGCAAGTTTCAGAGCAGGAGTGGAAGTTTATTAAAAACTTTAGAGTAGGAAATAAAGGAAAGTACACTTGGAAGAGACCCAAATGGGCACCGAGAAGGTCAAGTGCCATGTTTAACCATGATCCTAGGACTTTACAGTCTGATCTTCTTCCTGTATCTTGCACTCCTTTCCCATGTGTCTTCCCTTAGGGTGGGCTGCCCACATACACAGTGCCTTTCTTACCCTTGAAAACTGAGCATGTGTAGTGTGTTTAGGAAGTTGTATGCATGCCCGTCTGAGGCTTTCTTCTCTTTTCTGGTGGAGTGCCCCCAGAATGTCATACTTGGCCATTTTGTCTCATAATGTGCGTGCCCGGGGTCACTCGCCCGTATCTGAGATGTTATTGGAAGCTCTTTTTTGCTTTTCCCTGGTGCCTGCATTCAATTTATACTATAATGTTAACTGTGGACCATTAGAAGATTGTCTTTCCCTGGTGCAGGCTGTCAAATTATCATTTTTAGAGAGGCAATGTGATGATTGTCAAACCATCACCTGATATTTCTGGTGGGTAGGGGAGAGCCCTCTCCTGCCCCACTCATGCCTAACTACCCATAACAATACCTAGAGTTAACAATATTATTTTGTCTAATTAAAAATTTGCTAAGCAGGTAAATCTTATGTTAAGCAGTGTCACCATAAAAGAAAAAAATAAAACTTTTGGAGGTGATGACTAGATTTATGGCCTTAACTGTGGTAATAATTTCACAAGTGTATATTTATCTCCAAATTCATCAAGTTTTGTCAGTCATATCTCATTAAAGTGGTTTAAAAATAATATCCTGAAAAAAGATTAATTTTCTTTCATGAAACTTCAAAATCAACTTATTTTACCAAAGGAATTATGAGTTACATAGTAGTGCATAAAAGATCTGTACAGCTAGATTGCTTATATTTGCAGAAAAGTTTAATGTTGATAAGATTACATTTATATTCAACAGAATTTACCAGAACTCCTATGTATATATATTACAAACATGTTAATTAGGTCTCAAGTAACATTTTTTTAGATAAAAAAATTTTTTTGAATCAAGGTCATGAATATGTGTGTGTGGGGGAGGGCATATATATCTCCACTTAGCAGCCGAGATTTTATTAAAATGATTTGTTGCATTGTCTAATTTCTCATTTAGAAACAGTTAAGGAAGTTCCTTGCTTTGTGAATTTGTACATATCCTACCTCTATCTTAATATGTTTATATAAATTTCAGAGGGCCATATCTACCCAGAGGGAAACACATGCCTAAGGGTAGAGATTCTCAAAATGCTGCTTTCTATGAACAAAGTGATGATGTGCAGGCTTTGTATGCCTAGCTCCTCTTCAGAGGCAAACACTGACATGTATACTAAAACACTGTGAATTTCATGAAGCTAGAAAGATCATATGAAAAGATGTTAATTGGTCATTTATTCATCAAATTGTAGAATCCAATTTTACTTGGTCATTTATGTGGAATTTGTCCACTATAGGGTGTTAGCTGGAAGTGAATAAAAATGTTAATCTTCTTGCTTAATTTAATTTGGATAATATTCTTTATTTCTCTTCCTATCCTGAAGTTCACTAATCCCCTATTATTATCTATTGCTTTCACCTCTCCCAATTTTAATATTTGAATATTCAGCTCCTTAATTAGTGTTTTATATAATTTATCAAGTGTGAATTTGCCTAAATGTACACTTAAGTAAAAATAATATTCTAAAGATATTTCCAATTTATAATTCTATTTATACATTACTGGAAATATATGCTAATATTTTGTTTTGAATTATTCATCAATGTTCAAGAATGATATTGATCTCTAGTTTACTTTGTTGCAATGTCTTTTCCTTGCTTTGGTATTATTGTAATGCTAGCCTCAGAGAATGAGTGCAAAATATTCCCCTCTGCTTTTATTTTCAGGAACAGATTACAGAAATTGGTATCATTTTTTCCTTAAAGATCTGGTACAGTTCACCAGTGAAATTATTTTGATCTAATGTTTTTGTTTCTTGAAGATTATTTTTATTAAACTCATTTATTTAATATATAGATATGCCTATTGTGATTACTTATTTCTCCTTATTTCAGTTTGTGTCTTTCAAGCATTAGTCCATTTCATCTGTTTTTAGATACATACATGTTAAGGATTCTTATGTGTTTTTGGAAATTTAACAGTAATATGATTTGGCTGTGTCCCTACCCAAATCTCATCTTAAATTGTAACTCCCACAATTCCCATGTTTCATGAGAGGAACTCGGTGGGAGGTTGAATTATGGAAGTGGGTCTTTACTGTGCTATTCTCATGATAGTGAATAAGTCACAAAAGATCTGATGGTTTTAAAAATGGAAGTTTCCCCACACAAGATCTCTCTTTGCCTGCCACCATCCGTGTAAGACATGACTTGCTCCTCCTTGCCTTCTGCCCTGATTGTGAGGCCTTCCAAGACACGTGGAACTGGAATTCCAATAAACCTCTTTCTTTCGTAAACTGCCCAGTCTTGGGTATGTCTTTATCAGCAGCCAGAAAACAAACTAATATAGTAAATTGGTACCAAGAGCGGGGTGCTGCTGAAAAGAGACCTGAAAATGTGGAAGCAACTTTGGAACTGGGTAATAGGTAGAGGCTGGAAAAGTTTGGATGGCTCAGAAGAAGACAGAAAACTATGGGAAAGCCTGAAACTTCCTAGAGACTTGTTCAATGGCTTTGATCAAAATGCTGATAAAGATATGGATAATGAAATCCAGGCTGAAGTGGTCTCAGATGGAGATGAGGAACTTGTTTGGAACTGGAGCAAAGGCGACTCTTGTTATATTTTAGCAAAGAGACTGGTGGCATTTTGCCCCCTCCCTAGAAATTTGTGGAAGTTTGAACTTGAGAGAGAAGATTTAGGAGATCTGGCAGAAGAACTTTCTCAGCAGCAAAGCATTCAAGAGATGACTTGAGTGCTGTTAAAGGCATTCAGTTTTATAAGGGAAGCAGAGCATAAAAGTTCAGAAACTTTGCAGCCTGACAATGTGATAGAAAAGGAAATCCCATTTTCTGAGGAATAATTCAAGCGGGCTGAAGAAATTTGCATAAGTAATGAGGAGCCAAATGTTAACCCCCAAGAATATGGGAAAAATGTCTCCAGGGCATGTCAGAAGTCTGCAGGGAAGCCCCCCTTATCACAGACCTTGAGGCCTAGGAGGAAAAAGTGGTTTCCTAGGCCAGGCCCAGGGTCCCTGAGCTGTGTGCAGCAGGTACCTGGTTTCGTGTATCCCAGCCACTCCAGCTGTGCCTGAAAGGGGCCAATGTAGAGCTTGGGCTATGAATTCAGAGGGTGCAAGCCCCAAGCCTTGGCAGCTTCCATGTGGTGTTGGGCCTGTGAGTGCACGGAAGTCAAGAATTGGGATTTGGGAACCTCTGGCTAGATTTCAGATGTATGGAAATGCTTGGATGCCCAGGCAGATGTTTGCTGCAGGGAAAGGCCCTCATGGAGAACCTCTGCTAGGGCAGTGCAGAAAAGAAATGTGGGGTTGGAGCCCCCACTCAGAGTCCCTACTGGAGCACCATGTAGTGGAGCTGTGAGAAGAGGGTCACCATCCTCCAGATCCCAGAATGGTAGATCCACTCACAGCTTGCACCATGCAACTGGAAATGCCACAGACACTCAATGCCAGCCTGTGAAAGCAACCAGGAGGGAGGCTATACCCTGCAAAACCACAGGGGCAGAGATGCCCAAGACCATGGGAAGCCACCTCTTTCATCAGCATGACCTGGATGTGAGGCATGGAGTCAAAAGAAATCATTTTGGAGCTTTAAGATTTGACTGCCCCACTGGATTTTGAATTTGCATAGCACTTGTAGTCCCTTTGTTTTGGCCAATTTCTCCCATTTGGAATGGCCGTATTTACCCAATGCCTGTATCTAGGAAGTAACTAACTTGCCTTTGATTTTACAGGCTCATAGGCAGAAGACACTTGCCTTATCTCAGATATGACTTTGGACTCTGGACTTTTAACTTAATGCTGAAATGAGTTAAGAATTTGGGGGACTGCTGGGAAGCCATGGTTGGTTTTGAAATGTGAGGAAATAAGATTTGGGAGGGGCTGGGGTGGAATGATATGGTTTGGCTGTGTCCCTACCCAAATCTCATATTGAACTGTTACTCCCACAATTCTCACATGTCATGGGAGGAACCTGATGGGAGGCAATTGAATTATGGGGGCAGGTCTTTCCTGTAATGTTCTCATGATAGTGAATTAGTCTCACAAGATCTGATAGTTTTAAAAATGGGAGTTTCCATGTATAAGCTCTCTTTTTCTCTTTGCCTGCTGCCATCCATGTAAAATGTGACTTGCTCCTCCTTGCCTTCTGCCATGATTGTGAGGCCTTCCCAGACACGTGGAACTGTAAGTCCAATAAACCTCTTCTGTTGTAAATTGCCCAGTTTCGGGTATATGTTTGTCAGCAGCGTGAAAACAGATTAATGCAAACTCCATAGTGATTTACATCATTATATGACGTCCTTCTCTCTCCCTGATAACTGTCTTTTCCTTGAAGTCCAATTTCTCTGAAACTAATATTATTATTAGAAAGTTCCAAAGATTTGAAACAACAACAACAAAATTCCTGGGATTAATAAGCAATTATAGCAAGGTGTCAGGATTCAAGGATAATACAAATAATTAATTGGTTTCCTACATTCCAGCAATGAATATTTGGAAAATAAAATGAAAACCAATTAATTTTAATTTAAAATTAAAAACATGGTGTCATTTATGGTATCACAAAAAAGGGAAATACTTAGGTATAAGTCTAACAAAATGTGTATATGATCTATATGAGAAAGACTACAAAAAATCTTATCAAAGAAATCAGGGAATAACTAACATTTGTGAATTAGAATATTCAATACTAGTAAGCTGTCAATTCTTCTTAGCTTGCTCTATAGGTTCATGGCAATCCCAAATATGCCAGAAAGTTATTGTGTAGATATTAACAAATTCATTCTAAATTTATATAGAAAGGTCACCCAACACAATACTAAAGCAACAGAGCAGAGTTGGTAGACTAACTCATTTCAAGACTTACTACAAAGTTATAAGAATCAAGACAGCACAATATTGAGGAAAGAATGAGGACACAGATCAATGGAGTAGGATAAAGAGAACAGACATAGACTCACGCAAATATAATCAAATGAACTGTGACAAAGATCCACAGCCAATTCAATGGAGAAAGGATAGTGTATTCAACAAGTCATGCTGAAACAAATAGATGTCCATATCCAAAAAATGAGGCAAGACACACAGCATACACCTTCATCAGAAAATAACTCAAAATTGATCATAAATCTAAATGTAATGCAGAAAAGCCTGAAACTTCTGGGAGAAAACATAGGAAAGAATGTATGTGATGAAGTCCTTGATATAACACCAATAGTACAACCCATGAAAGAAAAAAAATGACAATTTGTATTTTTTAAAAATTAAAAATTCTTCTCTGTGAAACACAGAAATGAAAGAATAAAAGATAAGCTATATATGTGGGAACATATTGGAAAAACATTAATAAAGGTCTTGTATGTAAAATATACAAGAACATTTAAAACCATACAATAAGAAATTACAAAATTAAAATGGCAAAAGATCAGAACAGACACCTCATTAAAGTTACACATAAGGCAAATAAACATGTAACTATATGCTCACAATTATTTGTCACCAGATAATTCCAAATTAAAACAATAATACGATACCATTATACATCTATTAGAATGGCTAAAATTCATACAACTCAAAATACGTAATGCTACCAAAGAAACGGAGCAACAGAAACTCACATTAATTGCCGGTGGGAATTTAAAAGGTATAGACACTTAGGAAGAAGTTTAAGTCTCCTACAAAGCTAAAAATATTCTTAAAATATAATCCAGCCATCATGCTTCTAAGTATTTACCCAATATATTTGAAACTTATGGTCACACAAAAACCTTCATACAATGTTTATAAGTGACTTTATTTAGAAGTACCCCCAAATTGAAACCAATCAAGATGTTCTTTGATAGGTAAATGGATTAAAAAAAACTAGTACATCCATATAATGGAATATTATTCAGCCATAATAAATAATGAGTTAGTGAGCCATGAAAGACATGAATGAATATTAACTGCCCATTACTACATGAAAGAAGACTGTCTGCAGGGGCAAGATACTGTACAATTCCCACATATGAAAGCCTGGAAAAGGAAAAACTATACAGACACAATAAAAGATCTGTGTTTGCCATGGGTTCAGAAGGTAGAGATAGGATTGACTATATGAGTCACAGGGGATTTATATGGTGGTAAAAATATAATATATGATATTGTAATGGTGGTTACATTAGTATTATAAGTATGTTAAAGCTCATAGAACTTTACAGCAAAAAGAGCAAACCTTAATATATGCAACAATTTTTAAAAAAACCTTAGGAGTTCAGGGGATCCCAGGAAGGAATGCAGGCTGTGAGAAGAGAATCAACTGTGTTACAAATGAAACAACCTCACTGAATGGAGCGCTGACATGAGTAACTAGACACAAGAGGAGTCTAAGACTCAAAGCAAAAGCAAATGCATGTAAGCACTGCATTGTATTAGACAAAGTTGTATCCCACAGGGGTATAGGTTACCACTTCTAACACTGCTACACCTGTGTAAAGAAGATGAAATATTAAATAAATTCACACCAGATTTTGTTTACTATTGTGAGCCAAGTTTTCTACTTTTGGGAATTTACAGGAAAACAAAGGGATAAGGCTAGAGTAATCCATGGGGTGATGGATTAGAGTTGGGGAGATCAGTGTGAACTTATTTTTACCTCAGTATAGATACAGATGGTTAGACATAAAAATACTTACACATACATATATACACTGGTTAGTATACATTCAGATATTTCCTTGCCTTGTCAGCTTAGAGGCTTAGAAGATACAACACTTCAGTAGCAACAGTCCTCACCTTGCACCTGGATATTAGTTTTTTATACTATTCTCTAGGAAGAGAAAGCAGGAAACCTTAAAGAAATAGCTGATTACAAGAAATATGCAAGGTGAGGCTGAAATATCTTGTAGTGCCAGAAATTAAGGAAGTCTTAAAATAAAAACAGACAACAAAAGAAGTCACAGTGATGGAGGGATCTTGAAAGGACACAGGGAATAACTGAAAGTGCTCTCAATGCCCAAAGTGAAACAATTTGAGTAATGAAATAAATAAGCTAGTATTGTATTATAAGCCGAAATATAAAATCATATGTCTACACTAATACAAATTTTCAAAAAAAAAAAAAAGAAAGAAAAGACAACTCTCTTGTGAAAATTTCAAATAATTCTTGCAGGCATTCATCCCTCCAGGTCTCACATGTTAAATTATTCTCTTTTGAAAAGGTGTGTTAAAATTACTAACATTCAATCCAGGTGCTTTGTTAATAGATTTGAGCCATTTGAGTTTAATGTAGCAAGCAATATCACAATAACCCTCTCCAAATCTTAATAATTCAAAAGAATCTACAATTTTTCCTGTTTCCCATTCTTCATCAACTGAAAATTCAGTGCTTGAATTTTTTTTTATTAAATAGATAGTTCTTTCTGCTTTTGTGGTTTTACAATTGCACGGCCTAAGTGATTTATTGCAAAATGAAAAGTGAGTTACCAGGTAACAACGTAAGTAGTATGTTACTAACGTGGTACTACTATTGCCACGGTAGGGTTCACATTACACTCAAGGTGCTCAAGGGCAAGGCTGTTCATCCTCTATTTCAAGCTTATGTCTCATTTCAATGTCAAACAATGTCATTTCCCAAAAATATAGCCATGTGGTGGTCTACTGCTTCATTGATTTTGCAGGACCCAGCACAAGTTATGGCACAACTGACTATTTTTCACCAAAAGGCTAGTAGGTACACTAGCATACACACACCTCCCACCACCCTCTGAGAACAGAAGGCATCCTCTCTAATTGGCTGCTCAGATTCCAAGCAAGCTTCGATATTTTTGCAAATGTTATTTTAGCAAATGTTGTTTTCCTGCATGTTGTCTTGAAAGGGACATGTTAATTATATTAAGCCTGGCAAAGATCAAGAGAAGAGAAACATGATTGTCAGATTTAGTCAAATATTATTGTGAATATATACTATTAACTATATATGCATTTTATATATGATTATGGGAGACGAAGAAATAAAAGGTACAAAATGTCAGTATCCCCAAATTCTCCTAGGTTATTTTAGTACAATAATTATTAGTAATATAAATAACACTCTCCTAGTAGTAATATAAATAAAAATATCCAAGGCATCATACTGAAGCATAAGGACTGCCAGCAGAACCGGTTTAAATCATTACAATATATTGTCATCCTATATAGACGTCTTCTTTTATCATTTTTCCCTTTATTTCTTGATGTTTTCCTTGAAAATTTTTATTATATTCTTATCCTTTCTCTTCTGTATCATACTAGTAGAATACATTTTACTTTTAAATATTTTTCTTTGTAAGTTTACAATTTTAAATATTAAAATTACAAAACTTGTCTAAGATTTGTTTCCAGATAATTGTGAGTTGAAGTTTTCTTAATAGATATAAATTCCCTTCATTTAAAAATATTCTAGAACTATAAGTTTTAAAGTTTTTAAAATAATAAATTATTTTGAAGAATATTCATATCCATATAAAAACAGTCAATAAATAATGTTAAGATCATTTTTAAGACCATTCAGAAAATTTACATTAAACCTTTACCTCAAAAGACAGAGGAACCAGTGTAGATACATTATTTATTTATTTGTCTCATCTGTTTAGTTAACTATCCAAAATATTCACCACTCTTCTCCCAATAAGTAATATAACTTCTCTTCTTTTTCTTAGCTGTGTCATGATGACAAGTAAATGTAGCCAACTATCATATTCAGGTTGATTTCCTGCATTGGGAACAGATCTGAAAAGGAAGGTCTGCCTAATGGGCATATTTGAGTCTTTATTAGTTGCCAGATTTATGGAAATGTTCTATAGTCAATTAAGCTGATGGTGTTTTTCAGTGATTTCCAATTGAACTTATGTTTCAACCATAGAATTAACAGTAAGAGGATTCACTTAGAAGTGTTTTCAAAAGTGAAAATCAACCTTTTCTCTCTCCTTTTTTGTGGCTTCTCCTGAAACCAGGAAGATTTGGTGATAACTAGTTCATTGTCTGTCACTAGGTGTGAATATTTGACAGATTTCTTCAGTAGTCTTACATGCTAGAGCTGCTAGGATAGAAATAAAGTATAAAATTTTAAGACTGCAGTGAAAGAAATTGGTGATTGGCCTTAAAATTGGAAAAGTAAAAATGGGTTCATTAATAAGCATTACTTGTTGGAAATAAAATGATGAGACAAGGAAAAGAATCAGGTGTGCAAAATTTCATATAATTATATTATTATTAAAATAAAAGTATTAAAATTATGAAAATATACTTTTTGAGATATTATGATACAACAAACTCTTATATTTTTTATACCTTCACAATGAAAGACATCATGCAATTTATTATGCTCCCTGGATTTTACTTCTTTCTCCATAAATTGTTTGCTTAGTGATCCAAATGGATTTTGGACAGTGGAAATTTAAGGTTGAAATAAGGACTGTCACTCACTTGGTGAAATCCTCATTCGAAGTCTCAGCTTATGCATAAAATTAGAAAACAATATTTACCACATAGCAGTGATATGTGGATCACATGGAATTTTATGTGAAAATGCTTAAAATATTAAAATTGTGTATGTATGTTGTTAAAAAAAGGTTATGTGATAGAAATAGTAGTATACACTTTGGTTATAAAATTTAAAATTTGTAGTCAACTATAAAATGTCTTACCAGTTATTTTGTGTGAATACCTGTTCTGGGTTAATTCTACTCCCTTTCTCAAGTCATGTACTGATATCCTATTCCCTATACATCAGAATGGGACCTTATTTGGGAACACAGTTGTTCCAGGTACATTTAGTTAATGTGAGGTCAAACTGCAGTAGGGTGGGTCCTACTCAAATATGACTCATGGCCTCATAAAAGAGCGAAATTTGAACACAGATAAAGACACGAGGCAAACAGCATGTGAAGGTGAAGATAGAGATTTGGGTGAAACTTCCATAAGCCAACGAATGCCAAAGGTTACCAGCAAACCACCAGAATCCCTCAGAGAGAACCAACCTTGCCAACCTTTTAATCTTGGACTATAGCCCCCAGAAGGGTGAGGCACAAACTTTCTGTTATTTATGCCACCCTGTGTTGTGCTACTTTGTTAGGACATCCATAGGAACTAATACAGTGCCTATTACCAACGCATTGTCTTCTGTAGAGCTGGATTAGCCTTATTTGAAATTCCCATACTTTGCTAATTCCCATACTTTGCTAAGTTTACCTAATCCATTCTTCAACAATTTAAATTACTGCTATACTGTGATTGTTTTCTTAACATTTTTGACCTTATCTTTGTAAATAGTTGGTTTCTATGATATAATCATCTCTGACCTCTACTACAAATTTATTTTTCTTATAACTTAATTATTAGGACATAGTTAATCTTTAGTACATTCTTTGCTAACTTAAAACTCCTTTCTCAAAATCCTCTCTAATTATATATTCCCTCAGGATGTTTTATTTTCCTAAAAAGCTTCTCTAATTACCATTCCATGTAATCATCATCATTATTTATTCATTCAGCAGCTATTATAATTCTTCTAAAAACAATAATGGGATTATGCTACTCTCCAAATAAAAAAAAATTCAATAATTTCTTTCACACTTAGACTTAAATTATACATTAAAGTTGTCCTCAAGACCCTGCCTGTTCTGATCACTGTAACTCTCTCCAGTATTCTCTCTTCCATTTTTTTTCATCCCTCTAAGGCTCAGACTCACTGTGCTATATTTTAAATGCACAAAGCTCACTTTGCCTCAGTGTGGGGTTGCCAGATTGAGCAAAGAAAAAACAGGATGCTCTGTTACATTTGAATTTCAGAAAAACAATGAAAACTTCTTTAGTCTAATTATGCCCCATGAAATATTTGGGACATTCTTCTCCTAAAACAAATGTTGTTTTTCTGAATTTCAAATATAACTGGGTGTCCTGTATTTGATTTGGCAACTCTAGCATCAGGATTTTCGCACCTGTTTTTTTCAACCATAAGCTGTCTTTCTCAGATCTCCACGTGACTTGCTTTCTTATTTTGCTTAAGTGTCTTCTCAATCGTTGTCTTCTCCAACAGGCCTTGTTTTGATTACCCTACTTAAAATAGAATTGCAGTGAAGCAATGCCCTACCATGCTTTATTTTTTCTTTATAGGACTGATATTTAATATTTATGTGTTCACTTTTTGTTTGTCTCATCCCACTAATGAAGCTGTCAAAGGATAAGGATTTTTGTTTGTTTAGTTTTATCACCAGCAGCTATAATCATGGGTGTTCCCCTTCAATATTATATCCTTAGCCCATATACATATGAACTCTAAAAAACCTTCAGTAAGTTATTTTATATCAAATGCATGAATGATTGTCAATACTCATTGGATAACAGACATTATGCAGATATAATGCATATAACAAATAAATAAACATGGGTATGATTTATAACAACTTATACTCTGGTGGGGAAGATACACATTGGTTCAAATAATTTCAAAATAAATACATAAAATTATAATTGACATAAATGCTAAGTAGAAAACATAATGTTTTATAAGAGAAGATAAAATCAGTAATTTCATCTTTTCAGGGTGGGTAAAAAACTCTTTTCTAATGTAAATAGTTTTGAACTTAAATGTGTCTGAGGAATCCACATTAAAAAAGGACATAATTGTGTTTCAGTATGAGTGAAAATTATAAGCAGTTTTCCATGGTAGAGGATTGAAAAAAGTTAAGAATGGCTGGAATAGGGAAAAATAAAAAGTACAATACAATAAAAAGTTAACATTAGATGGATAATTTGTAAACCATGTTATAAAGATTTGTTTCTATCCTAACAATGATTAAGATTTTTAAATATATTTGAAGTTATTTGAGAAGCTTATATCATCAGACAGATTTTAGAGGTGGGGGGAGGGAGAAAGATAACTGGACCTGCAGTGTCAAGAGCAGATGACAGAGTGAATGCAGATGAAAACTTTGAGAAGGATGTTGTAAATGTCCCAATGGGAACTGTTAGTTTGAACTAGGTGATAGAGAGAGTCTGATAAATGTCAAGGAAGAAAAGCAGACAGGACTCAGTAATAAATTAACTACTGTGGGTGAAGGGGATGGACATGCCATGGTTCATTGCTAGTTCTCTGGCTTGCAAAAATGGATTGAATTGGGCCACTTACTAAGAGAAATCAAATAGTTAAGGAGAAGAGACAGGGAAGTGATCAGCTTGGGTTTTTTTATATGTTAGATTTGAGTATCCTTGGACATGTGTAAAACTTCAATTAGACTGTTAGGTAAATGGGTAGTACTCAGTGGAAAAATAGGAGTTAGGAATAAAAGTAATGACACAGTTGAGTATAGGTAATAATTGCATTTTTGTGAATGGATACAACGCTTATGGGTAGACTATAGTATAAGAAGAGATCAGATCAGATCATATCGCTTAACATCCAATCTTGAGTAATTCCAACTAGAAATGGCTTGGTAGGGGAAGACAAATCAGCAAAAACAGAGAGGGAGAAATGACAAAGTAGGCAAGATGACCACTTAAGAGTATCGTTGGTGTCAAGACAAAAAGTTTTCCAACAAGAAAACATCCTCAGCAGGCTTGAAGTTGCTACAGATTAAAATTACACAAGCCAGATATAACTCAAGGTTTATATCTGATCTCTGTATGTTAGCTGTGAATATCACCCATTGAAATCCCTTGTTTTACAAATTCTTAGAAGTTGTTAAACTCTATGATTAATACATTATTTTATTAGAAAAAATTGCTAATCATTGTTTATCTATATCATGAAATTATTGGGAAAAACAAGTTCATTTGCATTACCACAGTGAAAATTTGTTTCCTACAGAAAACATTGTATATATTCCATATGTATATACATTTTTCAAATATAAACATATTTATTAAAACATATTTTGAGACAGGTGCATTTCTACATAATTGCAATGGTTTAGTCATACATGTACAGTTTCAGTTGAACAGAATCTCTTAAGCTTTGAGCTCAAAGACAGACAAGGCAGAAAAGTATTGTCAATTTCATTTCATTCATTTCAGGACCTAGAAAGATGAGAGTAAGTGACCTACACAAGGCACCATGGCACACAATATGAGTAACAGCTATGCCATAGGAATAGAAACAAAGCTAAAACAGAAAAGACCTAACAACTGAAATACAACCTCTGAGAAAATTGAGGTAATCTAATATTCTATGCATCTTACAGAAGGAAAACTCAATCTGAACAGCATGACTTACTTTAATGACTTTTTTTTCAACCACTAAATACTCATTGTTCTTAAGTTCACATGAAAATTTTTCCAAAATAGGTCATCAGCTAAGTCCAAAAACAAGCCACAACATAATACAAGTAATTGGAATACTACAGAATATAGTAAATAGGAAGGGAAAGTTATCAGAAAAATAAAAAAGAAATTAAGCAAAATACTTTTAGATAATTCATGGGTAGGAAAAAAGTACATTAGAAAATACTTTGAGTGAAATAAAAATAAAATTGCAACATATCAAATTTTGTAGTATAGCTAAACCACAACTTAAAATAAAATTATAGCTTTGAATACATACAGGGTGAAAAAAGATGGGTTGAAAATAAATAATCTAAACCTTCTAACTCAAGAGCTAGAAAAGTAATGACAAATCAAGCTCTTTACAATTATGAGGTAAAATTCTATGGAGTAGAACAAAAAGATAAGAATGAAAAATATGCGGTGGGGGAAAAGCATGAGACATGAACTCAATACAGCATTTACCTCATATGATTTATATAGATGCTTAAAAGCTGATCTTACAGATTCATATGTAGAGTAAATGAACAATTTTCACCCATAGCTGCACCCTGGATAACAACAGTCCTAATCCTAAAGGGAACTGAACTCTTCTACTTCAAGTAAGCAAAGGCTACTGAAATGTATATGTAACTGGCACTAGACTCTTATACAACATTGAAAAGTAATTTCAAAAATATTATCATAATACATAATAACATGATATTTAATACCATATTAAAACTGTGATGTACGATTTTCATCAAAATGAGGGAAATACTCTGAATCTGAATTTATATGCAGTAACACTCTCAATTCAAGTTTGGCAGAAGACTAAATATAAAAAAGACAAGAACTCAAAAATTGTACATTGCTTATACCCTTTCTAAAGAAAACAAATCTAAAAGCTTTGAATGAGAGAATATTTTAACACCACATAAAAATAAAGATAGTAAAATGGTATCTAATAAGCTGAGAATCTACAAAGTATCATAATAAGAAATAGCAGTATGTTATACCATAGGAATTCAAAGAAATCAGAGAAAGTATCTTCAAGCAAACCACCTTAACTAACAGTAAGAATCTGGAAAACATTAATGGATGCAAGTTGCCAGTGTAGAAGCTAAAGAAGAATGGGCAATTAAAATCCTTGGAATGAAGTCCCATTTCTAGTAGCATGGTTATTTATGTATCCACTCTAGTAAAAAGTCAAAACATAAAAAACGAGGCTTCAAAAATATCAAAGTTCTTGAAGGAGAATAGGGAAGTAGCAAGTTATAATCTCAGTGGAACAGGAACTCACAGAAACATATTTTTATTTTGACGGTATTTTCTAAGTCTTATAATTTGAACTTTAGTTTCCATGGCTTTGTTGAAAATGGGAACATATATAAAGTTCAGTGCTGCTACAAGGTGGGTGACTCTTCCAAATAAAACAGAAACACCAAAAGCAAACACACTTGGTATGTGATGGCACCTGAAATATATTTTTTCTAGCCCTTATACCAAGAAGACTGATATGAGGCTTACCATGGCAGTGAGCAAAGGTGGAGGATAAAATGAGTATATGATAAGTTATAGCACAAAGCTCACCTTTGCCTGCATTTACAGATCAAATTTATGTGATCTGTGTTCAAAAATACAAATTTTTAATTAAGTATAAAATACCAGGTAGGTTATGTTCCCCAGTGCCTGGCATAGCATTGGGTCCTCCTCTATAGTGGAAATGATCTTAAAATTAGAATCTAAATATAAAGATTTTTCAAAATAATTTCCCAAGAGAGCACACAGCTCATAATTTAAAAAAAGAAAGAAAGACAGATGACATGCTATCATCCATGGGGTATAGCAACAGACCTAGAATATATATATACTGTGATAATCAGAACAGAAAGAAAACAAAAACTATGCTGACTGTACTTAGACAGACAGACACACACACACACACACACACACACTCATAATACATAAATTTAAAAATGTTTGCAGGAAATCATTTAATATATAAACACATAAATTCTAAATGTATAAGAATGTAAGAATCTGGGAAACATTAGTGATAAAGCAGATATACTTTTCAAGGAACAAACTAAAGAAAGACAGCAATTAAAATCCCAACAATCCAAATCCACAATTACAGTTTGAGATATCAACATTCATATCTCAGCTATTAATAGAATAAGTGAAAGAAATCAGAAAAATAGAGAAGACCTAAACACCATTAACAGTCTACCTTAGGTGTTTGTTTATAAAACCTTTAACCAACAAAAGAATACACAAATACCAGTCATAACAATAGATCATATACTGTGAAAGAAAACAAAAATAGCCCCAAAGATACATAATATAATATTGTACCATAACAGTATTAAATATGAAGGAATTATTAGAAATATATCAGCAATTTGCCTATATTTTGAAAATTAAAGAACACACATCTGAATAACCCCAAGGGCAAAAAAAGAAAGTATGTTAAATTAGAAATATTTTGAATTGAACAAAAATGAAAATATAACATACTTATATTTGTTATATGCAAACAAACAGTGTTTAGAGAGTAATTTATCACATTAAATACTGATATTAGGCAGGAAGAAATATATCAAACTAATGCTTTATGCTGCCACTTTAAGAAATAAGAAACTAAAAAGAGAGGATCAAGAAGACGAAATTAAAACAAACAGGTAGTAGAAACAAATGGCCAGTAGGAGGGATAAAATGGTGTTCACATGGGAAAAAAATCATGAACTTGAGAACAGAAAAATAATGAGGAAGGCAGATTACACCGAAATCTGATCTTTGTGAAGATCAGTGTAGTAGACAGAATCTTAAGATGTCTTCTTTCCTTCAAGTTTCTGTTCCTGGTTATTCAACCAGGCACTAATCTATATAGTGCTATGAAGGGACTTTGCAGATATAATTAAGGTTAATAATCAGAGAACTATAAAATAAGGAGACTATCCTGAATTATCCAGGTGGTCTCGGTCTAATTCCTGAGCCAATAAAATAAAAGTTAAAGCCAAAAGAGTAAGTTGAAGAGATGCAGCAACAGGAGATATCAGGAGAACTCAAACATGAAGCATGCCATCAGTGCTCTGAAATAAGGGCCAACATGCAATGATCAGAGAGAGTCATTTAGGAGCTAATGTCATCTCCCAGTTGAGAGCTAGTCAACAAGGGAATGGAGATCTTAGTCCGAAAACCACAAGGAATTGGATTCTGCCAACAACGTGAACGTGCTTGAATGGGGATTTTTCTCAGAGCCTCCTGATAAGAGCTCAGCTGGTTGATACCTTGAGTTTAGCCCTGTGAAACCCAAAACAGAGAAAGTCATCCAAGCTAAGCCAATCTAGACTTCTGATCATCAGAACCATGAGAAAATAAACTTGATGTTTTCAACTGCTCAATTGTGTAATTTTTAAGGCATCAGGAATTAGGAAACTAATATGATGAATATAATCATTAAACTTCCTGCAGGATGACAAAGAAAGAGAAAGAAAGAAATTTTAAATATGAGGTACTAAAAAAAAGGACATTACAATAGAGCCCACAGAATTTATTAGGAAAATAGGAAATGGCATGAGAAGCTCTTTGCCCATAAATTTAACAACTTTTAAAAGTCCTTTAAAAAACACAAATGCCAGGACCAATCTAAAAGAAATACATAATCTAAGATGTATTATATCTATTAAATAATTATTTTTATAATTAAAAACTTCCAAATGAGGAAAATGCCAAGTCCCAACAGTTTAATGGTGAATTCTACCCGACATTTAAGAAAGAAGTAGTTTCAAATGTACAGAATTTCTTCCAGAATATAGAAGTGAAGGGAATGCTTTCAAATTCATTTTAAGAGACTAGCATTAATATGACTCCAAAAACAAATTATTATAAAATTTGAAATCTGCATGTTACTATTTCTCAAGAACATTGACAAAAAACTCAAATTTAGTGCAAGAATATTTAAAAGTAGGTCATGGAAAATAAGTTTACCCTGGCAATAAAAACTGCTTCAGTAATCAAGAATTGATTAATAAAACTCACTGTATCTACAAACAAAAAAAAGAAAAAACGTATGATCATCACAATAGCTGCATAAAAATAATTTGAGAAAATTCAATATTTGTGATACAAAATCTAAGCAAACTGAAAAGAAAATAGGCTTTCTTAAGCCTTTTAAGGTAGACTAAAAATCCCTGCAGATAAAAATATACTTACTAGTTGAAGAAAGGTTTTCTTTTAAGAGCAGAAAGAAAGTGAATGTATCAGATGTCATTACTGTACTGAAGATCTTAGCCAGTGAAATTAGTCAAGAAAAAGACAGGAAATGCATAAAATTTGAACATAAATAATTTGTTTCTATACAAAGGTGACATAAATATCTACAAGGATTAACAACCAATCTATTTGTAAATATCTTCTAGATCAAATAAGTTTACCAACATTGCAGAATATGAGGTCAACACACACACACACACACACACACATATATCCTGTATATGTGTATATATATACATTCTGTATATGTGTATAAATATATAAAATACATAATACATATATTATAGATGTATGTATATTATACATACATATTACATACGTATGTGTATGTATCTATAAAGATGTGCTGTGACATAAAACAAAAAACCCAAAAGATACATAATATACACACACAAACACATACATATATGCACGTATAATGTATTATAACAATGAGCAATTGAAATTAAAATTTAAAGTACAAATTTTCAAAAGCAAGAGAAAGCATGAAAAATGTAGGTATAAAACTAACACAATATTTTTACTACCTGTATGTTGAAAACTACAAAACACTGATGAAAGTAATCAAAGAAGATCTAAATAAATGGGAAGTTATATAAATAAAATGGAAAATTGTTTAAGTCTTAGAATGCATAGTATTTTAAGATGTCAATTGTAAACAAATTAAAGAAAGTATTCAAATTTATGTATAGTTAAAATTCTACTAGAACTTTACTGAAATTAACAAATTGATTCTTAAATTTACATGGAAATGAAAACAAATAAGAATATCCAAAACAATTTTGATAAAGTACAAGATTAGACGTATCACACTACCTACTTTCAAGATTTTCTGTAAAGTTACAATAATCAAGACAGTGTAATATTACAGATATATACACAGTTAGATGACTAGAACAGAATAGTGTGGTTCAGAAATAGGCTCATTCTTTATGATTTATTAATTTTAAGTATATTTAATTAATAATAGATAACATTTTTAACAATAGTGTTGAAAGTTTTTGACATTGACAAGCAGTAAAATAAAGAATCTTGATCCGTACCTTGCATTATATAAAAAATTAACTCACAATAGGACATGAACTTAAATATGAAACCTAAAATTATAAAACTACTAGAAGAACACATAAGAAAATATATTTGTGGTCTTTAATATGACAAATATTCCTTAGATATGTCACCAGAAACATGTACCATAAAAGCAACAGCCAAGGTAAGAATCCCTGCTCTTGATGTACTGTTAAATGAGTAGAAAGGCCATATAAACTGAGAAATACTGTGCAATCACTCCTCCAATAAAGGGCTTGTATATATAAAGAACTCCCAAAACTCAATAAAAAACAAACAATCCAACAAAGAAAGGTAATAGAGTTGAACATATTAAAATATCCTCAACATCATTAGTCATTAAGGAAAACACAATGTAATCTGGCAATAAGATATCATTACATACTTAATAAAATGTTTAACGTTCAAAACAAACAAGCAAATCATCACAACAGTAACAATGAACTAAAAAGACCATATGTTTGCAATTAGGAAAGACAAATGAAACTCTCATACATTGATTGTGGGAATGCAAAATGGTAGAGCTATGTTGGAAAAAAAGATTTGGCAGTTTCTTACAATGTTAAATATACATTTACTAAAATATCCAGCAGTCTCACTTCTAGGTATCCAACTAAGTGAAATGAAAGCTTATGTTTATGCTGAAACATGCAAGTGAATATTTATAGAAACTTTACTTGTGATTGCCCAAAACTATATTCAAAATGCCTTTCTCTTGGGTGATGGATAACCAACTGAGGTACATCCACACAATGGAATTCTGCCTACCAATTTAAAAGTATGACACATTGAAAAGTGCTGGATCATATATGGATCCCAAATGAAAAATGCTAAATGAAGGGAGTCAGAATGAAAAGGCAGTGAGTCATGTGAATTCATTTTTTTGACATTCTAGAAAAGGTAAATATGTAGGAAGAAAACAGATCGATGGTGATGGGGCTGTGGAGGAGGTAGCTGACTAAAAAGTGGCATGAAGAAATTTTCTCTGGAAGCCTTCCATATTTTGATTGTGATTCTGTTCACTTGATTGTATACCTTTGTCAACACCCTCAGAAATGTAAACTGAAAACAGGTGTGTTTTGGTCAATGTAATTTATTTTTAAAAAAAACTGAAAAGAAGATAATAGTATTTTTTCTTGCTGTTATTAACCTAAATGTTAACATGGGAGTATAATTGTATATAAAAATATCTTAAAAGCTGGATTATTTGATTTAAACAACATTTGCATTAATTTAAAAATTACAAGAAAATCAATTCTGTATTATACAAAGCAATATTTTTAAAAGATGTTAATTTATATCATTGATTATAAAGATCAAATAAACTTAAGTTACATTTAAGCATTATTCTTTGCCCTAGGTTTCTATTCTAATCAAAATACAGTAGATTATCATGTTTGCAGATTATTTGAGAATTCACCTGCTTGCTATAATTTGTTAATTCAAAATAAATGCTCATGAGCTTTTGTGCTCATTTGCAGTCAGGGTGGTAAAGTATTTGAGTCACATGATGCACACTTTCCTAGCCGAGACAGACTAAGACCACACGCTACCTTACTTTTTTTTCAGCTGTTATATTGAAAAAAAGTCTTATTTGAAATCTATTCAACCTTTTAGGTTTTTTGTTTATTGTTTGTTTGTTTGTTTTGTTTAATTCTGTGAAAAAAAATATGACCCCCAAACATAGTGCTTGATATGATTTGGCTGTGTGTCCCCATACAAGTCTCACCTTATAAAGAAAAGTCTCACTCTTTCTTTTATAAAGAAAAGAGTCAATTATACCTCTTTTCTTTATAAATTACCCAGTCTAATACAGTGCTAAAACACTGCCTAGTGTTCCTAAGCACAAGAAAACTGCAATGTGCTTTAAGAAGAAAATAACATATGCTACAGAAGCTTCCTTTGGATATGAGTTATAGTGCCGTTGGCCATAAGTTCAACATTAATGAATCAACAATGCCATACATCAAGAAAAGGTGGAAAAAATTTGTTGATCTGTATATGAGGCTACTGAAGAAGCTGCTAACATAACATCCCTAGTATATGCTGAAGCTATAGAAAAGATGGAAAAGTGACTACATTTATGAATTCACAAATGGTGAAAATTTTTAAAAAACATACCAGACGGCATTCTTCTGAGGCTGAAAGCCAAAGAAATTTATGGTTATGTTACTCAGGAGCAAGAGAATATTAAGTCCTTCTTGGCTAGTGCTGGCTGGTTCACATGTTTCAAAATGTGATATGGCCTTTTTTTTTAGTGTCACTATTACTTATGCTGTATAACATCTTTTAGTACAAAAGCCAACAGAGCTGAACTCAGAATAAATCAAGAGTTTGAGTACATTTTGTAAACAGAGTAAATTGAAAAATAATATCTAAATGAGAAAACATTTCAATATGTGTTATAGCCTGAAGGGAAAAACAAGTGCCCTACCTTGATAAATTTATCAACTCTAAATAATTGAATGTATCAGTTGTCAGGAATACTTCATGTTTCTTAATTTTTTAAAATAGACTCAAATATTACTTTAACCAGTGGAGGAACCCATTTCTAAAATTTTTTATTATAAGCCTTAAAAGTAAACAACAATAACAACAATAAGACATCTAAAGAAAAAGGGCTCAGTATACTAAATCTTCATCATTTTATTGTAATCAATATATAATGATACTATAAATACTCCTAGAGTACTTGATCTATTCATACTTTGCCTAATATATAAAAGTAAGGCTAATAACTCCATGGTATTCAAACAGTGCAAATATTCTTATGAAACTATACTTGTACACAATTGTGATTTTAGGTTATTGTGAAGATTGTCAAGCATTTCTTCTTCATGATAATCTTTCCAATAGTCTTTTCTATCTATGAAATAAGATATATCCCAGGTGTTATTAAGTATACTTAAGTTATTTCAAAATAAATGCTCACAGCTTTTTGTGATCATTTGAGGACAGGGTGGCAAAATATTTGTGTCACATGATGCACCTGTTCTCAACTGAGATAGAATAAGATCACGTTCTACTTTTTTTCACCTCTTATACTGCAAAAAAAAAAAAAAAAGTCCTATTCATAATCTATTCAATACTATGCTTTCAAGCACCTTTGAGCTTTAAGTATATGTAATAAAACCTAGGCTATATCTTATTTCATTTATGTAACAATAGCATTGTATTGATTGTTGTTAGATAATTATCTATGAACCCCACTGCCTTTTTGTTTTTCTGCATTAGTTGCTTTTACCTCTTTTATGCTTTATTTTATATAATGCTGTAATTTATCCTACATGTATGTAGAATTATACATCTAAGAATTTTGATTATAATCTGCATTTAAAAGGGTCATGTAAAGCTTTTAATTAGTAAACTGATTTAACAAGAAGGATCAGAATATTGGAAAAAATAATGCTTTTACAGCCATTTGATTGAGTACCTACATGTTTCTGTAGGATTTCAAAAATCTATACTCAGTAGAATTCTATGTTGTAAACCACCTTTGCATTGGAATTGAGCTGTGAGAGGATATTTACTCTTAAAAATTGGTGCACAATAAGAAAATCAGGATATACACTGACGTATTAAGACTGAGCAAGGATAAAGACAGCATTACAGGAGAAGAGAGACGAATCATTTGCTTTTTATAAAGGATTAGTTTGGAAATCCCTCATCATTTGTATAATCTTCTTTATATATCTAAGTGACATAAAATATTACATATAGATTTTTATCTAAGAGAAAAAAATGTAACAGCTAAGTTGTCTCTGAGATTTTTGTTTAAAGTAATAAATTTGAAATCCCTTAAAAAATTTAAATAAAATGCTGCATTCTTCACTATAGTGGTAGTGTGAGAATTATCTTAGCAAACCATCTTCTTTCCAGGTAATCTGTTAATTTTTCACCCATTAAAATATAAAAGCTCTGCTGCATTTGTGTACTGTGTTAGACAATTTGCAAAGTTCAACCTTCTGATTTTTTTGTGGATTCTTTTATTTTTTATTTGACATCAGTTAATGCTCTAGCTGCATTTCTAAAGACCTGTCATTAATAAAATAATGTATTTTTGTTGTACTCCAAACTATTTAATAATTTCATGCATATCACAAACCTGAAGATTAGTTAAGAATCAATAATGTTTAACTTTTTTCTCAATGCATCTGTGTGAAATTTTCATTCTTTCCAAAACATTAACAACCTCAAGCTATTTTATTCATCAACAATTTATGTCTATAAACTCTACTTTACCGAATAAAAATGTTTATTTTATTTCAATTATTTAAATAATACAGATAAACAAGACATGGTCAAAAGGCTGGGCCACAGGACAGTCGCCTGTGCCTCACACTCAGTGGGAGGGGGAGTGACACATTAAGTATACTTCTCAAGTGTTTCACCATAAAAAATGATAGGTAAGTGAGGTACTGGATATGTTAATTGGCTTGATTTAATCCTGCCACATTGTATACATATATCAAAATATCACACTGTACCCCATAAATGTACACAACTATGATTTGTCAAGGAAAACACGGGCACAAATGCCCTAGATAGAGGTGACCCTTGCAGGTGTCTGTAGATCTATTCTGGGGAGTAACTCTCACCCAGTACTTCCATCTCAGATATTCAGCAGAAGTAAACATTTCAAAATTGTATTATATATTGGGGCTAGGCCTATTGATATTCTAACTGGCTCTCCTCTCATTAGTTTCAGAAGAAGGGCAGGGCAGCCTGAAGGTTATTAGGTGCTCATTAAGAAAAAGCTTTAATGTGATAAACCAGGAGCATAAAATAATAGTACTCCGATGTTGTGACACAATATTTAATGATCTTAGTCTACAAGCTGATGTTAAGCAAGAGTTTTTAAATTATCATGCTTCATCAGGGATCAGAAAGTAATTAAAAGGCAGTTAATGTGCTGCCATTTTTCATTTCTCAACAGATACACAGAAATTAAAAAGCAGAAATAAAATAATTTTTAGTCTTATTTAAGCTTCAACTACATAAATCAAGGACTAAATTTGCAATCCCTAGGCTTTCTCACTAGCGCTTAATATTCTGTTTCTAAAACATCCCACATATCACTGATTTCCTAAAAGGTCAAAATTTATTTGGTCCTGATTTTACTGCAAGACTTGGTTGTAAGAGTGCAGCAAAAGAATCACAATATCAACTAGTACTCTCTTAACATACCATGTGTAAAACCATAGAAAAGAAAATAACATCCCTGATCCTTTGCCTTCTACTTTTTTTTTTTTTTTTTTTTTTTTTTTTTTTTTTTTTTTTGAGACGGAGTCTCGCTCTGCCGCCCAGGCTGGAGTGCAGTGGCGCGATCTCGACTCACTGCAAGCTCGGCCTCCCGGGTTCACGCCATTCTCCTGCCTCAGCTCCCAAGTAGCTGGGACTACAGGCGCCCGCCACCACGCCCGGCTAATTTTTTGTATTTTTAGTAGAGACGGGGTTTCACCATGTTAGCCAGGAGGGCCTCTATCTCCTGACCTCGTGATCCACCCACCTCGGCCTCCCAAAGTGCTGGGATTACAGGCGTGAGCCACCACGCCCGGCCTGCCTTCTACTTTTGAAACTGAAGAAAAACAAGGTAGCATATAGACAAATATATATCTCAACATGGGCTAAAAGATTCAAGTTTAAAAAGAATGATCCTTTGCTGGGGGTGGGGTGGTGCGGATTATATAAATCACATCATATTTAGAAGACTTCATTGGTTGTTCTCTAGGTAATGGTCACAGTGGGCACCCTCATGAGCACCTTCCCTCATCATAGACCAAACCCACCACCTCAGCGTCCATTTATTCTTCAAAAGGATGACAATTAGCACAAAATTGGACCTCTGGTGTCCATTTATTCTGAATGCATGTGACTTTATTTCAGTTTCTGGTTTACTATTTGAACCCCAGCTTAGATACAGGCTCTGTTATTTGTGTATTTCCTAAATTAACTTTTTGAGATATTTATTATTATTACAACTATTAGAACATTCTCTATTCAAGGAGCATAACAGAAGACTACAGTTTAAAAATCCCCAAAGACATTTTGAATGCATACATAATCAGAGAGTAAAGTTTTCACCAGTTGAAGAATTTCTGAAAGAATACAGCTGTAAAATGCAATTACTTAGTGTTCTATAAATTAGTGATAAATAATTAAAGATAAAAATAAAATAATAGTCACCAATAACTATTTGTACATGTCACATGTGGCTTCGGCAAATTAACTGATGATTAGATCAACATTTTCTTCCTAAGGTAAAAATAATTTAAGGTGCTTGTAATACATACTAGTAGCAGTGTTAAAGACAAATCTTAATTTGATTTATAATTTGCTGAAAGCACCTTCTTTCTATAACTAATCTGATATCTTATATCTATACACTTTGTCTGAAATTCAATATATTTTTTAGCTTCTGAGATCGATAAACCAAAATTGGATCATCCAGGATGGAAAAATCAGTGTTCTATTAACAGACTGTAGAAACATTTCTTACATAAGTACTATTTAGTGAGTTACAAAGATTCTTTACTTTTAATGCTTTACATGGTTTACCTTTCCAATCACATACATGAGAATTGTTTTGATAAATTTTAAAAAATATTTTCTGAAATTAATTTCATCATGTTATTGCAAAAAAATCAATGGAAGAAACATGACCATGTTTAAATAGTGCAAACTCTCTGTTGCTGCTTCATGAAAGTGAATTACAAGTCTTACATTGTTTCTTTAGTAAAGATACTTAATATTCATCACATAAGAGGACAGATGTAAAGTGTAAGCCCCTGCTGAAATGCAAAGCATAAGTGTTTCATTTCCTGTCTCAGTAGAGCAGTGGGTTGAATAGTGCTTCTCAAAATTCATCTTCACCCAGAACCTCAGAATATGACTTTATTTGGAAACAGGGCCTTTACAGGTGCACTTTAGGTAAGGATTGAGATAAAGTCGTAATGGATTAGGGTGGGCCATAAATCTAATGAGTATCCCTTATATAAGAGACAGAAGAGTACACATAGAAACTGTATAGGGAGAGGAGGGCAATGTGAAGACAGAAGTAGAGATTGGGATTATGTTGCCACAAGCAGAGGCACACCTGGGGCCACAAGAAGAGAGAAGAGGCAAGTAGTGATGTTGCCCTAGAGTTTTCTGAGGTAGCATGACGCTGCTGACACCTTGAATTCAGACTTCTAGCTTCTAGTCTCTAGTAATGTAAGAGAATAAATTTCCTTTTTTGTTTATTTGTTTGTTTGGACAGAGTCGCTGGAGTGGAGTGGTGCGATCTCAGCTCACTTCAACCTCCACTTTCTGGGTTCAAGCAATTCTTGCCTCAACCTCCCGAATCTCAATCTCCATGCCCAGCTTTTTTTTTTTTATTTTTTTTTTATTTTTTATTTTTAGTAGGGACAGGGTTCTACCATATTGATCAGGCTGGTCTCAAACCCTCGGCCTCAAGTGATCCCCCCACTTCTGCCTCCCAAACATTTCTGTTGTTTTAAGCCACCAGATTAGTAAAAATTTGTTATGTGAGCTCTGTGAAACTAACACAAGTTGAAAATTACAATGGTGTCTCCACTCTCTCTAAACTTAGGGTGGTTGTTAGCTTGGGAGAAGTTTCAGAAGACCAGTTTTGAAACAAAAATATTGATTCTAATATAAAGCCATTAAGATGAGATTAATTTAGACTATGACCAAAAATCTGAGCCATAAATCACACATTTATAAATATATAAAAAGTTATATAAAGACTATGTAAGATATAAAGGATATGATAAATGCAAACGTCCCTTAGCCTATGAGAAATGAGAATAGAGTTTATGAAGACAACAGTGAATTTACCAGATTGTTTTCATAAAGTTAGAGAATGTCGGCCGGGCACGGTGGCTCTGCCTGTAATCCCAGCACTTTGGGAGGCAGAGGCGGGCGGATCATGAGGTCAGGAGATCGAGACCATCCTGGCTAACACGGTGAAACCCCACCTCTACTAAAAATACAAAAAATTAGCCGGGCGTGGTGGCGGTCGCCTGTAGTCCCAGCTACTTGGGAGGCTGAGGCAGGAGAATGGCTTGAACGGGGAGGCAGTGCTTGCAGTGAGCCAAGATCACGCCACTGCACTCCAGCCTGGGCAACAGAGCGAGACTCCGTCTCAAAAAAAAAAAAAAAAAAAATTAGAGACTGTCTTGATTAGAAGGAACCTTTAAGGTTACCTAGTTTTTACCTAGTTTCTATTTCAGTATCTCATCATATAGTTGAATCTCCTCTTTAAAATTACTTCTAAAGTTCCTTCAGCTTCTTCTTGAACTTTAGTGGCAGAAAAAAATCACTCCATTTTTAGACAAGCTTGTCAGTATCTTCTTCATGATAATAAGCCCAAACCCCTGTTCTGCATAGGAGACCTTCAAATACTTATGTCTTATTCAGGCAAAAATGCACACTTCTTCCTAAAATTTCTTATATGATATGATTCATTTTCTAGTCTTCTTGTCATCCAGATCAAAATCCTATGGAAACAATATGACTCATTTATGGATTTCTTAAAATAAAAATTTCAAAATTAAAAAAGATTCTAGTGATTCTAATCAAGAGAGTAGAATCATATTGGCTTCACTATCTATATCTTTATATTATTTCAGTTTAGGTTCCATTAGCATTGTTGACAGTCAAGTTACTCCTTTAGTGCAAAAATCACCATTAGTGCTTATTGTTTTATATTTCTGCTTCTAAGTTATTTTTTCATTAAGTATTATTTTCTGTACTTAAGGACAAAATTTTACATTTTTCTTATTTTTTATCTTGTTAAATTATAAGGGCTCTCCATCTCTATTCTAACTTTTTAGCTTACCAATTTTGTAATGCAACATGTCTGTTGCTCTCCCTCCCAATTTCATTCATGAAAAGGTAGAAGTATATCTTTTATTTTAACATATGGTTATATTTATAATATTATTAACTTTTACTAAAATTTTAATTAAGCTGGAAGCTGAATTAACGTAAAAATATTAATACGGGTGAAAATTCAAACCATCTTTTACTGCAAAGCAGTCCTGAAAAAAAAAATTGAAAACTAGTGCTCCTCTACAACCTCTAAATACTAGTTGAGTTAACTCCCAGAGTCTGGATTTCATCTTTTTTTCCTCCTTTTGGCTTATTAGTCCCTAATGCCTAGTAATTTCAAAATAAATTGCTAAGTTAATAAATGAATTTGACTTATCTTAATGGGTCTCTTCTGATTTTTGTTTGTAGGCCTAACACCTTCTTTCCCTTGTGATTTTAATTCCATTTATCCTGAGAATAGCGGAAGGTCAATTCCTCATTCAAATAATTAGTATACAGCATTATTTCTGGATGTACAGAGAGTGACTCATCCACATAATTTGTATGGGACTTCATCAACAATAATTTTGGCCATATAATATGAAAAAGAAAAATTGAACAGATCACTGCATATTAATTAAATAATAAAGTTATTAAGTAACCTCTCTCAAAAATGTAAAATTTACCTCTATTGATTAAGATTCACCTAATGATGTTTGCCAAGCTATACAGGATGAAGTATTTCTTAGGAAGGCTACCCAGTTGGTCAGAGGATAGACATTTTCTTAAAATATTCACTATAGAATAATATCTTATTAGAACTGTAAGGAGGAAAACAGTTATTTTTTGCTGTTGTTGTTTAGGTCTCCAGTTGGTTGAAACCAAGAAGACTCTCCCACAGTTATCTAGTGTAAAGAAATTGATATATAAACTAGATTGCACTATTTGTTAAACCTATAAAAAATAAACTGGATTAACAGGTCTTTTCCTCAACATTTTCTCTCCCACTGTCTATTTGTGGGTTTAAATTATAGGCACTGAGATATAAATGAGCCTTAAATAAGGGTGAGAGGTCAGCTGAATAATTTATATAGCTAGAAAATATAGTTATAAAAATATAAATTATTTACTAGCATAAAATTATTTTGGCCTTCTAAATTTGGCAAAGGTGATCTAGACAATTTGGACCAAAATTTCTGATAAGGAAATAGAAAAAATTGTCCAACATAATAAGATAATTCTATAATAAAGACATAAAATTAAGAACTTAATGAAGGTTTAATGACATGTAAGACACAGACTGAGATACAAATGAGGAACTGGTACATAGGTTAGGAAAAAAAATCAAGAGTGGTCAAAGAGGAACAAGAATTCAGACAAAGTAGAAAGAGGTAAGATTAATGGCGGACATTTAATTGGAGTCAAAGAAATAGGACTCAGACAATAGGACACAGGACACATTTTAATACCTAATAAGTAAGACAGATTCAGAACTTATGAAAATTCTTTAACTATACTTTTTCAAAAGGCACTATGAATCTTAAACGGGACAAATAAAGAGTAAAACGTACCAGGTAACGTCATAGTAACAACTATTTAAAAAAATTGTATGCCTGTATCAAAATATCACGTGTACCTCATAAATTTACTATTATATACCCAAAATGTTTAAAAATAAAACAATTTTTAAAAGGTAAAATCTTGAAATTACATAGTGATTAAGACAGACGATGTTCAAAGTAGAAACATTCAATAGATAACTGACTCCTAAGAGAAAAAATGAAAGTAATAAGAAAATGGAATGGAATTTTCAATAACAGAAATAAACAGAAATTTTAAAGCTATCAATACAATAATAAGGAAATATTATACAAAACTCTATGTCAGTCAATTCAACAACATAGATAAAATTGTCAGATCCTGTAAAACACAAAAATTACCAAAAATGTTATAAAAATAAAATAAAGATCTGATTAGTTTTATCTCTATTGAAGAAACTATAAAAATTTAAAATCTTTCCACAGACACAACACCGGCCTTATACAAATCCACTGACTTATTCTGTTACATTTATGGGAAAAAAATAACACTAACTCTCCACAGAATTGCTCAGGAAATACAGAAGGTGGGGCCTTTCTCAACTCATTTTATGAGGACAGTAAGTCCCTAATACCAGTATCAGTGTCTTTTTTCCCCTCCCACCTTCAAGCACTATCTTAAAAGAAAAGTAAATCTATAAGCCAATATCCCTCATAAACATTGATGTCCAAAAGTATTATTAATAGCAATAGGATAGTTGTCAGAGCCCATCAATTATAAAGTGAATGATGTGTCATAAGATAAGGAGTTTATGGAATGCAGTTTTCTTTTTATTTAAAATCAATTAATCAATGTTAATTTACCATATTAATAGGAAAAGGAGAAATATCAAGTGATAATTTCAGGAGATTCATTTTAAAACTTTTACACCTATTTATGATAAATTGAACCTTTCAGCAAATTACTCTAAGAAAGGAACTTTCTCAGCTGATAAAATCACCTATAAAAAAAACTAAAGATCACATCATGAAATAGTGAAAGGGCAATTTCCCTACCCCATCACACTCCCAAGATTTGGCCCAAGACAGGAATGGGCATTTTTCACTGCTTCTGTATTGCATTATAATGGAGGTCTTACCCATTTAAAAAATTTAAAAATACTTAAATAAATGAAATATACCAATTTAAAAAAAAGTTAAAGCTATTATTATTTGACCCCACCTGATTTGTTCATAGACAATTTTAAGGAATCCACAAAAAAGCTATTTGAAATAAGTATTTAGCAGGTTGTAAAACACATAACCAGTTGCATTTCAAAGTTGTCAAAATAAACTTGGAAATAAAAATAATTCCATTTACAGTTGCATGAAAATATATAAAATGTTCACAGGTTTAACAACATCTGTGCCAGATCTCTACACTGAAAACATCACAGCATCACAGAAAGAAGGTTGAACACCTTAATATTTGCCTAGATATATCATGTTCATGCACTGAAATGACTTAATTTTATAAGTTGTTGATTTTCCTTGAATTAATTGACACATTTAGCAAAGTATAACTCATATTTCCATCAGGTTGTCTGCAGAGTTCAATAAGCTGATTCTAAAATGTATACTGGAATGCACATTATCAGAATAATCAAAACAATAATTAAAAAGTTATAGGATTTACACTACCCAATTTTAAGACTTACAATAATACAAATTAAAACAGTGTGATATCAGGGTATGTGTGTGTGTTTTTAAAGATGTCAGAAGAGGCCGGGCGCGGTGGCTCACGCCTGTAATCCCAGCACTTTGGCCAAGAGGCCGAGGTGGGTGGATCACGAGGTCAGGAGATCGAGACCATCCTGGCTAACACGGTGAAACCCCGTCTGTATTAAAAATACAAAAAAATCAGCCGCGCGTGGTGGCAGGCGCCTGTGGTCCCAGCTACTCGGGAGGCTGAGGCAGGAGAATGGCGTGAACCCGGGAGGCGGAGCTTGCAGTGAGCCGAGATCGTGCCACTGCACTCCGGCCTGGGCGGCAGAGCGAGACTCCGTCTCAAAAAAAAAAAAAAAAAAGATGCCACAAAATTCAGTGAGAAATGATAACCTTTTCAACAAATTCTTCTGAAACATAGATACTTACATGGGAAAAAAATGGTATCTCTCCCCACTAATTGCCCTAGAAACTTGGAGGCTTACTCAATTAAGAAAGGTGAGTCCTGCTTCTAAGAGCCCACAGGCAAAACACAGGCTTCCCATGTATCTGCTGGTATCAACTTTAATACTGTCCCTATCGACCGTTGTCATGAGTGTCCGGTTGGTCTTCTAGTAATGTTTTACAGTCTTAAAGGGTGAGGAAACATGTCTTATTCACAATGTAACACTCATCTGTGGTGGTTAAAAATCCCCATGATCTTATGCTTTATTAAATATTTTTAACCACAAGTATTAACGAAGCATTCTACCTAGACCAGAGTACTATTTTGAGAGAAATTTTCCCAAATTTCTCAGTCTTATCCAAGGACAGGCATGCTCTGTGTTTACAGTTCCAAATTATTGCACTTGCATTACAATAATATCCTCTGACATTTTCACCCAGAACATTACTACATATGTAAACTAATGAACCTGTGGATTTTGGTGTAGGAAACATCTCAACAAATTACAAGTTCTAATAGTCCGGGACCCCAAAATTTGAGAGGCTGGAGTTGGATTATCCGTGTTTTCCGGAAAATTTCATGTAAAATTAATTTTTATTGACCAGGTCCAACTAGTAATAAGCATTTATTGATTTCCTACTATATGCCAGACCCGTTTTAAGCATGTTTTATAGATTATCTTCTTCAATTCTCAAAGAAACTCCATGCCATGGTTCTTCTTATTATTTTTGTTTTACCAAATCACATAAAAAGTTTAAATAATTTGCCCAAGGTCACACAGCACACATTCAACAATACAGTAAACTTCTCTTCTACCAAGAGGAAGGGAATGAATTCATCCTTAAACACAAATAGAGATTTTTACACTTTTCTTCCCAAGAGAGTGTTTACTTGCTATAGATTATTCAATTTCCCTTGTGCCCATACCCTTTTAACTGCTTTGTTAAGCTTCCCCTTTTAAGAAACAGAAAATATCTCCATCAGCCTCAAGTCCATTTGTCTTTGTGATATGTTCTGGCTAATATGACATTAGCAGATGTGTTGCAAGCAGAGATTTGACAATGTAGGTGTACTATTTGATGTGCTCTCTTGCACTCCTGCCACTGCCGTGAAAAGGATGTGTTCACACTGGCCAGTTGGTTTCAGAAGAGGATGAAACACAAATAGAGCCAAGATACCCTATGAAGTTTTCCTGGTCAAACCCAACCTACAGCAGAGCCCCTAACCTTGCTTGAGTGAGCCCAGCAGAAAACAACCTGGCCTAGAGAAGTCACTCCAGCCCATCCAACTAACCACAGATCCATGAGCTATCATACGTGATGATTTATTCAGTTTACTCAGTCACAGGGCAAAAAGTAACTGAAAAACTTGATTTGTGTGTAAATCGGAAGGGCCATTTCATATATTTAGAAAATAAGTTCATATTCCTGAGTTTACCTACATTCTGATAGCAAACTATTGGCAACTTTCAATTGGTGTTTTTTTCATTAAGATGCTATCTAATGGAGACATCTAATTTATATAAACATGTTAAGAATAATAAATATTTTGTACTCTTTTTATATGTGCCAACGAGTTTACATGTGTTTCTATCATCAACCTCTCACAATGCTCACAACTAGGTTTTAAAGTTTAAGGTAAGCTCCATTATCCCCAATTTTCAAAAGCAAGAAAATTCAGGTGTTGAAGGATTGAGTTTCTTGCATACGGTAAATAACCAGTAAGTAACAAAGTTAGGATTTAAAACTAGGACAGTTAGACTCAACAATTATACCCCTGTACAGAAAGATGAGATTTTTATTCACAGGGTGTGGATTTGGAATTCTAGTTCATGGACTCAAATAACTGAAAACCATATTTTATCCCAGAGAGCCACATTTTCCCTGTCTGTAATATGGACATTATCACAGGCACCTCACGAGTTAGGTGAGTATTTTCCATTTCTTGAGCTGGCTCTGAAAATTTGCTTTACAAATAGCATCTTTGTGTTTGCCCAACGCATCCTCTCCAGGGAGGCAATATGTCATGATGTCCTGATTAGGAGTATGATATATAACTCTCAGATGGATTTCAAGCTTTGTAAAGCGGGAGAGAGGAAAGATGTTTATCATCACCCTCACCTAGAATTCCTATCTCTGACACATCAACAGATAATTTATACTGGCAGATTGTGTACACTTGACCCCTTAGATTGGGGATATTTACACTGGCATCAGAGATCACAGGTAAGGCTCCCAACCCCCCTCTTATATCCCCATTTTGCAACTGCCCTGCATCACTATCATTTTTTGTACCAAAATCTCCTCTCTCTTGCTCTCTTTTGTGTGTATTTTGTTGTTGCTGTTGTTTGGAGTGTGTGTGTGTGTGTGTGTGTGTGTGTGTGTGTGTGTGTGTGTTTAAAAAACCAAGCCCTGCTTGAGAGCCAGGAGGCTGAAAGTCAAGGGCTTAGGTGAATTTCCATGTCTTCAGAAAGAAAAAGGAAACAACAACAACAAAACACACACACACACACACACAAAACTCTAATGGCACCTCCTGCTACTTTCCTCTGAGAACTGATCTTTTAGTGAAAGTTTACCATTAGGTTGGGGAGAGGAGAGGTACTGAAAAGGGAAATCTATGTGGAAAGAACTAGGAGGGCTCAGAAAGAGATAAAGAAATAACGGTGAGGAAGTAGCAATGGCAGGGCCATGAGGAAATAAGATGTGGAGGAAAATGGTGTGGTGGAAGGAAACTGCTAGAGTGTGTACTGTGGGTGGAGGTGACAGGACAGGGAGGTGGTTATGCCATCATTCATTTCTCAGAAGCAGAAAGGGGTCCTACTGTTTTTGAAAGCACCCAATTATATTTTCCTATTTAGATGGTTAACATGCACATTCTTATTTTCTACATGTCCCTCAGGCATTAGTTAGCTACTTTAATTTAGCTGATGTTAATTTCTAAGTTATTCTTTCTTTTCTAGAGAATAACCAAAAGTAAAATAAGTTTATTGTTGATTGTGGAGAGTGTTGTCTCAGAGGTAGAGCCTCAGTCTCGAGATATTTGCTTAGACCCTACCTCCTCACACAGTCTAACTTTGTGCTACTTTATTTTCTTTTAGATACTTAATTGATAATTTTCTTCATTAGAATACTGTATAAGTTCCTTGAGACCAAGAGCTTTGCTGGGGTTAATGCTGTTCTGATTCAGAGAAGACATTCAGTAACTATTGACAAATTAACTGACTTACAAGACACCATGAGGAGTAAATACCCACACAAAGACACATGTTTTTCTTCTCTCTGTTCTCTTCCTAGCCCTCCAGTTTATCCATGTATAATATGAGAAAAAAACACAAGGTGCAATTGGGTGGAAATCTTATTTTCCCTTTGGAGTTTGAGGAAACATTTTGTTCAGGATATATGGGAGAGGTATCAGTAAAACTAATTTTGACAGAGATGTAAACTGTATTTGTATGATTATTAGATTGCACTGAGACACACAAGATCACTGTTTGTCCTCTACCAAAGTGAGGCTCTTCAATCATTGCAATAATGGAATTGCTTGAAAATTGACAGAACAATCCCTATGTGGATCTCAGAACACTTCCAATAGAGAATCAAACAGTAAAATAGTATTATGCAAGTTTCTTGGACTGTGTCTCTTCTCCCTGACATCTCATCAATACCAAAGTTAATGTTGCTTTAGTTAATAATATCAGTTCCTTGTTATTTATTTGTCTTTTTATGTTGGCTTGAATAGCCTGAGGTTGAAACTGTGTATTATAATGAACACTCTGGATTTCAGCTGCCTTTCTGACTAAAGGCCTGTAACACTTCTCCATAATCAGCTTCTTTGAACGAAAGCAACAATATTGGTTAATTAAAAAATAGAAATATATTAATGGATTGGTGTCATTAAATAAAGGTTCACTTTTAGCTAACAAAACAAATTATTTTATTAAAACTCAAGCCATTATTGCAACATCCATGAAACCAAACAGAACATAGAATGTTAGAAATCTAGATTAAGAAAGAGGAACAAAAAAAAATAATTTTTGATAAAGTGTTCCTTGAGTTCAGTTTGCTCTGAAATTGTATTTAACATAACTCTTGCACCAACAGGAAGGGCACATGATGTCAAGGTCTATGTTCTGACTAGTAACTCACACCTATTTTGTGAATTAGAATATATAAACACAATATTATGGATTACAAAGTTAGCATCCTAATATTATTAATTGTATAAAGTCTTTACTTAAAAGATGTTCACATTACCGTCACTATTGTATGACAAATTCTATGTTCTCAGAGTATCTAGCTATTCACCAAGCCCATTTTGTCTTCGTCATGGAGAGTTGGACTTCATTTTCCAGCCTCCTTTGTAGTTAGTTTTGGCCAAATGACTGAATCCTCCCTAATGGGAAATGAGCAGAAGTAATGTGTACTGAAACTACTTATGCTTTTCCTACCTCTGACTCACTAACAACCATTTAAATTTAAAATCACATGTTAAAAGATGGGGAGTGTTCTCAGATCACATCCAATGTGTTCTGAGATCCACATAAAGATTGGTCTTGGTGGCTCATACCTGTAATCCCAACAGTTTTGGAGTCTGAGGTGGGATGTTTGCTTGAGCCCAGGAGTTCAAGGTTACGGTGAGCTATGATTGTGCCATAGCACTCCAGCATAGGTAACAGAGCAAGACCCCATCTCTAACAATAACAACAACAAAAAGATAAAGGCCCCACAGATGAAAAACCCAGTGTCTGTGAATTATTACATTGCCTGACAACTAGAAATGCCTATACTTTTACTTTAGGCGAGTCAGAATTGGACTTCTATTGTCCTGAGTCATTATATGATATGTATTTTATTTTCCATGAATGTTAAGTTTAACATTATTTCTTAATTAGATTAAACTATATGTGATACTATTTCTATAATAATTTATTAGACAAATATGAAAAATAAGATGGCTAAATATACTGAATGAATGGAAATAAATTTGTTTAAATTGCTGATTTTAATAATTGACATGAATATTCATTCACTTTCCACATGTAAGAGCTGTGAACCACATTGATTTCTATTTTCACAATATCACCATTGTGATAGAAAATAAGAGAAGTACCTGGGAAGTCATAGATAAACATATCAAAATAACTACCATTATATGAAGGGCCATTATATAAGGGACTCCATTTAAAGTATTTCAGGATTGTTAACTTTGCATATGTTAGCCACATATGCAACTCTTATTCTGTAAGTGAAAACAAAGATTACAGTAAATGTCCTCCTGCTTCCTAAAGAAAGATATAAAAAAAAGAGTTGTGGTTCAGAGAAGAGAGCTGTGTAACATAATGTATCAGCTTTACATTTCCTCCAAAGACTAATAGTAAGATTCTATTTAAAAGCCTTAAACAAGTCCCCTTGCAATGACTCATCAAAGGGGGCAAAGATTGGTGAAAATTCGGATGATAACTTAAAAAATAAAAACACAGTCTTACTGAGAATGGGAAGATACCATCTTATAGCAAGAATTAATTATAAAGCATTTCAGTTTGCATAAATTTTGCATGTTACTATTTATATCTCACTCTGTCACTCAGCCTGGAGTGCAGTGGCATGAACACGGCTCACTGCAGACTTGACCTCATGGGCTCAAGTCATTCTCCCACCTCAGCCTTCTCAGTAGATGGAACCACAGGTGTGCGCTGCCATGGTTGGCTGATTTTTAAACCATTTTGTAGAGATGAGTTCTTGCCATATTGCCCAGGCTGGTCTCGAACTCCTGGACTAAAGCTGTCCTCCTGCCTCGGCCTCCCAAAGTGCTGGGATTACATGTGTGAGCCTCTGCACACAGCAGAAATATCATTCTGGCTAGACTAATCCATTGACTCCATAATTAGCTCACTGCATGTATTTAGCAAATGCTTATGGATGTAAATGTATATATTATTTTATAATTCTAACAGATATGAAGGAAGAAAAATACTTGATATACAGCAACTAGAACCTACATAAGTTATGAATTCTAGTATTTGGCATTCAATTTAGGCAAAATTAATAAATGTTATATCTTTTTAAAGAGAAAAGCATATTGATTTAAAAGCTGATATAAGCTCACAGGAAAACAAATCCATAAAACCTTTGAATTACCAGAAAAATACAAAGAAAAGATGAAACCTGTAACCCTATATTCTACAATAATTTCTATAAACATTTGGTGGAATTCCTAAGAATATAACCATCATATATAGTATTTTCCTCTATGTATTAACTTCACTTATAAAATAATTTTCTATTGATATGCAAATATAGGTTTTTTATTTTGGTAAAATTGCCCAGTATTACATCCTCAGGACTTTTCCTTTTTAGTTTGTTGATGCTGTACTTCAGAGGTCAGCACACTAAGGTCCTTGGGCCAAGCCCAGCCTCTGCCTACTTTTGTAAATAAAGTTTTTTTGGAACAAAGTCATTGTTACTCATTTATATATTGTCCATGGTTGCTTTCTTTACGCAAGGAGAAAATTCCAGTAGTTGTGACAAGTGAATATTTTTGCAATAGAACTAAAATTATTTGCTATTTAGCCCTTAACAGAAGAAAATTTCCTACCACTCAAGGGGAAAATAATGGACAGGAGACAGGACTAACATGCAGTTCCCACTCGGATGGACAGAACAGCATGTGGAGACTCACATCATGAACTTTTACTCCAAGAACCACCACAGGAACATACCAAGAAAACCAAAATAATTCACAGACCCTTCAAAAGTAGTGGCTTGCTGCTGCAAAGTCTGTGAGACAGATGAAAAACGGAGTTCCCAAAGTGCGAGAGGGGGAAAAGTATGCCTCTGAACACATATCCCTATTGGGGAACCTGAAAATTCAGATCATGGGAGAAGAATTTAATTTTACCTAGAGCTGAAATGGATTTAGGGAGCCAAGCAAAATATAAAATCAGAAGAAGCAGTGGGAAGAGCCCTGTAGGAACTCCCAGTCCCCAGCTTGAACCAAGGGAAGCCATCCCTGGCTTTACCTCAAAAGGGTCCTAGGGGAAGGTACTCAGCAGAACTGGGGAGAAGCCACAGGGTAAAGGAAACTTCTAGCTGAACTTGTAATATTTTGATTGAGCGTGAATTTTCCTGAGCAGAATCCAGGGGAGCAAATGACAAGTGCAGATATAAGCACAGGAGCTGCAGCCAGCAGGAGAGGTCTGAGAGCCTGCTTGCTTTCTCAAGAGGAGAGACTTGTAGCCTGCAGCAAGATCTCAGCCTTTTGTGCAGGCTGCCTGCATATAAACTCAGGGCTGTTGGCGGAACACAGCAGGAGTGAGACTGGCTTTGCTGGTTGCATGGGAGCTGGATGAGGTTTGTCACTGCTTGCTTTCCCCCACTTCCGTGGTGACCTGTATGACACATCAGAGGCAGCCATAACCCCCCTTGGAACATAGCTCCATTGACCTAAGAACCAAACCCATCCCCCACAGTGGGCATAGCAAGCCCTGCCCAAGGACAGTCTGAGCTCAGACCTGCCTAAACCTGCCCCCACCTGATGGTTTTTCTCTAATGGCCCTGGTAGCCACAGACAAAAACATAAACTCTTGGGAGCTCTATGGCCCTGCCTATTGCCTGAGAAACCGTAATACTTATCCTGGGCAACATAAGGCAAGCTTATATCCACCTTCTACTATTGCAGCTGGTGATCTCTTGAAAGTGCCACCTCCGGACTGGAGGCCAACCAACTCAGAAACTCATAAAAAAAAAAAAAAAAAAAAAACACCTTTATTCAAAGAATGAGAAAACAACAGCTAATTCCACTGCCTGCAACATCTTGGCTAACCAGAGGTCCTGAGTCTGTCCATGTGACAACTTCACTGCTAGTATAAGAAGCATTCAAGAAAACCAATGCACTCAACAATACTACTATAATCAAGGACTCCCACAAGGTCCACTTAACTCCCCTGACATCTGCACTGGAGCAGGTGTTGGTATCCACATCTGGGAGACTTGAAGACAGATCACATCACAGGACTAGTTGCAGACATTCCCCAGCACCAGCCCAGAGCCCAGTAGCCATGCTGGGTGGCAAGACCCAGAAGGGCAATAACAATCACTCTAGTCTAGCTTTCAGGAAGCCCCATCCATAGGGAAGGGGGAAGAGAACCACATCAAGGGATCACCCCGTGGGACAAAAGAATCTGAACAGCAGCCCTTGAGTTCCAGATTTTTCCACTGAACCAGTCTACCCAATTGAGAAGAAACCACATGAGTAATTCTGGTTGTATGCCAAAACAAGGTTCTATAAAACCACCAAAAGATCACACTAGCTCTCCAGCAATGGATCCAAACCAGGAAGAAATCTCTGGATTTCCAAATGAAGAGTTCAGAAGGTTAATTATTAAGCTAATCAAGGTGATACCAGAGAAAGGTGAAATGAACTTAAGGAAATTAAAAAATACAGGATATGGATCCAAAAGTCTCCAGAGAAATAGTTATCATAAAGAGAAGACAATCATAACTACTGGAAATGAAAGACACACTTAAAGAAATACAAAATACATGGAACGTTTCAACAATAGACTAGAACAAGTAGAAGAAAACCATAAGAGCTAGAAACAGGCTTTCTAATTAACCCAATCTGACAAATACAAAGAAAAAAAGATTAAAAAGAAATGAACAAAACCACCAAGAAATTTGGGATTATGTAAAATGAACAAATGTAAGAAGAATTGGTGTTCCTAGAAAAATTAGAAATCTAAAAGTTTGGAAAACGTGTTTGAGGAAATAGTCAAGGAAATTGTTCCTGGATTGCTAGAGATCTAACATCCAAATTAAAGAAGCTCAAAGAATACCTGTGAAATTAATTCCAAAAAGAATCATCACCTAGACACATAGTCATCAGGTTATCTAAAGTCAAGACAAAGAAAATAATCTTAAGAGCTGTGAGGTGCGAGCATCGGGTAACCTATAAAGAAAAACCTGTAACATTAATAGCAGATTTTTCAGCAGACACCCTATAAGCAAGAAGGAATTGCAGTCCTATATTTAGCCTCCTTAAACAAAGTAATTATGAGCCAATAATTTTGTATCCAGCAATGCTAAGCTTCATAAATGAAGGATAGATAAAATCTTTTTCAGACAAACAAATGTTGAGAGAATTTGCCACTACCAAGTCAGCACTACAAAAACTACTAAAAGGAATTCTAAATCTTGAAACAAAACTTGGAATACACCAAAATAGAACCTCTTTAAAGCATAAGTCTCACAGGGCCTATAATACTATAACACAATTAAAAATAAAAACAGGGTATTCAGGCAACAGCTAGCATGATAAATGGAACAGTACCTGACATCTTAGTACTAGCATTAAATGTAAATGGCGTAAATGCTCCACTTAAAAAATACAGAGTAGCAGAGTGGATAAACATCCACCAACCAAATATCTGCTGTCTTCAAGAAACTCAACTAACACAGAAGGACTCAAATAAACTTAATGTAAAGGGATAGAAAAAGATTTTCTATGCAAATTGAAAAAAGTGAGCAAAAGTAACTATTCTTATATCAGACAAAACAGACTTTAATGCAACAATAGTTAAAAGAGACAAAGAGAGACATTATATAATGATAACAACATTTTCCCAAAAGGAAAGTATTACAATCCTAAATACATATGCACCTAACACTGGGGATCCCAAATTTATGAAACAATTACTACTGGACCTGAGAAATGAGATAGATGGCAACACAGTAATAGTGGGGGACTTCAATACTCCATTGACAGCACTACACAGGTCATCAAGACAGAAAGTCAACGAAGAAACAAAGGATCTACATGGCCTGGTGCGGTGGTTCATGCCAGTAATCCCAGCACTTTGGGAGGCCAAGGTGGGTGGATCACAAGTTCAGGAGATCGAGACCATCCTGGCTAACTCGGTAAAACCCTGTCTCTACTAAAAATACAAAAACAAAATTAGCTGGGTGTGGTTGAGGGCACCTGTATTTCCAGCTACTCAGGAGGCTGAGGTGGGAGAATGGCATGAACTTGGGAGATGGAGCTTGCAGTGAGCCGAGATTGTGCCACTGCACTCCAGCCTGGGCAACAGAGTGAGACTCCATCTCAAAAAAAAAAAAAAAAAAAAAAAAAAGAAAAAGAAAAAGAAAAAGAAAAAAGAAACAATGGATCTACACTATACACTAGAACAAATGGCCTTAACAGACATTTACAGAACATTCTACCCAAAAACTGCAGAATATACATTGTTTTTATCAGCACTTGGAACATTCTCCAAGAGAGACCATATGATAGGCCACAAAAAAAGTCTCAATACATTTTAAAACATTGAAATTATACCAAGTACTCTCTCAGACCACAGTGGAATAAAATTAGAAATTAACTCCAAAAGGAACACACAAAACTAGAAAAATAGATGGAAATTAAGTAATCTGCTCCTGATTGATCTTTGGGTCAACAATGAAATAAAAATGGAAATTTAAAAATTATTTGAACTAAATGATAATAGTGACACAACCTAAGAAAAACTCTGGGATACAGCAAAAGCAGTGCTAAGAGGAAAGTTCATAGCATTAAATGTCTACATCAAAAAGTCTGAAAGCGAACAAATAGAAAATCTAAGCTCACACCTCAAGGAACCAGAGAAGCAAGAGGAAACCAAACAGATACCCAGCAGAAGAAAATTAACATATCTCAGAGCAGAATTAATGAAATTGAAGCAAAAACTACAAAAGATAAGTGGTCCCAAAAGCCGGTTCTTTGAAACGATAAACAAAATAGATAAATAGTGAGATTAATCAAGAAAAGAAGAGAGAAGATCCAAATAAACTCAATTAAAAACAAAATGGGAGATATTATCATCAATACCACATAAATACAAAGGATAATTTAAGGCTATTATAAACACCTTATTTACACAAACTGGAAAACCTAGAAGAGATGGATAAATTCCTGAAAATACACAACCCTCCAAGATTAAACCAGAAGAAACAGAAACTCTGAACAGACCAATAACAAGTAGCAAGATTAAAACAGTAATAATAATAATAAAAAAAAAAAACTTGTCAACAAAAAAAGTCCAGGACCAGAGGGATTCACAGCTGAATTCTATCAGACATGCAATGGTGATACCATTGCATGTTTCAGTAGGTACCAATCCTACTGAAACTCTTCCAAAAGATAGAGTAAGAGGTAATCTCTCGTAAATCATTCTATGAATCCAGTATCACCCTAATACAAAACCCAGGAAAGGACATTAAAAAAAAAACAACTACAGACTAATAGCAGTGATGAACATAGATGCAAGAATCCTCAACAAAAAACTAGCTAAATAAATTCAACAGCATATCAAAAAGATTATCCACCATGATCAAGTAGGTTTCATATCAGGGATGCAGGGATTATTTAACATATGAAGTCAAAAAATGTGATACACCACATGAACAGAATTAATAACAAAATTATATGATCATCTCAATAGTGTACAAAAAGCATTGATAAAATCCAGCATCTCTTTATGATTAAAACCCTTAGCAAAATCGGCATAGAAGGGACATACTTTAAGGCAATAAAAGCCATCTATGAGAAACCCACACTCAATATTATACTAAATGTAGAAAAGTTGATAGTATTCCCCCCAAGAACTGAAACAAGACAAGGATGCCCACTTTCACCACTTCTATTCAACAAAGTACTGGAAGTATTAGCCAGAGCAATCAGACAAGAGAAAGAAAAAAAGGGCATCTAAATCAGTAAAGGGAAAGTCAAACTGTTGCTGTTCGCCAATGATATGATTATATACCTAGAAAACCCTAAAGACTCATCCGAAAAGCTTCTAGAGCTGATAAATAAATTCAGTAAAGTATCAGGATACAAAATCACTGTACACAAATCAGTAGCAATGCCATACAGCAACAGTGACCAAGTTGGGAATCAAATCAAGAACTCAACCACTTTTACAATAGCTGCAAGAAAAATAAAATACTTAGGAATATACCTAACCAAAGAGGTGAAAGATCTCTATAAGGAAAGTTACAAAACACTGCTGAAATAAATCATCAATGACACAAACAAATGGAAACAGCTCATGCTCATGGATGGCTAGAATCAGCATTGTGAAAATGACCACACTGCCAAAAGGAATCTATAATTTTAATGAATTCCCATCAAAATACCATCATCATTCTTCATAGAACTAAAAAATACAATCCTAAAATACACATGGAACCAAAAAGAGTCTGCATAGCCAAAGAAAGACTAAGCAAAAAGAACAAATCTGGAGGCATCACGTTATTTAACTTCAAACAATACTACAAGGCTATAGTTACCAAAACATCATGGCACTGATATAAAAGCAGGCACATAGACCAATGGAACAAAATAGAAAACCTAGAAATAAAGCCAAATACTTAAAGCCAACTGATCTTTAACAAGGCAAACAAAAACATAAAGTGGGGAAAAAACAACAAATGGTGCTGGGATAACTGGCAAGTCACATGTAGAAGAATGAAACTGGATCCTCTCTCTCATCTCATACAAAAATCAACTCAAGATGGATCAAAGACTTAAATCAAAGACCTGAAACCATAAAAATTCTAGAAGATAACATTAGAAAAACTGTTCTAGACATTGGCTTAGGCAAGGAGTTTATGACCAAGAACCCAAAAGCAAATATAACAAAAACAAAGAAAAATAGATGGGACTTAATTAAACTAAAAAGCTTCTGCACAGCAAAAGAAATAATCAGCAGAGTAAACGGGTAGCCCACAGAGTGGGAAAAAAATCTTCACAAACTATGCTTCTTACAAATGGCTAATATTCAGAATCTACAAGGAAATCAAACAAATCAGCAAGAAAAAAAATAATCCCTTCAAAAAGTGAGCTAAGGACATGAATAGACAATTCTCAAAAGAAGATACACAAATGGCCAACAAACATGTGAAAAAAAAATGCTAAACATCAATAGCGATCAAGGAAATGGAAATCAAAACCACAATACAATACCACCTTACTCCTGCAAAAATAGACATAGTTAAAAAAAATGAAATACTACTCAGCCAAAAAACAGAATGAAATAATGGCATTCGCAGCAACCTGGATGAAGTTGGAGACCATTATTTTAAGTGAAGTAATTCAAGAATAGAAAACCAAACATCATATGTTCTCAGTTATAAGTGGGAGCTAATCTATGAGGACGCAAAGACCCAAGAATAATATAATAAACTCTGGGGACTTGAAGGAAAGGGTGGGAAGGGGGTGAGAGATAAAAGACTACACATTGGGTACAGTGTACACTGCTCTGGTGATGGGTGCATCAAAATCTCGGAAATCATCACTAAAGAACTTAGCTATGTAACCAAATACCACCTGTTTCCCAAAACTATTGAAATAATAATATTAACAACAAAAAAGTTTTAGGAATTTAAAAAAAGGAAAATATTGCTTACCTTGCCTAAAAGGACCTAAAAATTGCACTGTCATTTTTATCTTTCTAATTGGTTTCTCTTTTTAAATATATATTCATAAAAGTAAAATGTATAGTAGAAATGGAAATATATCCATAATGAAGTAAAATACATGGTAGAACTATAAAGATACTTTTAAAATAAATCATTTTTAAAAATCTTTACTTGACAACTAGATCAAAAATATGTATTACATTCAGAAACCCATTTGTTATTCTATAAATGTTTGGTACATTTTTCCATAATATGACTGATCTGAGTTGCAACATGGTAATCCATAATATGGTCATTTCATGATTTATTTCATTATCTGTTAGTGATCCCTTTCTTTCCTTCCTTCCTTCCTTTCCTCCTTCCTTTCCTCCTTCCTTCCTTTCTCTTTCTTTCTTTCTTCCTTTCTTTTCCTTCTTTCTTTATTTTCCTTCTTCTGTTCTTTCTTTCCTTTCTTATTTTCTAAGTTGCAACTAATGCTGCAATAAATATGTAACAGTTTGGTTCACATTACAGGAGGGTTTTTGTGTGGGGGGGTAATTATTAAGGAATGGAACTACTGATGGAGTAGATATCCATCATTACATTTAACTACTCATTATGTCTATCCTAAACCTGTGTTTAGAAATCCTCCGCCTCTTATGATAGATCCTACCTTCCATTAAACAAACTGTAAAGTTCAGATATAAGCTTTTTCTGCCATTCCTGAATATGGGGCTTGGGAAATCAAGTGGTCTCTTAGATTTTTAATTAAACAAGGAAGAAGACAATGAAGAGAAATAAAGAGAAAAAGGAGATCTAGAGAAAGAGGAAGAGGAGGAAGCATAAAGGCAGAAAAAACAGGAGGAGAAAATGAAGAAAAAATGAAGAGAAGTAAGTGAAAACAGAGAAGAGGAGGATAAAGAGAAGGAAAAAAGGTGAAAACAAAATATCTCCACATATACAGAAAAGAGGAACCACGTAGTATATTTTATGACAGAGGAAGGAGGGCAACTGAGGCAACCACATGCAATTTCCCTAGTCCCATTTGTGGAAGTGCACAGACTTGGCATTGATGGTATTGTTGGAGCAAGGCCCACTGTTACTGTCTAATGGTGGCAGCCAGTGAGAACTTCAAATGGTTCTGAGGGAAGATGTGAACATTTTTTTTCCTGCCTGTTCACCCTCCAAGACTGGTTTTCAGATGCTGGCTGGGATTCCTAGAGGAACTTAGTATATTTTTATTGAATTGTACTATCCAGATACGGTTTTTGTTTCTTGAAATTAGAAACTATGAATCATAGAGACATTTTACCAGAAATGATTGTAGGCAACTGACTCTCAGGGTAATGGGTAGAATTTTGCATTGCTTCTCTGTCCTGAAAAGGCTAATGGCAGTGAGTACAATTAACGGCCTATAGCTCGTGGCATGCAGTGTCCAAAAAATTAAATAATTGCTTGGATCTACTGTGATAACTGAAGGGGCCATTAAAGCCAAGTGTTTTCTCACTATCAGCAAAATATTTGAGTTTTGCAGAACTGGTGCGCCTTCCCTATTCTTCCAACTACAACATACCCAATTCCAAAGATATGATATAAGTTTAACGGTATTTGTGATCCTCTGTTAGCATTTCTGTGAATAAACATCCTATATTATACTATTTACTTATATTTGCTTCTCACAGTTGTGGGGCCAGTTTGGGTGTGTTTGGCTGAACATATTTTGCCAGTAGCTAGACGTGTGGATTATCTGTTTCTTTGGGGGTATAAGCAACTTTCTATCTCGCTTTTCCTGTCTCCCTAAGGCAAACATACCAATTCTAAGTTCTCAATTGAAAGCAAACATCTCTGCTGACCAGATTTTCTCGTGAGACAGAAATTAACAAATTTGCCAGTATTGTTCTTATTGGTATAATCCCAAATATTTGCCCTGATAGTGACCATGGAAGTCCTCCATATTCCATGAACATTTGTAGCAAACCTAGTTTATCTTAACCAAGGACTATGACTTCATTATCAAATACAATTAAATCTGTCTTTAGTCTTTCTGTGATTTCTAGACATGCTTATGATATTTCAGAATTTTTAATTAACACGACTGCTCTCTAAGAGTTGGAGCAGAACAGAAAATCAACGCCATAGGCAGTGTCTGTATCTTGCTCCAGTGACTGAAGCTGGATTATGAGCTGTTTGGACACAGCAATGTAGGGTTTTTCAACTTTCTTGTAATATTTGCAGATACAGACCTCAGCTACTTTTGTTTCTTCCAGATATATATTTTTGTCATTGTTATTTCCAAAGAAAATATTATTTTTATATAAATAATTTAGCATCATTTTTATGATGTACATTCTATACTTACAATCATGAAAATGCTTATTTGACCTCTATGTGGTAGAATTAATATGCTCTGTATGTTTTCAACTGTCCTGCTTCAATTTTAATATTATCAACAAGTACCGAATCATTTCTTTAGTGAACACTTGTTTTAAATTATAATCAAAAATTATAATCAATTATATATTGTAATACATATGTATACATATTAACATAATACATTACATATACATAATACATATACAATTATAATTATAAACAATCACCACAGTAAAACTTCAATTCACTCTAACTTTTGGCTTATCTGGTTGTGTAAAATGTCAAAATGTAGTTTACCACAATGTATTCTAAAATAGAAAAATTTATACATGGAGCATCGAGAAAAACATAAAATATATCAATAAAACATTAGAGGACCAAGATATTTAATCAGAGGAAATGAGGAATGATATTTCATTGAAGCACTGGTATTATTGCTTCTGGGCAAATAGGCTAGGTAACATGATGTATATACCTTCTGTAAAATAAAATTACACTTATATAACTTGCCAGACTTCTTGAGAAAAAAATAGTGAATATAAGTCTTTTTGTCTTTTGAAAGCTTTAAGTCAATCTTTTTCTTCTCTTTATAGTTTAACAAAAGTCAAAATAATTGTACCTATAAATGAATCAGCTTAGAAATACAAGAACACCATAATTTAATTATCCACGCAGTATAATCTTTGTTATGAAGATTATCTCATGAATTCATGTTATTAAATAATGTTAAATTATAGCATGTATGCTCTAGATCAGAAAATAATTGTATGTTCTATGCTTAACTAAAATAATACTCCCTATAATAAATTTATTTCATGTATTTTTGAATAATTCATTCACATAATGATATATACTTCTAAAGAACAATTCTGATGTAAATATGTATTTAACACTCTTCAAGTTTGAACTTTTAGAAGTTCCACTTTTTCTGTCTAATGTGTCAGCATTTTCATGCTACCTACAATGTATTTGTTCAATCTGTATGGAGGTATTTTTTCTCATCCTTGTATCTCCAATTGTTAAAAATATTACTGCATACTCTATAAGCAAGGTAGCAAATACTATGTATCTAAAATCTAATTTGGTTGAAATAGAAAATTCAAGAAAAGCATGTACCATACTAGACTATGAAAAGCATGGCTTCTCTAATAGTAAAAATTTTTAAATGCACATCCATATTTTTTTAACTGTTAGAGGGATCACTGGTTTCTGACTGTCCCTTTTCAAGAAGGCCTGTTCCAAGGAAACTCCATGTTAAATTTATATATTTTTAAATTATACTTTAAGTTCTAGGGTACACGTGCACAACGTGTAGGTTTCTTACATATGTATACATGTGACATGTTGGTGTGCTGCACCCATTAACTCGTCATTTACATTAGGTATATCTCCTAATGCTATCCCTCCCCCCTCCTCCTACCCCACAGGCCCCAGTGTGTGATGTTCCCCTTCTTGTGTCCAAGTGTTCCCATTGTTCAATTCCCACCTATGAGTGAGAACATGGGGTGTTTGGTTTTTTGTCCTTGTGATAGTTTGCTGAAAGTGATGGTTTCCAGCTTCATCCATGTCCCTACAAAGGACATGAACTCTTTCTTTTTTAGGGCTGCATAGTATTCCACGGTGTATATGTGCCACATTTTCTTAAGCCAGTCTATCATTGATGGACATTTGGGTTGGTTCCAAGTCTTTGCTATTGCGAATAGTGCCACAGTAAACATACGTGTGCATGTGTCTTTACAACAGCATGATTTATAACCCTTTGGGTATATACCCAGTAATGGGATGGCTGGGTCAAATGGTATTTCTAGTTCTAGATCCTTGAGGAATTGCCATACTGTCTTCCACAACAGTTGAACTGGTTTATAGTCCCACCAACAGTGTAAAAGCGTTCCTATTTCTCCACATCCTCTCCAGCACCTGTTGTTTCCTTTTTAATGATCGCCATTCTAACTGGTGTGAGATGGTATCTCATTGTGGTTTTGATTTGCATTTCTCTGATGGCCAGTGATGATGAGCATTTTTTCATGTGTCTTTTGGCTGCATAAATGTCTTCTTTTGAGAAGTGTCTGTTCATATACGTCACCTACTTTTTGATGGGGTTGTTTGTTTTTTTCTTGTAAATTTGTCTGAGTTCTTTGTAGATTCTGGATATTAGCCGTTTGTCAGATGAGTAGATCGCAAAAATTTTCTCCCATTCTCTAGGTTGCCTGTTCACTCTGATGGTAGTTTCTTTTGCTGTGCAGAAGCTCTTTAGTTTAATTAGATCCCATTTGTCAATTTTGGCTTTTGTTGCAATTGCTTTTGGTGTTTTAGACATGAAGTCCTTGCCGATGCCTATGTCCTGAATGGTATTGCCTGGGTTTTCTTCTAGGGTTTTTATGGTTTTAGGTCTAACATTTAAGTCTTTAATCCACCTTGAATTAATTTTTGTATAAGGTGTAAGCTTTCTACATATGGCTAGCCAGTTTTCCCAGCACCATTTATTAAATAGGGAATCCTTTCCCCATTAATTGTTTTTCTCAGGTTTGTCAAAGATCAGATGGTTGTAGATGTGTGGTATTATTTCTGAGGGCTCTGTTCTGTTCCATTGGTCTGTATCTCTGTTTTGGCACCAGTATCATGCTGTTTTGGTTACTGTAGCCTTGTAGTATGGTTTGAAGTCAGGTAGCGTGATGCCTCCATCATTGCTCTTTTGGCTTAGGATTGACTTGGCAATGCAGGCTCTTTTTTGGTTCCATATGAACTTTAAAGTAGTTTTTTCCAATTCTGTGAAGAAAGTCATTGGTAGCTTGATAGGGATGGCATTAAATTTATAAATTACCTTGGGCAGTATGACTATTTTCACGATATTGATTCTTCCTATCCATGAGCATGGAATGTTCTTCCATTTCTTTGTGTCCTCTTTTATTTCGTTGAGCAGTGGTTTGTAGTTCTCCTTGAAGAGGTCCTTCACATCCCTTGTAAGCTGGTTTCCTAGGTATTTTATTCTCTTTGAAGCAATTGTGAATGGGTGTTCACTCATGATTTGGCTCTCTTTTTGTCTGTTATTGCTGTAAAGGAATGCTTGTGATTTTTGCACACTGATTTTATATTCTGAGACTTTGCTGAAGTTGCTTATCAGCTTAAGGAGATTTGGGGCTGAGACGATGGGGTGTTCTAAATATACAATCATGTCATCTGCAAACAGGGACAATTTGACTTCCTCTTTTGCTAATTGAATACCTTTTATTTCTTTCTGCTGCCTGATTGCCCTGGCCAGAACTTCCAACACTATGTTGAATAGGAATGGTGAGAGAGGGCATCCCTGTCTTGTGCCAGTTTTCAAAGGGAATGCTTCCAGTTTTTGCCCGTTCAGTATTATATTGGCTGTGGGTTTGTCATAAATAGCTCTTATTATTTTGAGATAGTCCCATCAATACCTAATTTATTGAGAGTTTTTAGCATGAAGGGCTGTTGAATTTTGTCAAAGGCCTTTTCTGCATCTATTGAGATAATCATGCGGTTTTTGTCTTCAGTTCTGTTTATATGCTGGATTACGTGTATTGATTTGCCTATGTTGAACCAGCCTTGCATCTCAGGGATGAAGCCCACTTGATCATGGTGGATAAGCTTTTTGATGTGCTGCTGGATTCGGTTTGCCAATATTTTATTGAGGATTTTTGCACTGATGTTCATCAGGGATATTGGTCTAAAATTCTCTTTTTTTGTTGTATCTCTGCCAGGCTTTGGTATCAGGATGATGCTGGCCTCATAAAATGAGTTAGGGAGGATTCCCTCTTTTTCTATTGATTGGAATAGTTTCAGAAGGAATGGTACCAGCTCCTCCTTGTACCTCTGGTATAATTCGGCTGTGAATTCGTCTGGTCCTGGACTTTTTTTTTGGTTGGTAGGCTAATAATTATTGCCTCAATTTCATAGCCTGTTATTGGTCTATTCAGGGATTCAACTTCTTCCTGGTTTAGTCTTGGGAGGGTGTATATGTCGAGGAATTTATCCATTTCTTCTAGATTTTCTAGTTTATTTGCATAGAGGTGTTTATAGTACTCTCTGATGGTAGTTTTTATTTCTGTGGGATTTATGGTGACATCGTCTTTAATTTTTTTTATTTTGTCTATTTGATTCTTCTCTCTTTTCTTCCTTATCAGTCTTGCTAGCGGTCTATCAATTTTGTTAATCTTTTCAAAAAACCGGCTCCTGGATTCATTAATTTTTTGAAGGATTTTTTGTGTCTCTATCTCCTTCAGTTCTGCTCTGATTTTAGTTATTTCCTGCTTTCTACTAGCTTTTGAATGTGTTTGCTCTTGCTTCTCTAGTTCTTTCAATTGTGATATTAGCGTGTTAATTTTAGATATTTCCTGCCTTCTCTTGTGGGCATTTAGTGCCATAAATTTCCTCTACACACGGCTTTAAATGTGTCCCAGAGATTCTGGTATGTTGTGTCTTTGTTCTCATTGGTTTCAAATAACATTTTTATTTCTGCCTTCATTTCGTTATGTACCCAGTAGTCATTCAGGAGCAGATTGTTCAATTTCCATGTAGTTAAGCAGTTTTCAGTGAGTTTCTTAATCCTGAGTTCTAGTTTGATTGCACTGTGATCTGAGAGACAGTTTGTTATAATTTCTGTTCTTTTACATTTGCTGAGGAGAGCTTTACTTCCAACTATGTAGTCAATTTTGGAATAAGTGCGATGTGATGCTGAGAAGAATGTATATTCTGTTGATTTGGGGTGGAGAGTTCTGTAGATGTCTATTAGGTCTGCTTGGTGCAGAGCTGAGTTCAATTCCTGGATATTCTTTTTAACTTTCTGTCTCATTGATCTGTCTAATGTTGACAGTGGGGTGTTAAAAGTCTCCCATTATTATTGAGTGGGAGTCTAAGTCTCTTTGTAGGTCTCTAAGGACTTGCTTTATGAATCTGGGTACTCCTGTGTTGGGTGCATATATATTTAAAACAGTTAGCTCTTCTTGTTGAATTGATCCCTTTACCATTAAGTAATGGCCTTCTTTTTGTCTCTTTTGATCTTTGTTGGTTTAAAGTCTGTTTTATCAGAGACTAGGATTGCAACTCCTGCCTTTTTTTGTTTTCCATTTGCTTTGTAGATCTTCCTCCATCCATTTATTTTGAGCCTATGTGTGTCTCTGCACATGAGATGGGTCTCCTGAATACAGCACACTGATGGGCCTTGACTCTTTATCCAATTTGCCAGTCTGTGTCTTTTAATTGGAGCATTTAGCCCATTTACATTTAAGGTTAATATTGTTATGTGTGAATTTGATCCTCTCATTATGATGTTAGCTGGTTATTTTGCTCATTAGTTGATGCAGTTTCTTCCTAGCATCGATGGTTTTTACAATTTGGCATGTTTTTGCAGTGGCTGGTACCAGTTGTTCCTTTCCATGTTTAGTGCTTCCTTCAGGTGCTCTTGTAGGGAAGACCTGGTGGTGACAAAATCTCTCAGCATTTGCTTGACTGTAATGGATTTTATTTCTTCTTCACTTATGAAGCTTAGCTTGGCTGGATATGAAAATCTGGGTTGAGAATTCCTTTCTTTAAGAATGTTGAATATTGGCCCCCACTCTCTCCTGGCTTGTAGGATTTCTGCCGAGAGATCAGCTGTTAGTCTGATGGGCTTCCCTTTGTGGGTAACCTGACCTTTCTTTCTGGCTGTCCTTAAACATTTTTTCCTTCATTTCAACTTTGGTGAATCCGACAATTATGTGTCTTGGAGTTGCTCTTCTCGAGGAATATCTTTGTGGCATTCTCTGTATTTCCTAAATTTGAATGTTGGCTTGTCTTGCTAGGTTGAGGAAGTTCTCCTGGATAATACCCTGCTGAGTGTTTTCCAACTTGGTTCCATTCTCCCTGTCACTTTCAGGTACACCAATCAGACATAGATTTGGTCTTTTCACATAGTCCCATATTTCTTGGAGGCTTTGTTCATTTCTTTTTACTCTTTTTTCTCTAAACTTCTCTTCTTGCTTCGTTTCATTCATTTGATCTTCAATCACTGATACCCTTTCTTCCAGTTGATCAAATCTGCTACTGAAGCTTGTGCATTCATCACGTAGTTCTTGTGCCATGGTTTCAGCTCCATCAGGTCATTTAAGGACTTCTCTGCACTGGTTATTCTAGTTAGCCATTCGTCTAATCTTTTTTCAAGGTTTTTAGCTTCTTTGCGATGGGTTCGAACTTCCTCCTTTAGCTCAGAGAAGTTTGATCATCTGAAGCCTTCTTCTCTCAATTCATCAAAGTCATTCTCCATCCAGCTTTGTTCCATTGCTGGTGAGGAGCTGCATACCTTTGGAGGGGGAGAGGCACTCTGATTTTTAGAATTTTCAGCTTTTCTTCTCTGTTTTTCCCATCTTTGTGGTTTTATCTACCTTTGATGATGGTGACGTACAGATGGGGTTTTGGTGTGGATGTCGTTCTGTTTGTTAGTTTTCCTTCTAACAGTCAGGACCCTCAGCTGCAGCTCTGTTGGAGTTTGCTGGAGGTCCACTCCAGACCCTGTTTGCCTGGGTATCAGCAGCAGAGGCTGCAGAACATTTAATATTGCTGAACAGCAAATGTTGCTGCCTGATCGGTCCTCTGAAAGCTTCATCTCAGAGGGGTACCCGGCCATAGGAGGGGTCAGTCTGCCCCTACTGTGGGATGCCTCCCAGTTAGGCTACTTGGGGGTCAGGGACCCACTTGAGGAGGCAGTCTGTCCATTCTCAGATCTCAAACTCCTTGCTGAGAGAACCACTACTCTCTTCAAAGCTGTCAGACAGGGACATTTAAGTCTGCAGAGGTTTCTGCTGCCTTTTGTTCAGCTATGCCCTGCCCCAAGAGGTGGAGTCTACATAGGCAGGCAGGCCTCCTTGAGCTGTGGTGGCCTCCACCCAGTTTGAGCTTCCATGCCGCTTTGTTTACTCAAGCCTCAGCAATGGTGGGTGCCCCACCCCCAGCCTCGCGGCCACCTTGCAGTTTGATCTCAGACTGCTGTGCTAGCAATGAGTGAGGCTCGGTGGGCGTGGGACCCTCTGAGCCAGGCACAGGATATAATCTCCTTGTGTGCCATTTGCTAAGACCGTTGGAAAAGCGTAGTATTAGGGTGGGAGTGACCCGATTTTCCGCATGCTGTCTGTCACAGCTTCCCTTGGCTAGGAAACGGAATTCCCTGACCCCTTGCACTTCCCAGGTGAGGCAATGCCTCTCCCTGCTTCAGCTCATGCTCAGTGTGCTGCACCCACTGTCCTGCACCCACTATCCAACAAGCCCCAGTGAGATGAACCCGGTACCTTAGTTAGAAATGCAGAAATCACCTGTCTTCTGCGTCGCCCACACTGGGAGCTGTAGACTGGAGCTGTTCCTCCATGTTAAATATTTTTTTCTGGCCAGGCACAGTGGCTCATGCCTGTAATCCCAGCACTTTGGGAGGCCGAGGCGGGCAGATCACGAGGTCAGGACATCGAGACCATCCTGGCTAACACAGTGAAACCCCGTCTCTACTAAAAAAAATATGAAAAATTAGCCGGGCATGGTAGCAGGTGCCTGTAGTCCCAGCTATGCAGGAGGCTGAGGCAGGAGAATGGCGTGAACCCAGGAGGCGGAGCTTGCAGTGAGCAGAGATCACGCCACTGCACTCTAGCCTGGGTGACAGAGTGAGACTCCACCTCAAAAATTATATGTATATATATATATTTTTTTTTCCCTCTGGTACATTTTTAAAAATTCTTTCTTCATTTTCTTACAGAGAAAGATTGAGGACTTCCAGCTCTGACCAAAATTTCCTAATGAACTTACTCTCCCACCTAAAAACAAAAAATATCTATAAATGCCAAATCTGGTTAAAAACACAAATAAAAACTAACAAAAATATCTGATGTCACTGAAGGGCAACTAAAACAGGCAGGACTTGACGGGCTACTATGTATGAGAAAATAAGGTACTGTAGCCTTCCACTCACCATGGACTTTTCAAAGAGGATATTTACTAACTCTTTGAATAGAGTCCAAACAGAAATCACATTTACATGGGCTGAAGAGGCAGAATTTATATTTTAGGAATGCCATAGCAGTTAGAACTTGAGGATCAGAATCCCAGCAAAGAGGGAACCTCAGTGACTGGCTTCATATTCTATGAAGAATTTTCCCTTCAGGCTGTAAATTTCTTTTTTTTTTGAGACGGAGCCTTGCTCTGTTGCCCAGGCTGGAGGGCAGTGGCACGATCTTGGCTCACTGCAAGCTCCGCCTCCCAGGTTCATGACATTCTTCTTCCTCAGCCTCCTGAGTAGCTGGGACTATAGGCGCCCGCCACCACGCTGGCCTAATTTTGTGTATTTTTAGTAGAGACGGGGTTTCATCGTGTTAGCCAGGATGGTCTTTATCTCCTGACCTCGTGATCCGCCCGCCTTGGCCTCCCAAAGTGCTGAGATTACAGGCGTGATCCACCATGCCTGGCGAGGCTGTAAATTTCTACAAGTTATAATGAAAAATGTCTGGTATTCAATCAAAATTTTAATACTGTAAAAATTAGAACAAAAATAGCAGAATAAAACAAATAATAGGGAGAGATGTACAGTCAATTCAGATCTTGCAGTTATCAAGAATAGACTATGAAATAACTTGTATTAATATGTTTAAATATGTGTAGAATTCCTAAGAAACTGAAATAAATCCAAAGGAATTAAATAAAAATTTTAGAGCTAAAACTCTTAAGCTATAACAAAAAATTCAACATATAAGTTTAATAAAATATTAGGTATAGTAGTACAAGGAAGAATGAAATAGGAGTGATATAAATAAAAATATTCATGTTGAAACTAAAGAGAAGATCATGGGGGATATAGAAAGATAGAGATAAATGGGACATTGTAAAAAGTTCTAACATACATGTAATTGCTGTACAAAATGTATAACACAAAGGGAATAAGAAATAAGAAATACTTGAAAAAATAATTCCTGAGAATTTCCCTAAACTGATGAAAGCCATCAAAATACATAATCAAGAATTTCTATAAGAATTTCCACAAATTTCAATAAGGATACATAAAAAGACAGCCTGACCTAAGTATATCACAATAAACTGCTGAAAATGATGAGTCAGAATAAATATTTTTTTAAAAAGCCTGAAAAAGACAGAATAATATTATCAATGAAGCAAAGAAGTAATAATTATGGAATCTGACCAATATCCAAAATAAATATTGTCAAATAAAAATTCCACTGTATCTCACTTAATGCTCTTGGACTGTCTCTGCAGCGTTTCAGTTACATTAAATGGGTCAGTATGACAGAAAAGGAGTGAGTTTAGAGAGAAAAAGTAAGACAGGAATTCAAAGTGGCAACATAATTGGCATTTTACTCTGAGTGGACTAGGTATACATTAGAGGATTCTTTGCAGAGTAAGTTGTTCTGAATTAAACAGCATAATTCTGACTTTTGTGATCTTCCTAACACAAAAAGATACAAAGACAGAAAAAGAATGACATGTTAAGTAACCTTTGTTATACTCCAGGCTAGAAATGATGGCAAATGGGTTCAAGTTTTAATAGTAGAGTGGAAGAGAAGTAGTTTGTTTCTGGCTATAATTTGACAGCAGAGCTCTCAGTACTTGCTGAAGAAGCAGATACAGAGAGTGAGAAAAATAGAGGACTCGAGTAAGATTTTAGATGACAGGTTGGTAAAGGGAACCATCACAAAATAAAATTGAAATTGAAATTTGGCATAGATGTATAGGTCTTTGATCACAGTTGTGAAAAAATATGAAATGTGCATATTCCAATTTTTAGAACATTTTACACTTGTTTTAGCTAATTTTAACTCAAAATATCTCTAAGTTAAAGAGTATCAGTTAAGATCAGTTATTGTTAACTCCTCATAAAGCCTTTTTTGTTTACTTCATGATAAGTTAGAATGTGAATTTCTCTAAGAGTGTGATTTTTTAAATTGTGCAAGTTAGATCATTTTGTTTCATGGTTTCAACAAAACTACAGGGAAATCTACTCAAGCTGTCAGCACATAGCACATTTGATGATCAACAATTATGTGAACTTTGGCATATAAATTAGAAAGACTGCAAATAATTAGTATTTCTATAACAAAACTCATTTTATTTCTATTTATTTATATAAGATATTTCACAGCAAATAAATTAATAAAAGGAATAGAAATGATAATAATTCCTCATTTTACCAACTGATAGTCATCCACAGATATATAAAGTAATTCAGAATAGTAAATCTCACACAATTCACTGATGTCTTTTTAATAAAACATTATGTTCATGTTTAATAACTAATCAAAATTATTAGTATACACATTTTTGAGAATTGTATATTGTTACAACTAATAACAATATTTGTCAATTGTTTATAAAGTCTATAAATAGTTTAATTCTCCGAACCTATTTAAAGAAATTAAAATAATTATGTGATAATTTATAACACATATTTTATAGCAAACATGCGTTGTAAGGATCAAAAGTTAATGTTAAATATGTACTGCTTTATATTTTATATATCTATTCATCTGCATAAAATTCTTTGCAAGAAGTGGAATGGAAATTTGAGCTTCTTCATCATGTAAATTTTCAAACATTAAAAAAAGTCTAACATGTGTCTTTTAAATAAATATTGTCAGGTTTAAAATCCATGTGAAAATTACATTCCATTGGATTAATTTTAAAAGTTGATAATGCCAGATTCAATTTAAAATATCATCCTATAAAATGTATGTAAAATTCCATAGTTTGTATCACTTAAACTTACTATAAAATACTGTATTTGCCACTTAATTTTTTACCCCAAAATTTTATTGTATAATGAATGAGTGTAATATTTTTTCTACCTCACGTAGTATAAGGCATTGTATGATTTCAGAAATTAAATAAAAGAAAGGATGATCATTATATGTTAGAAACTATTTAAACAGAGAAAAGGGAAATGCGCTTAAGGTAGATAAAGGTTTTGTTTTAGGTAGGGCCAGAACATACATTTTACCTCCTGAGGAATAATGTCAGATAACTAGACTTAGGTAGCTCAGATGGCATTGAAAAATTAGAAATACACATTTTTGAGTTATTTCCTTTTGTTTTGTGTGTGTTTCTGAAGTGGAAAATAATGATTTGCTCTTTTTAAAACTTGATTGAAATGGTGATTGATTTTTTTTCAGAATATGAATCTCAGGTAAAAATTTGATACAGTAGTCGGGCCCCTCTAAACAACAAGCATCTCTTCAGAGCACAGATAAACGCAGTGGACTCCGACGTGATCTGTGATGAGCCAATTTGGACTGAACAGCTTAGCTAGAGGAGATACAGGCAAACTGCTGGGTTTATATTTCCGAATGCTACTAAGTAATCAAGGAAATGATCTGCAAAATGTTTTATGTACTATTTTCTGTACTGGCTGAAAACAATGCTATAAATAATACTTTGGAGGTGTATATAAAATCATGAATATTAAATGATGTTCCAAATCTACGAATCTCACATTGGATAGTAGCATGATTGTAAGAAAGTTTTTCTTTAACAAACACGGCTTTAACTTCTTTTGTTTATATTGGTTCAGATTATTATTTAAAAATTTCTGCCGGGCGCAGTGGCTCACGCCTGTAATCCTAGCACTTTGGGAGGCTGAGGTGGGCTGATTACAAGGTCAGGAGATCAAGACCATCCTGGCTAACAGAGTGAAACCCCGTCTCTACTAAAAATACAAAAAATTAGCCAGGCGTGGTGGCTGGCGCCTGTAGTCCCAGCTACTCAGGAGTCTGAGGCAGGAGAATGGCATGAACCCGGGAGGCAGAGGGTGCAGTGAGCCGAGATCGTGCCACTGCACTCCAGCCTGGGCGACAGAGCGAGACTCTGCCTCAAAAAAACAAAACAAAACAAAACAAAAATTCTGCTTACTATACATGACCCTTGTTATTTAGACTTTTGTCCTTGATGTATAGTTATTTGTAAAATAGTTGTTGTTGTTTTAGTGCTGTCTTGGCCTAGTTTTATGGCTCTGGGTAGAGACTGGTCTATTTCCATTTTTGAGGAGTTGATTAAATCTACATTCCAACCACTTCCTTCACTGGGCTTTCTCACTTTTTGTCACCGTACACTCACCCTCATAGCCTTAAACTCAGGTACCAGACAACTAGAGACAGCTCCTATGTCCCTGGTGCCTACGAAATTATTCAAATGAGCTAGTGTACAGGCAGCTCAAGAAACTTTCCTAACTCCATCCTGCAAGTGTTGTACATGAGCTGCCCCCTGCAGCTCCAGCTTGCTGTTACCCTATCCACAGAGTTCAACATCTTGTGTGATCCTGCCTGATAGACTTCTCTCCTCTGGAGGTATAAGTAACAAAGAATTTTGCTTTTAATCCACCCAAATCTCAACATATGTCTACCATTCATATAACTGTAAAAATCACATACAATATTATTTAACAAACATTTATAGGTATATACTAGTGACAAAAGAGCAATGATCACTGACTTGTTGAGGCATACATTTTATCCATCTTCCTATTTCTATCTATATTACACATATTTTACATATTTGTAAAATTATAGCATTTCCTTTTTTATGTGTTTCTTTCTGCTATATGGTTTTCTTATGAAAAAATATTTAATCGAGAGTGAAACTTTATTGAGAACATGCCTGGTCAAACTGGTTTAAAAAAATAAAAACTAGAATCCTAATTTCTTTTTTTTGAGACAGAGTCTCGCTCTGTCAACCACGCTGGAGTGCAGTGGCGTGATCTTGGCTCACTGCAACCTCTGCCTCCCAGGTTCCAGTGATTCTGGTGACTGTCTCAGCCTCCCGAGTAGCTGGAACTACAGGTGTGCCCTATCATGCCTGGCTAATTTTTGTATTTTTAGTACAGATGGGGTTTCACCATGTTGGCCAGGCTGGTCTTGAACTCATCACCTCAAGTGATCTGCCTGCCTCAGCTTCCCAAAATGCTGGGATTACAGGCGTGAGCCACTGTGTTTGTTTTTGATCAGGGACGCATTTAAGACTTTCTTCTTTTACCATTGTGTGTGATATTAGCACTTTTTTTTTTTTATATCCTTTATCAGGTTCAGAAAGTTTCCTTTCATTACTAGATTACTGTTTGTTTTTCTAATGATCAAGTCCTGAATTTTTTTTCTAAATCTATTGCTATTATGTGTTTTATTTTCCTTTATTCTATTAGAGTGGTATATTTCATTAATGGATTTTCAGATGTTAAATTGATTTTGCATGCCTCTGATAAATTCCCACTAATCATAGTTATATATTTCTCCATTTAATTTGCTAATATTTTGTTAAAGTGCCCTAAATGTGTTTTTTTTATTTTTTACTTTTTATGCTATATTTTTACTGTAGCATTTTTGTTTAGCTATGTTTAGATATGCAAAATATTATCATTGTGTTACAATTACCTACAGCATTCAGGACAGTCGCATGCTATATGGTTTGTAGCCTAGGAGAAATAGGCTATACCATATAGCCTAGGTGTTTATAAGCTATACTATCTAGATTTGTGTAGGTATACTCTGTGATTGATGTTTGCACAAGATAAAATCACCAGAGAACAGATTTCTCAAAACATATCGCTGCCATTAAGTGATACATGATTGTAAATTCATATTCATTATATCTTTTTCATGTATTGACCCTTCTTTCAGTAGGAAATTGCCGTCTTTCACTGTAATACCACCTGTGAATTGAACTGTATTTTATGTGATATTGCTATAGCCACAGCCGGTTTCTTATGGGTTTGTTTGCATGATATATTATTTTCCTTTCTTCTTTTCTCAATCTGCACGTCTTTGTATTTTAAGAATATCCGTCTGCATGTCTTTGTATTTTAATTTTCATATACTAATTGTTGCATTTGAATCATTTCTAACAATTCTTTTAAAAATTGGAGTATTTTGTTATTCACATATAATAATGTAACATAATTGTTCATGTGGTTGGATTAAGGTCTGCATTTTGCTATTTGTTTGTAATTCAATTACTTTAGGTAAAATAGATGAAACTTACCAAAATATATTTTAATCTTTCCCCACACCATCCTTTTTACTATTGTTATCAATATGCATTACGTATCTATCAATTTTTCTTAAGCCCATTGGTAGAGTGCTATGTTTTGTTAAAGTCTTTAAAGAAAGTGAGAAAATAGTATGGATTTATTTATAAATAATATTTTATGTTCTTTATACCTTCTATAGATATGAGTTGCCATCTGGTATCATTTACCTTCAGCTTGAAATTTCTTTACTATTTTTTTCTAGTGCATATCTGCTCTTCTCAAGGACTTGGTTTTACACATCTGAAAATATCCTTCTCATCTCTACATTTTTGGAGGATTGTATTGCTTGATGCAAAATTCTTGACTGATTTTTTTTCTTCAGCACTTTAAATATCTTCTTATACTGTTTTCTAGCTTCTATAATTTTAAATATGAAGTTCAACGTTGATCTCATCAATCAAATTAGCAGTCTTTGCCTGAGATTCTCCTAGAGAGGATTAGTCATTTCCTAGGTGTGGGCAACACTTCAGTTCTTCACTCTCATTTTGCAGTATGAGATCTGAATATTCTAAATAAATTGATCATTTTCCAAGACTCCAAAGATCCTTTCAAATTTTGTGTTACCTCAGTAGGGAGCTGAGACGTAGAAGGGGATAGGTTCACGTGCTTAAGCTACTATTATTTAGAAATATTGATATCTGTTTTTTACTACATCTTTCGACTCATAATTTAGGCTTTTATGAATTCTTGCTTCAATTGTTCGATGTTCTGTTAACTGATTTCCTGCCTTTAATTTCACAACCTATAATTTCCTATCTAACCTTCTAGCAGTGAGATCTTCCTGAATTGCAAATCTGCAATGCTATAACCCTACCTAATTTTTCACTGGCTGCCATTTGTTAAGATCACATTACGTAAAGCCTAAATCGCAATGACTAGAATTAAGTTCTACCCATGCTCACATTCTGCATGCCCCACTACTGACATACCACCCCTTCTCCCACCTTTTATCAGACATTCTGAAATGTGGAAGGCTTTCTCAGATAACTACACAGGCTTGCCTCTTGTCGCATTGAATAAAGTGTTATCCTCCACTCAGCTCTACTCATTCGTTTATTCATTCATATTTTAGCATATATTCCTAGAGTTTCTATTAAACAGGAATCCTTAGAGGGACCGGAAATGAGCAGCTGAATGAGTAAAAGAATGGGCCTTTATGAGGACTAGAAGGTCATAATCCTTATTTCTGCTGGTAGACACTCAAAAGAATGCATGTATGTATACGTAAGTATATATTTGTGTCATTGTATGTTGTTATTAAAGAATATCTGAGGCTGAGTAAATAATAAAGAAAAAGGTTTATTTGGCTCATGATTCTGATGGCTAAAAGTCCAAGATTGGACATCTGCATCTGGTAAGGGCCTCAGGGTGATTCTACTCATGGCGGAAAGCAAAAGGGAGCCACTTTGTGAAGAGATTATATGGCAAGTGAGGAAGCGAAAAAGAGAGAGGGGAGGTTGCAGGCTCTTTTTAACAACTAGCTCTGCAGAAAAGGAATAGAGTGAGACCTCAGTAACCCTCAAGAAAGGTTATTAATCTATTAATGAGAGATTTGCCTTCATGAACCAAACAGCTCCTATTAGAGCTATCCTCCAACATTGGGTATCAAATGTCAACTAGTATAGCAAGGAGATTTTGCGTAAAAGTAAAATAGGACTACCATATGATCCAGCAATCCCACTGCGGGTATTTATCCATATGAAAAGAAGTCAGTATATCAAAGAAGTATCTGTACTCTCATGCAGCACTATTCACAATAGCATAATGTAAAATCAATGTAAGTGTCCATCGATAGATGAATAGATTAGAAAAAGTGCTCTCTCTCTCTCTCTACACAGACACACACACCCCTCACATATATACACCATGGAATACTAAGCAGCCATAAAAATGAAATTATGTCATTTGGAGCAACATGAATGGAATTGGAGGTCATTATGTTAAGTGAAATAAACCAGGCATAGAAAGACAAATATCACATGTTCTCATTCATATGTGGGAGGTAAAAGTTGATCTCGTGGAGGTAGAAGGTGGAATGATAGACACTAGTGACTGGGAAGAATGTGTGGTTTGGGGAAGGGATAAAGAGAGGTTGGTTACAGATACAAATATACAGTTATGTAGACAGAATAAGTTATCAACTTGATAATTACTTAGTCTATTTAGGTAACAAATTATCACTTGCACCCCATAAATATGTACATATATTTGTATCACTAAAAAAATTTCAGATGAAGTTTGGAGGTGACAAATATCTAAACCATAGCATTATGTGTGTACATATGTTTACATGTATATGTGTGTATTGTATATACACACACATATAGCGTATGTCAGGTAGTGAGAAGAAATGTGAAGTATATAAAGTACAAGATATAGAGACTTAAGGAAGTGTTTATTTTAAATCTGTGGAGTAAGTTATGAAAAGATGCACGGAGAAAGTACTCTAGGCCATGAAAAAAAATAATAAAAATTAGGGAAAATTTCCTGACACAGCAATAAGCTTTGAGAATCAAAGGAATGGAAGCTATTCCCTCTCTCACCTTGGAGGATGTATTCTGCTCTCTCACTATTCACTTCGTGACATTATCCCACAAATAGCAGCCTTTTATGGTCAATAAGTCTGCTGCATCAACAATAATAAAATGTCTATATTCTCTATTTTGTTTATCAACATTCAAAGTGATTTATTTCAAGTCTGCCTACGTGAGGGATTGACTGGAGATTGGAGGCTATCTATACACAATAATAATCCTATTCTCATGTGAACAATTATTACATGAATTCAAATATACAGCAGATAGAATCTTTACCAGTATGTGGCAGATCTAGGGTGAAGTTTCTGGACATAATACGATTATCTTGTAATAACATTGCACATATGTTTTGCAGTAAACCCTGCTACTATTTGAACCTGACTTGAGGACCCAGAAATTTAAAAAATACACATTTTTTCTCTAAACTAAATTCTTTGGTGTATAGTAAAATCATTTCTACTGCTTAGCTATGCAATCAAATAACAATTACAACACAACATCCTATTTTCAATAAAATCTTTGTTACATTTCAGGAAATGTGAGGAGTGACATAGCGTTTGGGTGAATAATTATGATTACCATCTATTGGCAAATACTATACATACCCATCCTTACAGGCTCATTTATACTGCTTTGTTAAGCAACACTATATAGAGTTATTATATTACTTTTATTTATTTGATGGTATATATGCATGGTTTTATATAATATCTGAAATAATGCCAAAGAGTAAACTACTTCTCAAAGTAATCTATAAGTATAAAATAAATAGCAAACATTGCCTTAGTATTTCATACATAGTTTCATGTATATATTTTTGTTTGCACTGCTATTTTGCAGAGTGCTTCCAGAAGCTGTGAAGTCTGATAATTATTGCTATACCATTTGACTTTGATAAAAATAATTCTAGAAAGCAAAGGATTTTGTGATCATATATCATTTTAGTCTAAAAGAAATATTCTGTCCTCTAAGAGAAAGATAATTAAAATGAAAATCTTTAAGTACCCAGAGAAAACTGTTAGGTTATTAAACTTTTTCTTCAATCTGTTTAAGTTTTATGTGCACACTGCCATTTAGGAGAAAACAAATTTTCCCCCAAATTATTTTGTTTTATTTCTCATTTGTTTATTTGTTTGATCCTAGTGAAATACTTCTACATATATTTCATAGTGCTTGTCTAAAGATCTTATATGCATGTAAGATTAAGTTAGGGCCTGGAATACAGACTGGGTTAATTTTTGTTGCAATGAAACACATATTTTCTAAAATCTATGTTTCCATTAATTAGAATATAACATATATACAGCATATGACTATTTACCAAGCATTTTTAAAAACTGTGACTCAATTATCCTCAAAACATCTCAAGAAAATAAGTTTAGAATAATAAAAATATTAACCTAGATCTTTTGCTTCCAGTGCTTTTGTTCTGTACTCATGGACTCTATAAGGAAAATTAAAACTCACTTGTGTATTGTTAATGATTGAAACTGGTATGGGTATTACATATGCATTAATATGCAGATATATATGTATGTATGTATTTCTCAGTCACTATATACAGATATATAATATGTATATATATATAGTTCTCAATTATGAAAAAGTATAACATCATTTTTTCATGAAATGTACCACCCTTCTTATTGTGAATTTGAATGACTGAAAGTGTATATGAGATGATACCATTACTTGATTAAAAATATTAAACTTAATATAGTATAGAAAATAGAATTTCATATTTTATCATTGAAAAGCTCTTTCAATAATAAAAACAAATTTTACACTCAGATAAAATAAAATGATTAAGCATGCAGATGCTTACTTAAAGAAGAGTTTAAATAGTCTCTATTTCAACTAAAGAATTGTTGAAAGCTAGCAAAACTGCTGAAGGTTCATTTGTAGATATGGAAGATAGGATTAGGGAGATTTAAACAGTAAAATTGATGGTGACATTAAGGGTAATGCTGAACTTATTTTAAAACTTTCCAAATAGTGGCATTAGTTATATACCCATAAAATAATTCCATAAATAACCATGAAGCTAAGCCTCTGAGATTCTGCATGACATGTCCTTATAGCAAAACAAAACAAAACAAAATTTAAAAATTAAAACTTCAGGTAACATAGATTTGCAAAATGTAATTTTGACCAGTTTAAAAATAATCACATCCAGAGGGAAAAGGTACCATGTAAATAGAAGACTGTTTAGAGAGCCATATCCCAGAAGGGCTAAGGGGGAAAATAAAATAAATGGAAAAGGAAGTAATCAAGTCTCTAATAGCTGGTAAAACTAATAAACCAGGATGCCCTTGTGACTCATTAGAGTAAACAAGAGGAAATGAAAACCTGTATATAGATAGTCCAGTCAACAGTTTTAATCCATGGAAATTGAAGCTACAGAGAATATTGTAAAATAAATGTACAGAAACCCCTGACAAACCATTTTGGATTACAATGTCTTCAATTTTCCTAGACCTTATTTGCCATGTTATCTCTCTTCTACCATCTAACACTAATATGTAAAAAAATGTGAGAAATAAAAAGACATGAAATCAACATTTATAGGCCAAGTAATCTCCAAATATATATTACACTGGGAGCCTCCCATTTTTGCCAGTACTTGTGGCCATTTTATGTATTCCTTCAATAACTACTATCCCTAAAGTCACACTCATTATTCCATGTCACCATGTATCACTGTATCTTTTCTGGTTGTGCTAATGACAAATAATTTTCAGTGAAATTGCCTTAATTTTAAATAAGTGGTTGGTATTTCATCTTTCTTTTGTCATTCTGACACTCTATATTTATACATTTCTTTTGATTTTTTCCTTCAGAATATAGAATTTAGCTATCATCTCTTCTATTTTTTTCTTCTACCTGAATTCAAAACATTATATGTTTTTATTTTGTATAAGCTACAATTACAATAATTTTGGTACATTAAAGGTTCTTAAATTATGTTTGAGTCCTTAATGATATGCCAACTGAATTACAAACTACTAATAACTTATTTTATATGATTTAAAATATTATTATAGCTGTAAAATTCTTAGCATTGTTTGTGCTCCATAAACAATTAAAACCAAAGAAATTAATATGAAAATAGCAATTGTACTGACTATATAAATTCCCTGGCATAACTCTAGTGTTAGAGTTTGTGTGTTTAAGGATGTATGCCTTCATGGGATGCATACATTTAGAAAAATGTAAAAAATATGAACAACCAGGGATGCCAGTGCACTGCAGAACCTCTAAAATTAGCCTCAAGCCTGAACAAATTCACTTTATGAAAATTAATTAGACCAGGCCAACATTTTCTCATCAGCCCTGCCCAATGCCCTCTCCTGTTGCTTCTTGTGCCTGTGTTTTTGGTCCTTGATCTTACTTATTTCTCGGTGATTTTATTTGGATTCCCTATAACTGCCCTTGGCTTCTTTCCTCTCTTCTACTCCTTGTTACTGTTCTTATGTATCACATTTCCGCCTCTAATTCTATTAACCGATCTCATTTGGAAGTTTTTCATTTGATTATTTTATTACACTCTGCACCACTGTGTGTGAAAAAAACAATATCAGAAACAAATGAAATGAGGAATAGCTTTGAGGTGTGTAAATGAACTTTCTTCCAGTGAAATAAGTTATATAATTGCGAATATATTTTCTCACACCTCAATAGACGGAGCAAGGTTACAAGTGTTTATATCAGGAACACAGAGAGCTCTCTGCAACAACAGCAGAAGCTTCTTCTCTGACTTCATTACTGGAGTACACAAACCTTAGATGATTGAAAATGGTAGCACAGATGGGTTTTTTTTTCCCTCATAGGTTAGAAGTAATTTTAATGAGGCCTAAAAATTGTCACCTTCATAGATGAATGTATTTAACATTTTTCTTATTTATTCACGTATAGCTAGCTCTAAATTAGACAGTTCCTCTTGTCCTCCTGGTAGTTTTCTTGATGATGCTTTTTACTTACACAATTCTCTATAGTTTGGAAAAAAAGGGCCTTATTCTGCATTCCTATTTATTTTATTAACACCCTGAAATAAATATTTTATACAAAATTGAATCATCTGATATTAGGCAACTTGCTGGAAATTTTATTTCTAGTAAATCAGGAAAAAAACTCAAATGTCCCCATTTTTGGTTTAGTGAACTTTAGTATGTGGGTGTATATATATATATATAAAATATAGATATATATATGTGTGTATATATATATGTGGCTAATTTTTTGTATTTTTAGTAGAAACGGGGTCTCACCATGTTAGCCAGGGTGGTCTCAAGCTCCTGACCTCAGGTGATCAGCCCGCCTCGGCCTCTCAAAGTGCTAGGATTACAGATGTGAGCCACCTTGCCCGGCCACTTTAAAATATTATACTTTGTTTCTCATTAAAACGTTTCAGATTGCTCTTCTCCTATTGATTATTTTAACCTAAGTTCAAAGACCTGCTTCTTCCTTATTCTACTTCCTGGACTGAATTCTAGCTGGATTCTTATAACGCATTTTACCCAACATTGAGTTGATCAAAAGAGAAAAAAATTAATATATTAGAGGTATAAATGTTTCCCCTAATGTCAGAGTGTCCTAATATAGAATGAAACCTTTTAAATTACATCATGGTACTAGTACAAAAATAGGCACATAGACCAATGGAACAAAATAGACAGCCCAGAAATAAGGATGCACATCTATGACCATCTGATCCTTGACAAAGCTGACAAAAACAAGCAAAGGGGAAAGACCCCCTATTCAAAAAATGGTGCTGGGATAACTGACTGGCTAGCCATGTGCAGAGGATTGGAGCTGGTCCCTTTCCCTACACCATATACAAAAATCAACTCAAGATAGATTAGAGGTAAAACCAAAAACTATAAAAATATGGAAGACAACCTAGGCAACGCCATCCTGGACATAGGAATGGGCGAAAATGTCATGACAAAGATACCAAAAGCAATCACAACAAAAGCAAAAATTGACAGGTCAGATCTAATGAAACTTAGGAACTTCTACACAGAAAAAGATGTTACCAACAGAATAAATACATAACCTACAGAATGGGAGAAAATATTTGCAAACTATGCATCTGATAAAGTTCCAATATCCAGTATCTATAGAGAACTTAATCTAATTTACAAGAGGAAAAACAACCCCAGTAGAAAGTGTTCAAAAGACATAAACAGACACTTCTCAAAAGAAGACATACATGCGGCCAAAAATCATATGAAAAAAAGCCCAATATCACTGATCATGAGAGAAATGCAAATCAAAACCACAATGAGATACCATCTCATATCAATCAGAATGGCTATTATTAAAAAGTAAAAAAAAATAACAGATGCTGATGAGGTTACAGAGAAAAGGAAATTCTTACATATTTTTGGTGGGAGTGTTAGTTCAATCATTGTGGAAAGCAGTATGGTGATTCCTCAAAGAGTTTAAAAGCAGAACTACTATCCAACCCAGAAATCTCATTACTGGGTATATACCCAAAGGGATATAAATCATTCTGCCATAAAGACACATGCACATGAATGTTCATTGCAGCACTATTCTCAATAACATAGACAAGGAATCAATCTAAATGTCCATCAATGACAGATTGGATAAAGAAATTGTGGTGCATTTATACCATGGAATACTATGCAGGCCTAAAAACGAGTGAGATCATGTCTTTTGTGGAAGCATAGATGGAGCTGGAAGCTATTATACTTAGCAAAATAACACAGGAACAGAAAATCAAATATTGCCTGTTGTCACTGATACATGGGAGCCAAATGATAAGAACTTGTGAATACAAAGAAGGAAACAACAGACACTGGGGTTTATTGTCGGGGGAGGGTGGAAGGAGGAACAGGAGCAGAAAAGCTAACTATTGAGTAATGGGCTTAATACCTGGGTGATGAAATAACGTGTACACCAAATCTCTGTGTCACGTGTTTACCCATGCAACAAACCTTCACATGTGCCCACAAACCTAAAATAAAAGTTAAAAAGGGATTAAGTCACATAATAATTTTGTGGTTTCTAGATTGAGATCTGAACTGATATTCATGTATATTTTCTTATCTTCTGTTTTCTTTATTTCTAGAAGAGTTCTTGGCACATACTAGGCATTCAATAAATATATGTTTAAAAACAAGTGAATAAAAAGTAAATAAATGTGCCTCCATTCCTCTTGCAATGGAACTAAAATTAAATTAGTATGTCAGAGTAACAAAATTGGCAAATTAGGCACAATAAAGAGAATATAAGGAGTACTTATAGTATGGAAGGTGCAGATTTAAAGATCAATATCATTAGACAAACTTGGTGAAGATTAAACTGGTAGGAAAAATGTTCCTCTGTCATCAGCAAGCTTTTATTCAAATGTTATTTTCTCTTACAGTTTCAAGTAGTTGTATGTGTCATTTCTATACACAATGATGTCCATAGACAGAGAAAGGACCCCTGGATGTCTTGTGTTTCTTTCTTGGGGATAAACAATCCCCCTTTAGATGTCCTCAGGAGATCTCTTTCAAGTTTCTATGGGCATGATTAGGCCACATGTTCATGCAGCAGGAAGGATCTCAAAGTACAGGGCTGTACTCAGGTCTCCTGAAGATCTCACTCCTCCCAGTAGCTAAATATGTGTCAAACTCCATGGTGCCACGTTTATTCAGAGTAAGTTAATAATACATGATGAGAATGAGGTTGGCTGTATATTTTAACCTCAAAAACATACTATGACAAGTGGAAATATCTTGAGGTTTCAGCAGTGCAAATGTCTTCTATAACTTTTGAAAACAATAGAATCCTTCCCATTGTTCCAGGGAATATTTCACCAGAAATATTGGAAGACAATAAATTAAAAATGAGCACACAAGCCATCTGACTTAGAAATCCTTAGATTTTTTTATCGCTATGAATTTTGTTGTTAATCATATATGAGCATCCTGATGTTTTTAATAATGTATTGTGAATTCAGTTAGAAACCAAGCTGATATTCTTCTTATGTCTACTCTTAAATAGAACAGTGGAGGATTATCAGTAATTTATTAAACTGCTGTTCAAACAAATATTTTTAATGGATATATAAAAACAAAATATTTGTATTTCAAAATCATAATATTATTGCAACTTAATGATCAAGATTTTATTCTCCATATTGGAGTGCAATGAGAACTCAAACTTTCATAATATTCTTTTAAAGAAAATAGCAGACTATCTTATGGAATGTGCACCATTCGCAACTAAGAAACTGTTCATTCTCACAGATCCTCATTTCCTTGCAAGGATAAAAAAAGAAGGTTAAAATGGTATTAAGTAATTTGAAATATATCTTATTCACAAGTTTATTTCCTAGTGTACTTCATGCTGTCCTAATTTACATAATATCCAGAAACTGTTTGGAAACTATTATACCAAAAATGTAACATATAGAAAAGATAATTTTGCTATACACCTATTTCTTTGATTACAGAGAAAATAAACATTTCATGAGACAAATAGGTGTGAGATCCTTCAGATCTTTTTGTATGGGAGAAAACTTCTTCAAAACACCAGATATGAGATTGAAAATAAACACATAGACAATAGTAACATTTATTTGGATCACATAATGTTGAATCTGGGTAAATAATAATGAATTGGTCAAGAAGAGTCATCTTATCAGTATAATTTTAATAAAGTTACATTAGTAATGGACTACATGAAAAAAGAATACATCATCAAACTATATACATTTTAAACACTAAGATGTGCAAAAAGTATATTTATGAAATCTCTGAAGACAGAGACTCTCACTTAACCTTTGAATCTTGATTACATACAACAGTACTTGACAGCCATACTAAATCCCCCAAAATATTTGTTATATAAATAGGTATTGAAAAAGTTCTCTATCACAGGGCAACACTGCTCAGCAAATAATTACTTGGTGAGTAAATTAATTAAATAAATTGAATAATATATTTAATGCAGATAACTTTTGAAATACATATGAAAGTTTTACCCTAACTATAAGTCACATATAGAAAGAGTATAAAAGTAACTGTACACCTTTACTTTTTGTAATGTGAATACCCATAAAAACTTCTCCCTACTAATGGTATAAATTATTGTCCACAATCAAGAATTCTCCATTTACTTTGCCCCCCCCACCAATTCTCTCCTTACTAAATTTAATCAATATTGTAATTTATGTTGACTGTGTTTTTGCACATTTTAGGGTTACCTTCTTAAATATGTATCCCTAAACAGTGGATTTAGTTTTGCCTGTTTTTGAGCTTAGTATAAATGGTATTATGCAACATACATCATTCTGTATTGTGTATCTTTTGATGTGTGTTATGTTTGTGAAATTCATCCAGGTTGTATTTATCTATATAGTTCATCTATTTTCAAGCATATATTTGACGGCACTGTATAAATTAATATAACACAATTTATGTATTTTCCTGTTGTTGCATGTTGTTTTATTTTCCTGTTTGTACTTCTTTTTAAAGATACAGTTATGCATATTCTTATACATGTCTTCTGATATATATGTGCATAGATTTCAGTTAGATGTATGCTTAAGAATGAAATTGCTGGATGATAGACCATGTGTAGTTTAGCATTAGTGATATTAACTAAATAGTTTCTGCAATGATTGTATCAATATTTATTCTCACTAGTGACTTACTTATTACTAATAAAGTCAAACACCTTTTCCCTTGCTTATTTGCCACCTAAATTTCCATTTTAGTAAATTAATTAGCTGTTTGAATTTCTTGCTGATTCCTCTACTCATGTTTTTTTAGCTTATCAACACATGCTAGTTTGTTTTATATTCTTAGGTATATGTTTTAGGTATACCTTTCTTAGGTATATGTTTTGCAAATATATTCTTTCCATTTTTTTGGCTGGCCTATTTATTTTGCCTAAAATTATTTACAGGTTAACACTAAGTTCTTCATTTTAATATGGTCATATTTATCTGTTATTTATTCATGACTATTGATTTTTTTCCTATATAAGAAACAATCAGAAATCAGGATGATATTATGCTCTAATACAGTCAAATATTTGTATTTGTTTTTATACTATTTCTTCCCCATTTAGAAAGTGGCATTGTCAACTTGGTGCATGCCATGTGAGTATAATAAAATAGTATATAACACAAAGAAGATATATAACAAATATTTATAGAATGGTATTCATTTATATCTATCTGTCATCTATCGATCTATCATCTATCTATCTAATCATTCTATCATCCACCAAATAAACATTGAATTTATTTTAAAATATAATTTGGTAATAAAAATTAGTGAAATTATTGTCATGATTTTAGAGAATAAAAGATTATACTCATGTCTCTGTGCTGCCTACCTCTGAGCCAATCATTCTAATCTGAGTTTAAAGTAATCCAATACACCAAGTCTTGATTAAATGTCCTTCTTGGTGACAGGGTTTTAACTCCAATGACAGCCAGCCATATGCCATTTTAGAGGAGTCCTTTGTCATAATTTGAGGAAAAATAATATATTATTAATTCATTCAACCAAAAATTATTGTGCCAGGTTCTATTTAAGTTCATTTTAGGCTGTCTGGAAGAACTTATACAAAATTATAATTGAATAAGTTGCTTTAATACAAGGCAACAATTTTCTTAATAATTATAAATGTAAGTGGCCTAACTTTGTTACAGTAGATAGGCAGATATGACAGGGCAGAAGAGGCCCCCCCACCCCAACTAACAACCAGGAATTTCAGGCGACAATCAGGTGATGGTCTGGAAGTTGTTAACTGTCTCTCTAAAATAATAATTGGTTGCAGCCAGCTCTGGCGAAAGGCAGTCTCCCTGTAGATAGAAAAAAACTGAAACCAATGATCATGAGCTTCCTGATAAGATCCAAAGAGTTGGACAAGTGGGCTCACGCATGTCCACTAAGAGGCAAAATGGTGGAGTTTAACTGGTATATGACCGTACAGTGACATTCCACCTTCAAAGGGAAGGATGCCTCAGGTGAACATGTGTACAACCCCAGTAAAAACACTGCGCATGCTCCCCTCCCAAGTGCTCGCAGGCCATTGTGCATATGGACAAACCACCCCAAGGGCAGAATCAAGGGAGAAGGGATGCAAGACCCCTGAAGTATACCAATGTATAAAACCCCAACTCATAAAGGTCAAACCCGCACTTGTGCTTCAAATTGCTGCTTGGGCCTGTTCCAAGTGTACTTTCCTTCCTTTCATTCCTGCTTTAAAGCTTTTTAATAAATTTTCACTACTGTCCTAAAACTTGCCTCAGTTTCTTCTGCTGCTTTATGCCTCTCAGTCAAATATTTCTTCTGAGGAGGAAAGAATTGAGGTTGCTGCAGACATGTACAGATTCACTGCCAATAACTTGGATAACTGCCACTGATAGCAACTTGACTAATTTTAACCCCAGAGAAATTACTGTACTAACAATGCTCACATTTTCCAATCTACTGCATACTATTGTGGCTCTGGGCTTCATATTGTGCTGTAGGCAATACGTTGCAAAAAATAGCATTACACGGAGTAGTTAAGCATTGACTGTTCTGTTTGGAAAGAACGTGTAAAGGGAGGACTAGAATGTAAATGATTCTACACTTATTAAAAAACCAAACAAAATACGGGGACATCTAAAATGTAAAATGAGGCTAGTCTTTAAATCTGAGCATCTGAATAAGCATGACAAACATTTCATATCATTAGGTGGTATTTATCATGCATGTGCATATATGCATACATATATTGATATTAAAATGAACACTTAAGTGTTTTTATAATTATCAAATTGCTTTATTTCAGTGAAGCCTAAGAACAAGTTTTGTTATGCCCTCAGGAAAAATAAAAGATAACAAAATTATCCCTCATGGGTACCTCAAATTATGGCCTTACTAAAATTATAGCTGTACATGCAAAACAACATATTCATGAGTGGTTGGTTAAAACCTGAAATTATGGAGAAGGCTGAATTGACATATACAGCATTATCGGCAAAAACCTTCACACACTGTGCCCTCTAAAATGAGGCTTTATTTTCTGTCTGAAACATTGACAAGGGATATTCAATATGGGATATGCCAATGCATACTCGTTTATCTGTCATGCATTTTTCTTATTCTAATTTCTCCATAGAGTTTAGCAGTCATGACTTTTGTAATTATTATTGCATTATTCCCTCCATTCATATAAAATTATAATTTCTCTTTAGTAAAATAAAGCATGCAATTTGACTAATTTGTATTTAATGCTTATATACCAACAGTAGAATATTTAGCAGATTGATATAACACCATAATTCATGATACAGTATTCCATATATAATACTCATGATCAGAAGTGAGAACTTGCAATTTTTACTTCTCTTGATAGCAGCTCAGTTACATACTAGGAAATTAAGAATAAGAGTTTATTGAGATTCAAATATCTGTGATATGTAATTTAAAAAAATATTTCAAGTATAATAATATAGAAGTTAAACAATGAATGTTTCATGTAAACATGTTACCTTAATTATTATTAAATATTCATGTCATCATTTGTTTTTTATGCAATATTATTATACCTAATAGATGTTAGAAAATGAACTGTCAGAAAAAAATTTATAAGAACTAACAATTTAAAAATGCCAATATCAAGCAGTGAAGCAAATATTAAGATAAAATGCAATGTAAAAAAAATCAACATTTATAAATATGGAAATCAACAATGGATAAGACACCCCAGGAAAAATTAATATAAAAGATGCTAAAATAAAACTTTAAAAAAGGGTAATATTTGGATGGGCAAAAGTAAGAAATAGTCTAAAATATATACAAAAAAAATCAGGTGAAAGAATGAGTGACAAATTAGTATTTATTGAATATTTGTTGAGACAATGACTAGAAAAGTCTTAAAAAAATTACTAAGACATACTTAAGTTATAAGAAATGACTTTGGATTAATCTGCAATCATTTTTAAAAGTATCTTCAAATACTCAAGTTTGGATTTAATACAATTGCCATGATAAAAGACAATAAAGTAAAAATATAAATGTTTTTCATGCAAGTATGAAATTATTTTTAAAAATCAGACTACTGTGTAAAAATAGAGACACATAAAAAATACATGAAGATCATGCAACTGAACTGAGTTCAGGTTCAGTTAGATCTAGGAATGAAATGCCGTCAAAAATATACTAACCAGACATCATAAAGAGAATGATAAATATTACATCAAATAACAGTTTAGTTCATATCCTTGTGAATACGGTAAATTATGTAATTACTAGCTCTGTGAACTTGGGCAAATTATCTTCTATGATTTGCAGAAGCCCTGGTAAATAGTTCAATAAACATTAGTTTTCATTATCATCCACTTTCTTGATGGCAATGTTAAAGCGTAGAACAAAAATAAAATTATAAGCCACCAACCAATTGAATGGATCCCCCCCTCTCAGCCAAAGGCATTCAAAATAAACATGAAAAACTAGTTGAGGTGATGATGGGAAGGGAGTGTGGACATGCATCATTAAATGCTCCTTTTTTTTTGAATACAGGCACAACTGACCAACATTAACATTAAAACAAAGATCTTATGACTGACCAAGCTGACTCTTTGTAGCAGTAAGATACATCATATGACAGATAGCAGGCCCTGAAATTAATCAAAGTATTTTACACAAAACTATATTTCCTTGAGATATTTTTAAGTGGCACTGCAAAGCTGTCTCTTGTAGGGAAAAATCTACATTCACTGAAAATTCTCCTTCCCTTTTCAGGCCTTTCTCCTGAACTAGGAGAGAATAATTAAGAATAATTAACAGTCTGGCACCTTTTTACCTCTAACAAACATTTACAATCTATTCTCTTTGAAGCCTGCTACCTGAAGTCCTCATCTGCATAATAAGAACCTTGATATCCACAACCCCTTACCTTAACCCAGACATTCCTTTATATTGATTCCAAGCCTTGACATAATAATTTAACTCTTTCAACCATTTGCCAGTCAGAAAATCTTTGAATCTACCTATGACCTAGAAGCTCCTGCTTCCAGTTGTTCCACATTTCTGGACCAAATCAATGTATACCTTACATATATCAGTTGATGTCTGCTTGCATCATCTGTCCCAATAAAATGTACAAAATCATGCCATAACCCAGCCACCTTGGCGCATATTCTCAGGCCCTCCTGAGGCTGTGCCACGGGCATGTCCTTAACCTTGGCAAAATAAACTTCTCAATTGATTGAAACTTGTCTCAGATACTTTTTGGTTTACAAAAGTTAAAAAGAAGACAAAACATGCAAAAATGAGGAGATAAAACCTTATTCGTAATCATAAAGAACAAGTAACATTTGCATAGGTCAACTGCATCTATATTTTGAGCCTTTTCCCCTAAGTCAAGAGCAACAATTAATAATATTTCTAAAAACATTTGTGAAAAATCACTTGATGAATTCTAATTGATAATAATATACTAACTTAACATGTTGACAATGTCTTTATATTTGTTGCATCTTTTATTTACATAAGTAGAAATATTTACATTACAAAACAAATGTTTAATGAAACTGAATGACAGACACTTTATGCAAAATTTTATATAACACTTATTCCCACTTACCCAATGTCACAAACGTATTATGATCAAACAATGCAATTAAATATATTGAAACGACAGAAGCATGTCAAAAATTAATTAAATTATATGAGTTTGAAACTCATATGACTACAAATAATTCATAAATTGTAAGTAGAATGATAAAAGCAAATTTTGGCCAGGCGCGGTGGCTCACACCAGTAATCCCAGCACTTTGGGAGGCTAAGGTGGGTGGATCACTAGGTCAGGAGATCAAGACCTTCCTGGCTAACATGGTGAAACCCTGTCTCTAGTAAAAATACAAAAAATAAAAAATAAAAATTAGCCAGGGGTGGTGGCAGGCGTGCCTGTAGTCCCAGCTACTCGGGAGGCTGAGGCAGGAGAATGGCGTGAACCTGGGACGCAGAGCTTGCAGTGAGCCAAGATTGAGCCACTTCACTCCAGCCTGGGCAACAGAGAGAGACCCAGTCTCAAAAAAAAAGGAAAAGAAAAAAAGCAAATTTCATCTCAGTCATTAGAGACAAAGATACATATTTTGTGTAAAATTAAAATACTGTTTAACCAAATCAATTGAGATTATTATTACTACAAAATAAATAAATTAGCAAACAACATTAATTTTCATCTCAATGGTATGAGATTTGAAAAGAACTGCATAGTGGCATTTTGCTAGCAAAGCAAAGAAACAACATTACGATAAAAACTGAACAGTATTACAGTCATCAAAAACAGTGTTAGAAAAATGTGTTGATAATCTTGTGCATCAACTAATAGGCAAAATAACCAGCTAGCATCATAATGACAGGATTGGATTCACACATAACAATATTAACATTAAATGTAAATGGGCTAAATGACTGAATTAAAAAACACAGACTGACAAATTGGATAAAGAGTCAAGACCCATTGTTGTGCTGTATTCAGGAGACTTATTTCACGTGCAGGGACACATATAGGCTCAAAATAAAGGGATGGAGGAATATTTACCAAGCAAATGGAAGGCAAAAAAAAGTAGGGGTTGCAAACCTAGTCTCTGATAAAACAGACTTTAAACCAACAAAGATCAAAACAGACAAGGGCATTATATAATGGTAAAGGGATCAATGAAATAAGAAGAGGTAACTATCCTAAATATATATCCACCAAATACAGGAGCACCAGATTCAAAAAGCAAGTTCTTAGGGACCTAGAAAGAGACTTAGACTCCCACACAATAATAGTGGGAGACTTTAACACCCCACTGTCAATATTAGACAGATCAACAAGACAGAAAATTAACAAGGATATTCAGGACTTGAATTCAGCTCTGGACCATGCAGACCTAATAGACACCTTCAGAACTCTCCATTCCAAATCAACAGAATATACATTCTTAACAACACCACATAGCACTTATTCTAAATCGATCACATAATTGGAAGTAAAACACTCCTCAGCAAATGCAAAAAAAATGGAAATCATAACAAACAGTTTCTCAGACCACAGGGCAACCAAATTAGAACTCAGGATTAAGAAGCTCACTCAAAACCACACAACTACATGGACACTGAACAACCTGCTCTTGAATGACTACTGGGTAAATAACGAAATTAAGGCAGAAATAAAGAAGTTCCTTGAAACCAATAGGAACAAAGACACAATGTACTGGAATCTCTGGGACATAGCTAAAGCAGTGTGTAGAGGGAAATTTATAGCACTGAATGCACACATCAGAAACTAGAAAGATCTCAAATCAACACCCTAACGTCACAATTTAAAGAACTAGAGAAGCAAGTGCAAACAAATTCAAAAGCTAGCAGAAGGCAAGAAATAACTAAGATCACAGCAGAACTGAAGCAGATAGAGACACAAAAAAACCCTCCAAAAAATAAAATAATCCAGGAGCTGGTTTTTTGAAAAGATTAACAAAATAGATAGACCACTACTCAGACTAATAAAGAAGAAAAGAGAGAAGAATCAAATAGACACAATAAAAAATGATAAAGGGGGTATCACCACTGATCCCACAGAAATGCAGACTACCATCAGAGAATACTATAAACACCTCTATGCAAATAAACTAGAAAATCTAGAAGAAATGGATAAATTCCTGGACATACACCCTGCCAAGACTAAACCAGGAAGAAGCTGAATCACTGAATAGACCAATAACAAGTTTGGAAATTGAGGCAATAATTAATAGCCTACCAACCAAAAAAAGCCCACAACCAGATGGATTCACAGCCGAATTCTATCAGAGGTAATAAAGAGGAGCAGGTACCATTACTTCTAAAACTATTCCAAACAATAGAAAAAGAGGGACTCCTCCCCAACTCATTTTATGAGGCCAGCATCATCCTGATAACAAAACCTGGCAGAGACACACACACACAAAAAGAAAATTTCAGGCCAATATCCCTGATGAACATTGATGCGAAAATCCTCAACAAACTACTGGCAAACGAAATCCAGCAGTACATTAAAAAACTTATCCACCCTGATGAAGTTGGCTTCATCCCTGGCAGGCAAGGCTGGTTCAACATACACAAACCAATAAATGCATAAACAGAACCAATGACAAAAACCACACGATTATCACAATAGATGCAGAAAAGGCCTTTGATGAAATTCAACACCCTTCATACTAAAAACACTCAATAAAGTAGGTATTAATGGGCCATATGTCAAAATAATAAGAGCTATTTTTGACAAACCCACAACCAATGTCATACTGAATAGGCAAAAGCTGGAAGCATTCCCTTTGAAAACCAGCACAAGACAAGGATGTCCTCTCTCACCGCTCCAATTCAACATGGTATTAGAAGTTCTGGCCAGGGCATTCAGGAAAGAGAAAGAAATAAAGGTATTCAAATAGGAAGAGAGGAAGTCAAATTATCTCTGTTTGCAGATGACGTGATTGTATGTTTAGAAAACCCCATGGTCTCAGCCCCAAAACTCCTTAAGCTGATAAGCAACTTCAGCAAAGTCTCAGGATACAAAATCAATGTGCAAAAATCACAAGCATTCCTATTCACCAATAATAGACAAACTGAGAGCCAAATCATAAGCAAACTCCCATTCACAATTGCTATGAAGAGAATAAAACACCTAGGAATACAACTTACAAGGGATGTGAAGGACCTCTTCAAGGAGAACTACAAACCACTGCTCAAAGAAATAAGAGACGACACAAACAAATGGAAAAACATTTCTTGCTTATGGATAGGAAGAATTAATATCATGAAAATGGCCACGCTGCCTAAAGTAATTTATAGATGCAAAGCTATTCCCATCAAGCTACCATTGACTTTCTTCATAGAATTAGAAAAAACGACTTTAAGTTTCATATGGAATCAAAAAGAGCCCTCGTAGCCAAGACTATCCTAAGCAAAGAGAACAAAGCTGGAGGCATCATGCTACTTGACTTCAAACTATATTACAAGGTTACAGTAACCAAAACAGCATGGTACTGGTACCAAAATAAATATATAGACCAACGGAACAGAACAGAGGCCTCAGAAATAACACCACACATCTACAACCATCTGATCTTTGACAAACCTGACAAAAACAAGCAATGGCAAAAGGATTCCCTATTTAATAAATGGTGTTGGGAAAACTGGCTAGCCATATGCAGAAAACAGTCACTGGACCCCTCCCTTATACCTTATACAAAAATTAACTCCAGATGGATTAAAGGTTTAAATGTAAGACTTAAAACTATAAAAAAAAAACCCCTAGAAGAAAACCTAGGCAATACCATTCAGGACATAGGCATGGGCAAAGACTTCATGACTGAAACACCAAAAGCAATTGCAACAAAAGCCAAAATTAACAAATGGGATATAATTAAACTAAAGAGTTTCTGTACAGCAAAAGAAACTATCATCAGAGTGAACAGGCAACCTACAGAATGGGAGAAAATGTTTGCAATCTATCCATCTGACAAAGGGCTAATATCCTGAATCTGCAAAGAACTTATACAAATTTACAAGAAAAAAAAACAAACAATCCCATCAAAAAGTGGGCAAAGGATGTGAACAGACACTTCTCAAAAGACATTTATGTGGCCAACAAACATATGAAAAAAAGCTCATCGTTACTGGTCATTAGAGAAATGCAAATCAAAACCACAATGAGATACCCACTGTGTGTTAGAATGGCAATCATTAAAAAGTCAGGAGACAACAGATGCTGGTAAGAATGTGGAGAAATAGGAACGGTTTAACACTGTTGGTGGGAGTGTAAATTAATTCAACCATTGTGGAAGACAGTGTGGCAAGTCCTCAAGGATCTAGAACCAGAAATACCATCTGACCCAGCAATCTCATTACTGGCTATATACCCAAAGGATTATAAATCATTCTACTATAAAGACACATGAACATGTATGTTTATTGCAGCACTATTCACAACAGCAAATACTTGGAACCAATCCAAATGCCCATCAATGTTGGACTGGATAAAGAAAATGTGGTATATATGCACCACGAAATAAGATGCAGCCATAAAAAAGAGTGAGTTCATATCTTTTGCAGGTACATGGATGAAGCTGGAAACCATAATTCTCAGCAAACTAACACAGCGGCAGGAAATCAAACACCGCATGTTCTCACTCATCAGTGGGAGTTGAACAATGAGAATATACAGGCACAGCGAGGCGAACATCACACACAGGGGCTTGTCGGAGGGTGGAGGGCAAGGTGAGTGCTAGCATTAGGAAAAATACCTAATGTAGATGATGGATTGATGGGTGCAACAAACCACAAAGGCACATGTACATCTATGTAACAAACCTGCACGTTCTGCACATGTATCTCAGAACTTAAAGTATAATAAAAGAAAATCAAAACAAAAAAACAAGAAAAACAAAAGAAATAAACAAAGCATATATATATATATTATATATATATATATAATATATATATATTTTTTTTTTACAAAGTGAATATCACCAGGAACCACCTTCATGGTTTAACATTTGACATTTGACACTACCCCCACACAATGCAGGATTTAAACATCCCTGCCATCTATACTCTACCCACCAGTAGCACTGCTAAGTCTATAGCAATCAGAAGTGTCCTCATCAATTTCCAAATATCATTAAATAGTAGTATTAGCTATACTTGAAATATAGTGGTATTAGCTATACTTGAAAATCATTGAGATAGAAGATGATAGTTTCCCATGAAGCATGAGCTACTAATTATCAATTTGCTGTTGTCAAAATGAAATTTCTTTGCATTCATTTTCATCTTTACACTCACACATTAGTTTGAATTGCCAATGAGAATGAAATATTTGACCTAAAAGAGAAAAATAAAATATTGCTAGTGCAAAGAGAGAGAGAGAGTAAAAAAATGTGACTTTATGGTGCAATTTAAAGTAAGTATTCTTTCTGGAAGTTTTTCATATGGTTAGTGTTATGTTACTAAAAATTCCTGTAATCATTATTTTAAAAATCCTTCCTAGCTAATATTATAGACAATGAATAAACTAAAAATAGAAAATTTACAATTCGCTTGAATAACTTTTATTTGTTAACTAATAAATCTAGGAGAGAAAACTATATGTAGCAAATTTATGAGATATTGAAATTGTTTTACATACAGTGTGTCATACCCCTGAACTTCATCTACCTAACTTTAATGATTCTGTACTCCTTGGAAATGTATTGATGAAGTGGGAGAAAAATTATCCAAAATAAAGGGCCAAAAGAATAAATTAAATTTATTATCAGAGGAAATAGAAAATGTCTGTAAATTACAGCATCTATAGACAGCTATGTTTGCAACATCCCTTTAACCACGCTATGATATTTGCTAACCATGCTAGTGCTATTTGTTCTTATTACAGACCCAGATGGCCCAGGTTGATCTTTAATTTGTTAGGCTCAAAATAAAATATTGTCCTCTCCAGAGTTTAACAAAGGTTGTCCAACTTTAGAATTTAAGACATTCCAAATAAATCTGTTTCATACTGCAATTTAACCAAATGCTGGCTATAAAGATTAATATTTTCTCCTGGGTCTTTCCAGCTGCTCAGATTTAAATACCTTATTGCTTGACCATCCTTCTTTACTTGCTGGAAAATGTTCTAGCTTGAGTTATTAGGGAACTATACGTGTGTGTGCGTGTGCGCGTGTGCGCGCGTGTGTGTGTAAGAACTTCATAACTGCAATGGAATACATTAATGAGAAAGTAAAATGTATATACATATTGGGATGAAAAATAATGCTTCCTTTTTCTCTCTCCCTTTTATGGTATTGATTCATTTCAAGCACTGCTTCTCTTTGGTTGGATTTCTATGGTCAATAAATATAATTCTATTTTGAAATTGTATTTAACTATTGTGTCCTGTGGGTGTAGTATATTTAGGTTAAAGTATCACATTTGTATAAGTTCTTTGGTGCCACACAAAAAAAATCTCATTCAAATGTTAAAATCATTTCAGCTAATTTATGAACAATTTTTAAAATGTATGAAATGAATAAGAAAAGTAGGCTTCCTGATAGCAGAAAACTCTGCTGTTGGGGTACTACTATTTTAGGAATACTGCCACATTCTGTTTACTTGTAATTGTGTGATGTAATTTACTTGTAATTGTGTGATTTATTCAATATATTTTTGTTAAAAGTCTGCCATGTGCCAAGAGTTGTAAGAGGTGTGCATAATAACTAACAAGCAATGCTGAAATATTCAAACAAAAATTACTTAATTTTAAGAATTTATACAAGAAAAATAGGCTGGTGAGAAAACGAAATGCTGGCTGAATTAAAAATCATTGTATGGACGAATAAAATAGAACAGATAACTAGGAAATTTAGGAAGGGCACAGAAGGAAGAGAAGTAAATTCATATATTGATACACAAGTACTTTTGCCTTTTCACATAGGCAAATGAAAGTTCAATTTTTTTTGGAAATATGGTATTTTACTAATTTTATTTGTTGTCAGCTGTGGAGAAGCCCAGTGATGAAAATTTTCTTTACTTTAGTATCTCTTTTAGAGTAAACAGCCATCTTTAATACCTATCAATGGACAAATCTATGAAAATAACTCTGTGGATTAGATTAAAAAATCAGTCGCTGGTAAAAGATGTGACAGATCTAATGTGGACATAGAGGTACATTGACAATAAAAGGTCATTGTCTTCCTCCCTTTTCCTCCACTACAACTTTTACTTTCCACACCACTGCTTTTACTGTTTAGATCCCACATACTAAACATTCTGATGCAGTTTCTAATTTTCTATGTAACAGTATTATTTCTTTCATTTATAGTTATAACTTCTTTAACATAATTTATTTATACTTGTTTTCACTGAGGTAGATTTTTTAAAGCATGCCACTTATGACCATTATTATTCTTAGAATTATTCTAGTTATTATTATTCTAACAACAGGTAGAAATACTTAACACATCACTCATCACAGAGACTAAATGGTTCTCTCACTCAACAAACTCACCGCTTTTATCTGTACCATGCAGTTCTAAACAAGATAAATAAGAGCACAAACAAATTGGAGGGAAAAAAGCCCCACAAAGCTTGCAAGAAATTTTAAACATTGTAATCAATGTGTTTATTGTGAATTCACTTGTTTTTATAGTTTTGTTTATAATGATATTTTACTTGAAAGTGCAAAAATACATGTCATGCCCACCAATCATACAATGAAAATCCTTCCACATATATTCACTGTGTTAGATAATGCTAACCAGTAATATATGGAGCGGCTTATCCACAAAATATGATGTATGTGTGATCAATTACATGCTAAAAATATACAGAAACCAAAAGAAATTTATCAAAAGTTAAATGGAAAACAATAAAGGAAAACTCATGAGAAACATACTAAAAAAGGCATAATTATTGTGAGATAGCATGTAGTAAAAAGAAATTGAGGTACTAAGTAAGGAAGCAGGGATGACAAACAGCTTTAGCCTCAGTATTTTATCAGAATGTAGTCTTTAGCCTCTCCAATTTCAGCCTTGGATATTGGAAAAATAAATAGTTAAATATCTTCCTCAATATCATTTTTAGCAATCTCAAATATTTGTGTAATCAAGGCATTTATTTTCATAAATAACCACCATAAGACATTAATGCAAACAAATTATAGTATTAGGATTTATTTTAAAAAGTAAAGAAATATTTATTTAATTGTAAGTACTAGTAAGCATTCAAGATATAACTTGAAGTTACATTATGGAATAGGCACGTTTTAATGGTTTCAAAAGAAGACCTTTTTACTGTATGTTTCAGATAAAGATACTAACAAAGCAGAACTAAATTATGGTTGCTTGCAGAGAAAGTAGTTCCTTTGCTGGAACCTGCTGAGTAACTAAACTGTCCTTTGACAGTACAAGGATGTTTTACATGATAGCAGGGGGAAAAATTTTACAATTATTCTAGTCCAGGGAAGATACTAGAATAAATACATATCAGTGAAAGATATGATGCAAATGGAAATTCAGAAAATATTTTCTTGGCTTGAAAGGCAGTTACTTTGCCCATTGTCATATTTCTAGATCATTTTTAAGCAGAATTATTTGCCAAGTAATTTTGTGAAGCAGCAATTTTTTCTTTTTTGTGCCTGGCTGATTTCCTTTAACATAATGTCCTCCAGATTCATCCATGTTGTCAATGTGGAATCTGTGAAAAATCTGATTTCATAGAAATAGAGAGTAGAGTGATGGTTAACAGGGGCTGGGAGGGTGGGGAGTTGGGAAGACGTTGGTCAAAGGGTACAGAATTTCAGTTAGACTGAAGGAATAAATCCAAGAGATTTATTGTACAAAATGGTGACTATAGTAAATGACAATGCATTGTAGTTTGAAAATAGCTAACAGAGTACATTTTAAGTATTCTCACTATCAAAAATGATGAGTGTGAGGGAATGAATGCATAAGTTAGCTCTATCAAGCCATTCCACAATGTACACATATTTCAAAACATCATGTTGTACCCAATAAGTACATACATATCAGAGTATCCTATTTTAAAAACTCTCTCCTTTGTTCATTTTTTGTTTTGCTCTTAGTCATGTATTAGCCCCTGCTCTCCTTTTTCCACCAGACATGCCCTTGTACAATGTTTTTCTTATCTAATTAATGATTTCTGAGAAGTTCCAAGGTCTAACTCTTGAGACAATCTAGTCAACTTTGGAATTCTCATCACACCTGGAGATTAACTCAAGATTTCAATTAATTTTTACACACAGGCTGTACCCGATCATGCCAGCCCCAACACCCGGTGGGAAAATAACTCAAGATAGTTGTCAGAAAAGGATATGTAGACCGCCACCTCCTCACCACTCCTGCATGCCCCTCAAGCCAAATTTCCTTGCTTAGACCACTGCTCTCAGTTCAAAATCTGAAATGGTTTCTTTAAGGCATGAGCTTGGTCATTTCCCCAACTGCTAGCTTTTGGAATAAAGTCATTTTCCTTTCCCTGCATCTTGTCCTTTTTCGTTGACTTTACAAGCCGTGAGCAGCCAAGCTTGCACTCAGTTACATAGGGTTTTTGTTAATTAAAAAAATTAAACTAAATTTTAAATAAATTTTAAAAAGGAACAAGTAATTTTTTTAAAAAAGTAGAAACAGCATTATAATAAGGATAAAAATATTAAGTCTACTTGTTTTCGATGGCCTTAAGAATTTGGAGGCGTAATGGTCAACTACTTTGAGAGTTTTGGTACATAAGCTTAACTCTTAAGTACCATCTAAACTCCTAAGCTCATTAATTTTAATGCAAAATAGTGTACATATCTTCTTGTCGAGTTTATATAAACTATATAACCTCTGTTGACCACAACAACAGGTCCAAGAGTAGATGCAGAGATGAATCTTAAGTTGTCATTTGAGAGAAAGGAAAGATTAATAATATACTATCAGCATTTTCCTGAGCATGATACTGTATTTGGAAAAGTATAATATGGCTCAATAAATAGGTAAGTAGTTGATTGAATAGATAGATAAATTATTGATAGAGTGGTAGATAATAGATGATGATAGATAGATAGATAGATAGAGAGAGAGAGATAGATTAGATAGAGATGTCTTATGCTATTCTCTATAGTGAACACTTATAAAAAGCTGCAGTTCAGAGCAGTAGTTCTGGGGAAAATTTCTACTTATTCATCTATCTCAGACTTCATAGCATTTGCTGAGTGGAAAGACACTTCCAGTTCTGCAAATAATGAAGCGGAAAGCAGAAGATATGTTTTTAACCCAACCTCACATAGCTAAGGACATTTTTTGAAGATTTCCTAGGAAAGTGACCTAAGCATTAGGAAATTCGCAAAACATCTAATTATATAATGTGACCATCTGGAATCTACCTTTGATCCTATTTTGGATCAGGTGTCCAAAAATATGACACTTATTTTCTCCCTAGTATTGAGAATAAAATTAAATGAATTATTTTATTTTATTTTACAAACGTTATTTAGCTATTTAATCCTTTATATATGTGAAGTTTTAAAATATGTATGACCTTCCCCTCTGAAATGAGAATAAAATTGGTGGGAAATTTTAACAAAAGAACACAACAAAGTTCTAGACTATAAACATAAATATTATTGTTTGGCATTACCCCAAAATTCCCCTTTAAAAAAACAAATAAATGGAAATAATATATATTTGAGTGTTCTGTCTCTACTTTCTTTGAACCAAGGAGGCCTCATACTTTATGAGTTTGTTCCACCCTCTTCTAATATATCTGTCAACAGAGCATGGCGACAGTGTTACAAAACTTAATGTTTTAAAATTTTGAACAAATTAAAAACATGAAATTTATATTTCTCTTACATTTTACTATTCTCTAATGAGGGAAAATGATTTAAATTTTGGACTGAATGCAACCAGTGTATAAAATAATTATCTTCTGAGTGATAGTGAAACAATTACTGAATTACAACTATATGCAGAAAGTATTTTTGCCTAACGTGTTTTCCATGTGACTAACATTATAGCTCATTGTAAGTGGTTTGTTTTATAATTAATAAAGAAGTCCAAGTGGAGTTTTACACAAAAACAGAAGATAGAGATCATTTAATTATATGGTTTGTGATAAAATATAATTAAGTATCAATAAGATTTTGCAATGCTGTAATCTTAAAATTTCTGAAATAATTCATGGAATTTAAGCCTTGAAATTAAAGAGGTAATTAGAAAGCTTTAACACATTTTTCTGAAAATGCTAAAAGTGTATATTGATTAATAAAGAATAAAACTCTTAGAGCTTCTAATATCTGCAGCTTGATTAATGCATACTAGGGCTTGATCTATAAAGTACATATCAAAATTTGTAGATGTCTAAAATAAGACTGTATTATCCAGTGGAATCATAACTATGTATAGCTAGATCAATAGCATAAGCCATATATTAAACTTGAAAAGATAATTCCATCAGAAATATATATTAAGCCAAAAATGAACTCAATACAAATCATTAATTATTGATATCAAAATCTATATCTTGAACATTTGTTTTATCAACGTATATTACTGAATCCCTGAGATGTGCCACCTAATTGGTAAAAAGTTTTACATTAAGGGATTTTTTTTTTTTTTTTTTTTTGTAGGGGGGACAAGGTCTCATTCTGTTATCCAGGCTAGAGTGCAGTGGTGAAATTGCTACTCACTGCAGCCTTAACCTCTTGTGCTCAAGTGATCCTCCCACCTCAGCCCTGCAAGTAGCTGGGACTACAGGACCACAGGCACACCCCACCATGCCTGGCTAATTTTTGTACTTTTTGTAGAGATGGGGTTATGCCATGTTGCCCAGGCTGGTCTCAAACTCCTGAGCTCAAGTGATCCACCTGCCTTGGTCTCCCAAAGTGCTGGGATTACAGGTGTGAGTGAGCCACTGCACCTGGCCTTAAGTATATTTTAATATTGGAAATAGTAAAAAGGTGACAATTAAACTTAATTTCTTCTGAAAACATAGAATACAATTATGTGAACACAATGGTAGAGTATAAGATATATTTTTGTATCTTACCGAATATTCCAAATTATTATACATATATACACACACATTTTATAAACAGAATAGTGACTACTTATAAGATATTGTAGTACTTATTAAGTTGCAAAATATGACTGCATCTGAATCCAATTAATTAAGTGGACTTCTCTACAAAGCTATCATATTCTATTTGCCTGTGTGTGTGTGGTAGGTAGAGTTCAAAGATGGTCCCTAAGATTCCTTCTCCTGAGGTACACATTCCCTCAGCTACTGAAACACTGATCAAGGTGCTGCTGCTAATGGATTTTGAAGACGTATAAATCCCTACTCAGTTAAGTTAAATAGATCATCCTGGGTGAGTCCCAGGATGAGGTGAGGCCATTTGAAAATATGTCTGGAGGCTACAGATGAAAAAACTTAGACAGTTTTGTTTTTTTCTTCTTCTTTGTATAAATTTATGGTATTTGGCGCTGCAGCAGGTGTTCTGCTCCTGTCTATGAAGAAGGAAACTGCTGTGTCATTCGCCACAGGGCCGGTTATGGTGAACAGTGTCTAGGAGCTATGAATTGTCCCAGGCTGAGAGCAAGCAAGAATGTAGGGACTTCAGTTTTGCACCTGCAAAAAAATTGAGTCCTTCCAATAATCACTGAACTTGGACAAGGATCCCAAACTTCAGATGAGATCACAGTCCCAGCTAACATCTTCATTTCAGCCTGGTGAGACCCTGAGCAAAGGACTCCCAGGCCTATGAACCCATCCCAGGACTCCTGGCCTATGAAAATGTAAGATAATAAATTTGTGTTGTGTTAAGCCATTAAATTTGCAGTAAGTTGTTGCAGAGCAATAGAATACAAAAGCAGTATAGATGTACTGAACAAAATCAATATATTTGTGAATATATTTCTTAATACCCCCTTAATTATTAAATGCAAATATGTACTTCAAGAAGAATTAAATTAATTCATGAAGAATCGGTAAAAGTTTAGTTTATAATTCATAAATTGACTATAATTAGTCAATTTTCTCTAAATATAGATGTTGAAAAAAATGTATATACATTTAATATGATCGCTGTAGATAATATTATCTGAAATTTTGCTTTAAAAGATTTTGACATATTTATCACTTGCACAAAAGATATATTGAACAGAGGATAAAGTATATAATGGTTTTCCCTATTTGTAGTAATTAGCAAAAATACATGCAATTTTCAGTTAATAATTCAGTTTGATAATTATATGCATATAACTTTATTAAGATCTCAATATATAGTATTAAAATGTTGTAAATGATTAGCTGGATGTGGTACAGGCCTACAGCCCCTAGCTACTCAGGAGGATGAAGTGGGAAGATGTCTTGAGCCCAAGAATTTGAGGCTACCTTGAGTTATGATTGTGCCACTGTGCTCTCACCTGGGTAACAGAGTAAGACCCTGATTCTAAAAAAAAAAAAAAAAGAAAGAAAAATAACAGAACCAAAATTTATGTAATGCATTAAAATGATTTATAATAATTTTAACATAAATTATGCATAATGGATGACTATATATTTAGATAATGCATTATTATATTTTAAATATTCTAATTATATTACATTTTAAATATATTAAGTATGTAGAGTCATACCTTGGAGATATTGCTGGTTTGGTTTCAGATCACTACAAAAAGTGAAGTTTTTGGTTTCCCAGTTCATTAAAGTTATGTTTATTCTATATTGCAGATAATTAAGTCTTGGACACATAATTGTGTCTAGAAAAACCAAAGTACATTTCTTAAATTAAAAACATTTTATACTAAAAAATGCTAACAATCATTTGAGTCTTCAGCAAGTCCTAATCGTTTGGCTGATGGTGGGTCTTGTCTTTATGTTAATGGGTGGTGACTGATCAGGGTGGTGATTGCTGAAGGTTGGGTGGCTGTGGCAATTTCCTAAAATAAAATAACAAGTGGAGTTTGCCACATTGATTGATACTTGCTTTTTACTTTGCTCAGATCCATTAGAGGAAGCACTATCTATGGCAGCTATGACCATAAAATGTACATTTTCTAAAATGTATTTCTTAAATAATAATGCTTGAAAGTTGAAATTACTCTTTGACCTTTGAGTGTAGAACAGATGTTGTGTTAGCAGGCATGAAGACAACATTAATCTCTTTTTACATCTCCATCAGACTCTTGGTTGACCAGGTACATTATCAATGAGCAGTAATATTTTGAAGGGAATCTTTTTTTCTGAATAGTAGGTCTCAAGAGTGAGCTTAAAATATTCAGTACACAATGCAGTAAACAGATGTGCATAGGCACAGTAGATTTAGGCAGAGTAGATTTAGCATAATTCTTTAGGCATGTAGGATTTTTGTAAATGTGCATTGGCTTCAACTTAAAGTCACCAGCTGCATAACCCTTAACAAGAGAATCAGCCTGTCCTTCGAAGCTTTGAAGCATTGACTTTTCCTCTCTAGCTATTAAAATCCTAAATAGCATCACCTTTGCATTGAAAATTTCTTGTTTTGTGTATCCACCTTCATTAATTATCTTAGCTACATCTTCTGGACAACTTGCTGCAGCTTCTACATTAGCACCTACTGCCACGCCTTGAACTTTGATGATATAGAGATGGCTTATTTCTTTAAGCATTGTGGACCACCTCTACTAACTTGCAATTTTTTTTCTGAAGCTTTCTCACCTCTGTCAGCCTTCGTAAAATTGAAGAGAGTTAGGGCCTTTCTCTGGATTAGGCTTTGTCTTAAGGGATTGTTGTGGATGGTTTGATCTATTCAGACCACTAAAACTTTGCATATCAGCAATAAGGCTATTTAGCTTTCTTAATATTCATATATTCACCAGAGTAGCACTTTTAGTTTCTTTCAAGAGCTTTTCCTTTGCATTTATAACTTGGCTATTTGGCACGAGTGCCTACCTTTCAGCCTTTATTGGCTTTCTAACCACTAAGCTTAATTATTTCTAGCTTTTGATTTAAAGTGAGAGACGTGGAACTGTTTCTTTCACTTGAATACTTAGAGGTCACTGTAGAGTTACTAACCAACCTCATTTCAATATTGTTGTATATCCAGGGAAAGGGAAGCTCAAGGAAAGGGAGAAAGATGGAGAAACAGACAGGTGGTGGAACAGTCACAACACACATAATATTTATTAATTAAATTTGTCATTTTATATGAGTGCAGTTCATGGTGCCTCCAAAAATTACATTAGTAACATCAAAGATCACTCATCACCAATCACCATATCGGAGATAACAGTAATGGAAAAGCTTGAAATATTGCTAGAATTATCAAAATGTGACACAAGCATGTGAAGTGAGAAAAATGCTGACAAGTGACTTGCTAATACAGGGTTTACACATTGAATTTGTAAAAGAATGCAGTATCTTGGAAGTACAATAAAATCAATCGTAATAAAATGAAGTATGCCTATATGTATTATGTTATTTATATGTATAGCTATATAAATATATTTTAATTTTCTTCCACTTATTTTGAGGCTTGTCTTTATAAATTGTACATCAATATATATTAATATAATATGCAAATTTCTTTCCTTAGTTATATTTTAATAGTTGTCTTTGAATTTTTTTCATAGATCAGTTTGTCTGAAAATTATTGGGTCATATTTTAATATGCAATGGTAAATGTACAATTGTCAAAAATTTTATGTTGTAATATCCAGAATCAGTAGTATTGATAGCAATTAAAGAGCAATTAATTATTATACATAGTTCAATTTAGATATGCTAGAGGAAATAAAATTATTGCTAGTTACTAATATGGTTTGGCTTTGTCCCAACCCAAATCTCATCTTGAATTGTAGCTCCCATGGGGAGCAGGTCTTTCCTGTGCTGTTCTCATGATGGTGAATAAACCTCACAAGACCTGATGGTTTTATAAAGGGGCACTCCCCTGCACAAGTTCTCTTGCCTGATGCCATATAAGATATGACTTTGCTCTTCCTTTGCCTTCTGCCATGATTGTGAGGCCTCCCCAGCCATGTGGAACTGTGAGTCAATTAAATCTCTTTCCTTTATAAATTACTCAGTCTCAGGTATGTCTTTGTCATCAGCCTGAGAACAGCCTAATACAGTAAATTAGTACTGGTATAGTGGGGTGGTACTACAAGGATACTCGAAAATGTGGAAGTGACTTTTGAACCCCATTGTATCTAGTAAGTAATGAAATTGCATTTGATTTTACAGGCTTATAGACAGAAGAAACTTGCCTTGTCTCAGATGAGACTTTGGACTGTGGACTTTTTACTTAATGCAGAAATGATTTAAGATTTTGAGGAACTGTCTGGAAGGCACGTTTGGTTTTGAAATGTGAGAACGTAAGATTTGGGAGGGGCTGGGGCAGAATGATATGGTTTGACTGTGTGTCCACCCAAATCTCATCTTGAATTGCAGCTCCCATTACTCCCAGGTGTCATGGGAAGGACCTGGTGGGAGGTAATTGAATCACAGGTGTGGGTCTTTCCTGTGCTGTTCTCGTGAAAGTGAATAAGTCTCAGGAGGCCTGATGGTTTTATAAAGGGGAGTTCCTCTGCCCATGTTCTCTTGCCTGCCACCATATAAGATGTGACTTTGCTCTTTCTTTGCCGTCTGACATGATTGTGAGGCCTCCCAGCCATGTGGAACTTGGGTCAATTAAACCTCTTTCCTTTATAAATTATCTAGTCTTGGATATGTCTTTATTAGCTTCATGTAAACAGACTTATATATTTACCTTTTTCATTGTGAGAACTTACCTACATTTTATGTTTATTTATTTATTTTTATAATGGTTCCCACTCCTTGTACTGAAATGTGCAGGACTGTGAAGCTATAAAAGCTAAAGAATATTCTGTCCTCTACAGCCTGTGTATATGATTCCTTCTGGTCCAAAAACTAAAAAACTAGGTAGACAAAGCAACTACCCTCCTACCTCATTCACACACACGCATACCAAACACAATATACAATTGTGGAGCTGGGAATGGGTGATCTGATTAAGGGCTCAGTAAGATAAAAGAAATACATAGAAATGAATGGTGCATGGTGATGGCTCGCTACTTCCCAGTAAACATTGAGATGTCCGTCTCGAACTTCACAGAGGGGAACATTTTTTTATTTGAATTGATTCTGTTTACTAGAAGGCAATGCCTTGTCTACTGCTTTTTGGTGGCAACACAGTATGTTTCTGGGATGATGTTATTTTCCGTTTCATCACAGCCACTTAGGAAGTGTTGTTGTGGTATGACATAAGTCACCTTTGTGACTCAGAGTGCTGCATACATTTTACAGTACTCTTTCCGCCGCTGTAAACCTAGACCTTTTTTTTTTTTTTTTACAATCTAATCTTTATTAATTCAGGATTCTCATTTTCTTCACAAATACAAATCAAATCCTTAATATATTAGAAGGCATTTGGCCTGATTTCTCACATATAGTCTCATGTGCCACTACTGAAAGTTCTTTACTAGACATGTCTCATAAATCCTTCATTTCTTTGTTTCCTGCATCCATATACTATCTTTGTCTCTTAAATTGATAGCAGGACAAAGCTGTATTAGTCCACTTTCATACTGCTATAAAGAAATCGCCAAGACTAGGTAATTTATAAAGAAAAAGAGGCTTAATGGATTCACACTTCCACATGGCTGAGGTGGACTCACAATCATAGTGTAAGGTGAAGGGGAGCAAAGGTATGTCTTACATGGCAGCAGGCAAGAGAGAGTGTGTACAGGGGAGCTACCCTTTAAAAAACCATTGGATCTCATGAGACTCATTTGCTATCATGAGATCAGCATGGGAAAGACCCGCCCCCATGATCCAATTACCTCCCACCAGGGGATTATGGGAGCTAAAATTTAAGATGAGATTTTAGTGGGGACACAGCCAAACCATATCAGAAGCCAACTGAAATAATAGGCCTGGATGTAAATAACATCTGAACTCTAAGTTTTGTGATGGGGCTAGTATTTTTGTTGTTTGGTTTGTTTTTGTAAATACCTTTGAGACATTTTTTTGCACGTATGGTACATTTCACAATGTAATTTCTTAAAACATGATGTTGGATCATTTGCAAGAACTTTTTTTTAATTTTATTTTTGTAATTTTTTAACTGTTATTTTAAGTTCTGTGGTACATGTACAGGTTTTTTACACAGGTAAATGTGTGTCATGGGGGTTTGCTGAGCAAATTATTTTATCACTCAGGTATTAAACCTAGCACCTATCATTTATTTTTCCTGATCTTCTCCTTCCTTCCACCCTCTACTGTCTGATAGGCCACAGTGTATGTCGTTCCCCTCTACGTGTTCATGTGTTCCCATCATTTACTCCCACTTGTAAGTGAGAGCATGTGGTATTTGATTTTCTGTTCCTGTGTTAGTTTGCTAAGAATAATGCCCTCCATCTCCATCCATATACCTCCAAAGGACATAATCTTGTTCTTTATTATAACTGCATAGTATTCCATGGTGTATATGTACCACATTTTCTATATCCAATCTATCATTGATGGGCATTTAGGTTGATTCCATGCCTTTGCTATTGTGAACGGGGCTGGAATGAAAAAACACATGCACATGTCTTTATAATAGAATGATTTATATTCCTTTGAGTATATACCCAGTAATGGGGTGGCAGAGTCAAATGATGTTTTTGTCTTTAGGTCTTTGAGGAATTGCCACACTTCCTTCCACAATGGTTAAACTAATTTACACTCCCACCAACTGTGTGTAAGTGTTCCTTTTTCTCCAAACCTCACCAGCATCTGTTATTTTTTGACTTTTTAATAATAGCCATTCTGACTGGTGTGAGATGGCATCTCATTGTGGTTTTGATTTGCATGGCCGACTAGAAGCAGCTACAGTGTGTGGCTCTTACAGAAAGGACTGAAAGGGAAGAGTAAATACAGCACCTTCAATTGAAACCTCCTGGTACTTGCACTGGGACTAATCAAGGAAACAACTGGACCCACAGATAACAAAGAAAAGGAAGACAGGACTGCAGCCCACCTAGGAGTGACACGGGTATGTTTCAATTTATCTGAGAAGTATTGAAGGCTTTGTTATGGAAAGCTGTTTACAGTCTAATTTCTTACTCTTTGGTGTCTAAAACCGATTCCAACTCAGCAAAACCTCAATTTCTGTAATTCTTGTATTCCCTTAAATTTATACCTGAAACTGGACTCTTTTTTTCCCCCAGAGCTCATCTCTTTCTTTTAATATACATTTACTGAATCTTCTCAAACAATTCCCTGAAACTACAGGATCAGTAGGAACCTGGCCCACTTCCACCATGTGTGATAATATTGCCAAATGTTTACTGGTGAATAACAAGGATATACATCTTTCTAACATACCTTGTCTATTTTCTCACCACCAGTCTACAGGTCCACTGGCACATGTTTTAAATTATTTTACTTCAACCACCCATATCAAGGCACACATTTCTACATCATTTAGATTGTCGAATTTCTACAACAGAAAAGTACCAGGATGTCTGCAGGCTAAGGCATGATAAGACTATGTTTCTTTCTCTTGCAACAATACTGAGCAGGTAAAGAAGTTGCTGGGGTAGCCTGCTTATGCTCAGTTGTTATTGGATAAAGGCTTACCAAGGCTCTTCCACCCTCTTCAAAATATGGCTTCCAAGTTGTCGTTAGAATCATCTGCACTCCAGTCAGCCAGAAGGAGAAATAATATAATAGAGCATGTGTGGGAGTTATTATGAGCCCTCCAGGACCAGAAATAATTCAGATTATTTCAGTGTTCAAACCCCCTTGACTGAAACTGTCCCATGGCTATAGTTAACTATACCAAATGCTGGGAAATGCTAGGTATAGCCAGGAAGAAGAAGAAAAATTAGATTGTGTTGAGCAATTTCTAACATTAGGAACGTTAAGCGAACATTTTGTTGTCAGAGGCAGAGCTTGCACAGATTTCAAGAAAGTGTTAGAAAGCTAGGCCATTTTCATACAAATCTAACATCTGCAGAAACCCAGAAGTAATGCAGTACACTTTTAGATAATTTTGAGAACAATGAAAGGTAAAAAAACATATAATGAAATAAAGGTGAAATGCAGGCAAATGATATGCTTATAATTTCAGTGTTCATTCACAGTCATTTAAATGCTGACAAATACAGACTCCATGATGATTGAACTTGACAGAGGTGGCTTCATTGGACTGAGTAAACTGTAAAGGATCTTGGTGAATTTCAATCGTGGTTGACACAAATCTCCCTTTGTTTGTTAAAGTGAGACACCCAATGTCTAATTCTGGGCAGTAGTACATATCCACTCTAAAACACAAGCATTTTCTGTCATCAAAATACATTGTAGAAATTGATTAAAGGCTCAGCTCCCATGCAGTTTGCTAAGCCAAGTATCAGTTCAAATTTCAAGTTTTATTAAAACTACTCACAGTTTTGATGTTGAAATTTATTTTTGAGTAAAATTAAAACATCTTTTTAAAAGATTCTGCTTTCAACATTTTCTTAAGAAATGTGGTCATTGACTCTTGTGTAAAAATATAATAAAAGAGACAACTTCTAATTGTTATTTTATAGTCTTTCTCTCTGAAATACATTAATTCCAAGACAATGAACTAAACCTAAATATCTGTAAATGTTAACATACAATTTCTTCTGGAGATAGAGTTTATGTATATTTTGTAAAGCATGTAAGAACCCTAAATAACTGAATAACTCTGATCTATATTTTTGCCAGTATTTGAGTTCCTAACTAAAATTTATTTTCAAGAGCCTATTTAGTATAACTGTATCATTTTCTAAATATATAAAGTAGATGGAAAGAATTTAATATAGACAGACTTTGTATATATTTATGATTTCCATGAAAATTTTGTCATTGTTTTCCTAGAATATATTCTGTAGCCAGGGATAGCATGAAATTCAACACAGGCAAGTTTTCTTGATCTCATGCCCACTTTGATTTGTGTCGTTCTATCTCCCTCTGTTACCATATTGTAGTTTCCCAGCGTTCAGCAATCATGATGTCTTTTGACATTTAATAACCCCTCTGAAAAGTCTCATACTCTTTCGGTCGTTTTTCTCCATTCTTTCTTACACGTGCATTGTCTCTTATGTGTTGAGGTACATTTTCTTGTCTGCTCTGCAGTTTGCTTTTTTCTGCTGTCTCGTTATTTCCTCTGAGGCCTCTCATTGTATTCCCTTTATACCTATGCTTTCTTCCTGCAATGCTCTCTAATCCCCTAGTACCACTTCTGCTTCTTCGTTGAACTCCCGTTGTGCCCTCACTTTCCAGAGATGCACTAGTTCCCTTCATGCTATTTTTAGGATCTTCACTGAAAAGATGTATCCTAATACTTGGTTTGGTGCTGGAATCTGTCTCCTAATGCTTGGAAAATGTCCATGCCTTAGAGGAGAAAGACAAGCTCCCCAGAAAACAAATGGCATATAGAACCTAAGTTACAAACAAAGCCTGTTATTCAACGTAATGTATGACTTTCTAAATTAAAAATAGTATTGTTCCCAGTTCACTTAAATATTATTGTAATCATATTCTCTGCAGTTATTGAGATCAAATCAGAAGAAAACTTTGGCTTTCTTTTAACTTATACTTTGTATCTATTTTTGTGGGTTACATTTTGACAACCTCCTTCCAACACTTCCTGGAATAATTTACATGGCCCTTCCACATGGAAAGTCTGCCCTTCCTTCTAGACCTACACTAAAAAAGTAATCTTTTCTGTGGGCATTTCTTCAGGTCAGTAATTAGCATCCTTGATATATATGTATGTATGTATGCGTGTGTGTGTGTGTGTGTGTGTGTGTGTGTATATATATATATATATATATATATATATATATATTTTTTTTTTTTTTTTTTTTTTTTTTTTTTTGAGACCGAGTCTTCCTCTGTCGCCCAGGCTGGAGTGCAGTGGCACCATCTCGGCTCACTGCAAGCTCTGCCTCCTGGGTTCAAGGCATTTTCCTGCCTCAGTCACCCAAGTAGCTGGGACTACAGGTGCCCGCCACCACGCCCGGCTAATTTTTTTGTATTTTTAGTAGAGATGAGGTTTCACTGTGTTAGCCAAAATGGTCCCGGTCTCCTGACCTCGTGATTCGCCCGCCTCGGCCTCCCAAAGTGCTGGGATTACAGGCGTGAGCTACCGCACCCGGCCACATCCTTGATATATTTTGACCTGCATAATTCTAATAAAAGCCTATGTCATTCTCTGTGTTCTATAGTACATAAATGTCATTGTTTTCCCTTAAAATATATCAATGAGGGCAAGAAACAAAACATACTCAACTTAGTATGTGAAACACTACATCTGAATATGTAATAAAGTAACAACGTTTGTTGACTGTTAAAGACAACTTATTTTAAAAGTCATCCAGAAGAGAAAGACACAGCCAATATTGCAAAGGTAAAATACCACTATGTGCATACATAGTTTTAAATTTTTATTTGTATATTATTGGTTTATAGCATATAAATATAATGTTTTATGTCACATTTCTTTTGATTCTTTCATGAATGACATCCCATGTGAATTCAAACAGACAAAGGTTTATTTATTTATTTTGCTGACATCAAATGTTTGGAAAAGTGCTTTATTATTGAAAAATTCTAACATGACTTTAAAAATAATATAATTCTCAATTATTCCTATAAGCTTCTCTTATTTTTCCAACTTTACATTGCCATTACTATCACCAAAACAAAACTGTATATTTCTGAGATTCTGCTGCTAAAACACATGAGATTTTAAAATAATTTTATATTTATTCAATTTGGAGGTTATTGAATCACTTACATATTTGTTGATTACCAGGACATAGATATTTTGGCATTATAAACTGTATGTTTTTGAACTGAGAACTCAAGGAATAATGTGGTATAAAAAAAGCAGTGTTTCAGTGATAATGTTAAAAGGTATTTCTCAATATTTATACATTTTGTAAATATTTACTTGATTTTCATAAAGAATTTAGCAAGTAAAAACATTGTTAATTTAACTGTTAAAAGTGTGGTATATAATTCAAATGTATTGTTATCGATGTATAACTACAATAATTAATGTAAAATTTAAAAATATTTATATTAATAATATTATTTTAATAATAAAATTATTTAAAGCTGTAAATAAATTTTTAATGTGTTACGTTTTTAGAGGTAGCAAAATATGCCACCCCACTATATGCCACTTTGGGCATAAGGATTATTTTTAGCTGAAGACACTTGAGCAGAGGCAAATACAAGAAAAGCTCTCAGCTGTCTCATATTTGCCTAAAAGCAGGATATAAATTTGCAAAGACCAAGAAGGAAAAAATTCAGTTACTGGGACAACTTTACACCCTATGAGCCCGAAGATGACACCGAAGGAATCTATACAACAAACTTTGCTAACTAGCCATCTACTACTCATTTCCCATATATTTGCCTTCTCATAATTTGTTGGCCTAGAAACCAAGTCATTTTCCTTTTTCTTGTCACTGCTCTAAAAATGGAAGATGTTGTATAAACCCAAGTTCTAACTAAGCCTTTGAATTACTCATCTCTGGGTACTCCAGTTTGTAAGCACGATGCACATGCTAACAAAATTCTGTTTGTTTTTCTCTTATTAATCTTTTGTCAGTTCAGTTTACAAGGCCTCAGCTGGAGAACCTAGGTAGTTGTTTTACATTTTGCTACGTGAATATATTACATATTAAATTTTAATCATTTGTTTCTATAACCAAGCAAATTTTACAGTGCAAATGTACAAAGAAATTATAATATTTTTGGCACGGTTTCAGAAAAGTAGTTGGTATTAAATTTTAACTGTTCTTATTAGGCTTATGGATATATATACATATGAGATACATGCATTTAATAGTTATAACATTATTTAAATATTTAATCTGAATTATACATTTGAACATTTTTTATCAATGAAATGTTTTATTTCATTTATTTTAATAGAGCTCTATCATGACTCATAGTTTTTTACAATATAAAATTATGTGATTAAAGTTCTGATAAATGCTCATTACTATGAATCATACATTTGAAAACTCAAAATTTTCTTTTAACATAAGCAACATGTTTTAATTATAAAAAAATTTAAAAATATAAACTAAAGAAAAAATAACTTTTTATTGCCAATCTATAATAATCACTATGAATATTGTGGTGGCTATTAGTTCTTTGTGATGACAAAGAGATAAGTACACCATCTAAACTGATAGCCTTAGTTCATCATAATTCATATGTATAATATTTATTATTTACTAACTCTTTGGCCAGATAGATACACAAACTGTCATAACTGTGCCTTACAACACATATGGACCTGTTTTTATATTCTGCAGTTAAACCTGGCAGAATTTAGCTCCCAGTGTTCTTAGAGTCTCAATGCTGCAAGTTTTAAAGAAACTTAGAAAATGAGAATATAAGCTAAGAAAAATAATCTTTCTCCAGGATAAAAACCTTAGGCTGCAGAAGTTCACAAGGCTTCCTATGCTCTTGGTAATATCATTGTTCCTAATCACTCCAAAATGATGCTGCCTGCATTATCGTGAAAATATGTCTAAGAGCAAGTGCCACGGGAGGCTATAATTAGAACTGCCCACTCACTTTCTCTAGGAGGATATCAAAACTAATGTTCCTAGACCCTACATCCCTGCATACCTAGGTGACACCAAAAATTTAAGTCTTTAGATCATCTACCACTATGTAGAATTTTATGTACATCCCGCTATGGACTCTCCTAATTGCAGCTAATCTTTCATTGCTACCATACACATTTGTGATAGATTATTAAAATGGCCAAATGTTCTTTCCCTCCTGCATTCATGCCTTTATAGTGTGGCATTGCAGATTATTCCATTAAGAAAATGAATCTATCTCTCTGCCCCTTGATTCTGAGTTGGCCATTTGATTTGTTTTGTCCAAAAGGACATTAGAGAATGTGATGCAAGAAGAGATTTATAATGTGTGTGTGTACCATCATACTAGGACACCTTTGCTGCTTTTGGGATTCCTGAAGCTGCCACATGAAAACCAAAAACAAAAATAAAAACCCCAGCTACACTGCTGGAAGAAAAGACATTATGTCAATGAACACCACAAACTTCCTAAATAAAATGTTTAAGATAAAAACAGACATAACATCAAAACATAGGTAATATTTTATTTTATTTTGCAATTTTATTAAAAACCTAATTCTAGGAAGTCTAGGATAAACATTTTTAAGGAACACACTTTCAAATAATTAGATGACTCATTTCATTTCTAATTATATTTATTATAAAAAGTACACTGTAAAATAAACTTTGATATTAAAGTTGATATTTTACATGCACATATTTTTTTCAAAACTTTGAATTGACTAGTGAAATTTGTAGCAATAATGCTCTATATTAAAATATTCTGCTAAAATGTTTTGTAAAAGTCTAAAGAAAAAGTGTATGCTGTAAAAAAATTTTAATAATAAGGAACATAATTTCAGAGTTCTTACGGTATGACTATCAAATTATTATTTTTTTGTTTATCAAAATAGCAGATCAGAAGCATTTTAACAAAATGAGAAGAAAATTCGTAATAATGGTGGAAAGTGTAGAAAAAAAAGATATTACCTACAAAATAGGTTGAGTTCTGGGACATCAATTAACTACTTGTTTCGTATTTATATCCCTTTTGCGGGGATGGGGTAAGAGAAAGTTTATTTAAAAGATATAGTGCCTTATCCCATTCATTTATGAAAGGAAGTATAAAAGCTATATTTGAGTATTTAATGAAAATAAGAACGCTTTAAAAAGAAAATATTTTATAAATAAACATATATACATATGTATATATCCCCTTTGTTTTGTGAACTACCTGAAAGTCTCCAAAAGGGTTTACTTTTATTGTTTAAAATAATATATACCTTAACATGTATATGTATCTCCATGATATGTAGTGTATATATATACATACATACATATATAATAGTATTCAAATAAAAACAGTATAAGATATAATGTGAAAAAGAATAGGCTAATTGTCTTAATTTATGTGTACAACTTGTAATAAAGTTTAATAGAGAATTAAAATTGTATTTAAAATAACATAAGTGAGAATACACAGTAAAACCACTCATGACTTTATTTTGATAACATATGTTTTCCTTTGAAAAATCTGCCTAATCCATCCTTTACAAAATAATATTCTATTCTTGAGTACAACATAATTAAGAATGTTCTTCCCTATCAGATACTGTATTTATGATAGCTAATGCATAGTCATGGAAAGAGAGAAGGGGAAATATAGGATGAATTTGCATATAAGTACTGGATGAAAATATACATATAATGCATTTATCATGCATCAAAATTTGTACTTGGCATTCTCCATATTTTATACATATTTCACCTTTGTATGGGTAAAACTTTAAATACATATTTCACATACATTCAATAAATTATATGAAATCACAAATATTTTATTATATTTACATAGGGGCCATGATAACTTCTTCACTATTATTCCAATATTAGGATATGTGCTACTGCTGAAAATAATTAATGCAGTTTTTGTATGCTTTTATAATGTAATATTTCAACAAAAAATGCTTAATACTATTGAATATTCTTCAAAGACATGATTATTAATGACTGTTTGGAATTCTATTGCCCTTCCCCTTCTTTATGCTTAATGTTTCTTTTATTTTTTCTTCTTTAATGTTGTGGATATTTCTTATTACCTAAGAAAACTAGTTCTGCAATCTACTAATTTTCCTTTTATGTTTAAAGAATATGGGAAGTGGCTTAATGCCAAGAAGGAGGTGATGCAGCAAATCCCATTGTGAAATGATTCATCAAAGTCTCAGAGGAAACAGAATCTAGTTATTCTAAGAAAGAATGAGTGTGTTTGAGCTATGTTGTCTCATTCACTCCCCCATGTATTCTATCAGGTAGAAAAATATAAAAAATGTAGAGTATGACTCTTGCTGTTTTATCTTAGCTATTTTGGCTAAACCTTAGCAATTAGGAAAATACATTAAAAAATCCTCCATTTGTAGAGCTAGATATACCCCATAGTAATCACTCTGAGTTGGTAAAATTATGTAATTGAACAACACTCCACCCTGGTTAGATAATACAATACTAGAGACTGAGTAATTAGATAAACAAGTCTCAAGTTTTGGGTAAAGTTCTATCATTCTTTATTACAGGTAAAGATCTGAGAGTTGTAGGAAAATGCTGTATTAAGTACCGGAATTAGTCAAACTCATGCAATTCTTCTTTTTAGATAATGAAGAGACTAGGACTAAGAACATGTTTAGAGACTAAAACACTGTGATCTGAAGAGAGAGAAGTTACAGGAAAGGAAACTATGAAGGCGCAGTCAATGAAGTGACAGGAAACATGGGCAAGTGAGCTGCAATAGAAACCAGAAGAAGAAAGTCTTTCAAAACAAAGATAGTGGCCAATGTTACTGAATGTTACTAATAGGCCAAATAATATAAAAAAAGAAACGATTTGATTTGACAATATCAGAATCTTTGATATTCTTGAATAGTATTAAACTCTTATTTAATGATATTAAGATAAATCAGCTTGGTGAATATAGTCTTTACTTCTCGCTGTTGAGTTTAATAGATAGCAATAATGGGAAAGGACTTCAAACCTACTAAGCAATTAATGATGCAGTTCTAGTAGTATTGTCTTTTACTGTGTCTCATAAAAGTTATTAATGTCATTAAAATAGCTGAAGAAATAAAATCAAGGTCTGGTCTTTCATATGGATTTCCAGAAGCATTCTGAGTCCCCATTAAATTCTCTCTCCTCTCTCTACCTCCTCTTCCTTTCCCGACCCTTTCCTTCTCTTTCTCTCTTCTCTTTTCGTTTTGTTCTCTAACTTATTTGCTCTCTCCTACCTTGCATTTTTCCCATTACCCCCATACACTCCTCTCATTCCCATTTGTTATCTAGAATACAATGTAAGATTTCCTCTCTTCCTTAAACATCCAATTCCCGTTTTTCTTCTGTCGACTTCTGTATTTTTCTTCTACAGATTGTCGAAATATATGCAGCAATTAATGTGACTTAAAGTGCCTCAGTCAGATTGTCAGAGATATTTTATTTCTACGTAATAAAAGAAAATATCAATTTTTTTTCTTCTACCACACAACACTCTAAATAAATACATAGGGACTTTTGTTATCAGAGTTGTAAAGACACAGGGAGCCAATCAGAGATTAGGCTGATTACTAACAGCAAAAAACAAGAACAAATATGATTCTCTTAGGTACCATGAGGACCCTCCCTGTTATCCTTGCAGCTGAGCATCTACACATATAATTTTCATCCTGAAATTGAGGGCTAAAGTAATCAGAAAATGCAGGCAATTCCTATTTTGTAATACACAATTCTTTAGTAAACCTGAAATACTTTCTACTACTATATTTAGTAAAACTTCCTTAGTTTCCACATGTTGTACATGTTTCAAGTTTTGTCTAAATATTACATTGAAGTGATTATATTTCAGCACTACTCAAATAAGGCAGAGAAAAGTAGCACTGAAAATAGAAAGTGAGTGAGTTGTATTTATGCTTGAGTTAACCTAGGGTTTTATTTTATATCCTAGTTATTTAAACTTATTGTCAAAATGAAAGTTTTCATAAGTAGCAAATCTAGCTGTAGCTTATTATACATTAGAATTTTTTTCTTTCACCTTAGATCCAACATGTTAATTTTGCATGTGCCAAGGTAAATATATTCTGATGAAAGTGCTTCAATCTTAGAATCCTGAACTTCAGTGGGTAAATTAAGCCAATAGTATATTTTATTATGAAAGTTACAGTGGCTGAGTCCTTCTTGATGCCAGCATTTGAGTCTTACATAGAACTAGCTGTGTCGTCTCTCAGCATGCACAATTCTAAGATTTGACAACAGAGTTACATTGAATTGAGCAAGATTCTGGGTAACTCTAGCTGCCAAACTTCAGAATAACATCTTCTAGGGGTAAAAACAGGGTAATCACTGTCAAACTCAAGGACCTGAGAGATACAGCTTTGTACCTACAACTTCATAACGCTATGCTATAACTCTAGCAGAGATGAAACAGAGCAGGAAAAGATCAGTACTTTAAAAGAATATGAGCTTAGTAATAAACTTTATGTGGGTTTTTTGTTAAATACGAATATACTTTTAAAATAAGTCAAATTTTTATTATATTTTTATTTTTCCCTAGATTTAAAGTTAATCTTTTTAACCTGAACAAACTAATTTTATATCAAGTGATTCACTCAAATATGTTGATTTTCTTTCCAGTTTTCTTAAGAACTTGCTAGGAGGAAGGCTAATATGTGTAAAATACTAAGGTTCTAATGGTTAACATGATGCTGTATATGTTCATTGTTTTTTCATATATTAGAAACCATACAAAGGAAGGACAATTAACAATATAATTTAAGACAGATGTCCTGTTTAACCCTCCAATCTTTTTGCATCTATATAAACAAGTAAATTATTGTACATTTATTTATTCAGTCAACAGCTGTTCTTTGAGTGTATATCATATGAGTCATTTTTCAAGGAAACATATATAGGATTTAACTCAATGGAAAAAGTACCTGTTTACATTTATGATGAAGGAACTACAGAAGAAAATACAAAACATTTCAGGTAAACATCAGTTAGAAGGAGAGTAAAGCAATAAGACGACAAACATTGATGGTGGGAAAATGTCAAGTGTTGTCGAGGATTAAGAGCAGCTACAATCCTCATTCACTGCTAGTGAGCGCGATTTGCTAAAGTCATTTGAAAAATTATTAGGCATTCTCTACTAAAGCTGAACATGTGCAAATTCCATGATCCAATAATTCCATTCCTAGATATAATTCCAAAAGAAATGTAATTTTATGTTTACCAAACATATATAGTAAAATGATCATAGCAGCACTACATTAAATAAGCCCTGAAAGGAAAATAAACAAATGCTCATCAACAGTATAACAGATGAACAAATTGTGGTTATTCATACCAGAGAATATTACACAGCCATGAGAATAATCAACAACTGCATGACCTAGAGGAGAACATAACGGAAAATGCCTTTATATAAAAATCCTAAAGTAGGTCATAGTCCTGTATGCTGTCAAATGTCAAGGTCAGTATCATTTTGGAGTGGTAAATACTGAGAGTACAAAGAATGGTGAGAACGTCATGCTACTGATAATATTTGATTTCTTAATTTGGAACTGGTTTCCTGATGTGGATTCTTTACTTCACTCTGACATTATCTCAAGCTAATATTTTACTTTCTTTCACAGTATATCTGTCAATACTTTCAGTTTTCTAAGTAGTATAGCAATGGGTTATAAAATGTCTCTTTATAAAGTTTTGGGAGGTGATTTACTTTCATTTATGTTCATAACAGGAGATAAATAGAAAGTGTTTTTGAATAAGAAAGTAACTGAAATTCAGTGAGATGGCATCCCCAAAATATGAGTTGGTAGCATTAATAACAAAAATAGTCTCTTTTCCTGAATTCTAGTCTATGAATTTGTAAAATCTGCTGAAATATGAAGGGTATCCAACCATTACAGGCATTAGTGACCCTCATCACCACTTTTAGTTTTAATGTAACATCAACTTACATTTGAAGCAAACCCTTCCTAAATATACACTCAAAAGTACAGCATTCTATCTACTGTGTTTGTAATAAGATCAAAACTACCTATAATATAAAAGGTATTATAGGAGGTTTTGTTAAATTTTGCCAACAAAAATTATTCCTGACATTTCTCTTGATTGAATATATTCACAGTACATACCTATTGCTATGGGGTTTTCCTCATATTTTTGTTTTATCTGTTTATTTATTTTTGAGACAGAGTCTCACTCTGTTGCTCAGGCAGGAGTGCAGTGGCGCGATCACAGCTCACTGCAGCAGCCTCAACCTCCCAGTCTCCAGTGATCCTCCTACCTCAGCCTCCCAAGTAGCTGGGTCCACTAACATGGGCCAACACACCCAGCTAATTTTGTTTTGTGTTGTTTTTTGTAGAGACAGGGTTTCCCTATGTTGCCCAGGTTAACATTTTCCTTTTGTTTCAAAAAATGTATTTGCCAAAGTCAGTTTTTGTTAAACAAAAAAAGTTTTGTTTTTCAAGATTAAATGTTTCTTACAACTAAAAATATTTAATGTTCTAAATGCTTAGCAACATAAAGTAAAATTAAGATTTGTGGTAATGATTGGAAAGAAGTATGACTAAAATTACAGGAGATTGTTTCTGAAAAATGGAGTTCATTCCAGTTCTTATAAAGGCAGATTTAAGAACATGTGCATATAATATCGATGTCAGATTATACTTGAAGAGCATTTCTACATGTAGTAAAAAAAAATACGTATATATATATATATATATATATATATATTTATATATATGTATATTTTTAAGATGGAGTCTTGTTCTGTCGCCCAGGCTGGAGTGCAATGGCACAATCTCTGCTCATTGCAACCTCTGCCTCCTGTGTTCAAGTGATTCTCCTGCCTCAGCGTTCTGAGTAGTTGGGACTACAGGCATGTGCCACCATGCCCAGCTAATTTTTGTATTTTTAGTAGAGACGGGGTTTCACCATGTTAACCAGGCTGGTCTCAAACTCCTAACCTCAAGCAACCCACCTGCCTCGGCCTCCCAAAGTGTTAGCATTACAAGCATGAGCTACCACAACCAGCCAAATCTAAAGGTATTTTGAAAATGATTATTTGATATTTTGACAATTGCAATTAATAGGTCATGTAAGATTTCTGAATATATGGAAAATATTATTCACATAAAAGAGTGATTTGTATTGTCACAAAAAGTTACACTCAGAATTTTATGAAATCTATACTTTAGTTTTGTATTTTAATACATCTTGGCCTGGGTATTGTGCAGAATAATTAGGAGATTAATATCAGGTTGTATTGTCATTAAATATACACATATCCATCCCTCCAACTAAGCGATGTATACCTTGACAGTCAGTGCTATATTTAATTAAAGTCTTTATTTCTATCCACAATGAGTAATTGACCAATGTTTGTTGAATAAATAAATAGATGTACAAATGAATGAACATAAATACATGCACCATAGCTTGATTTTTGATAAAAAGGTGTTTGTTAACTGGTCCTGTATAATTCTTTTTTTTTTTTTTTTTTGAGGTGGAGTCTCACTCTGTCGCCCAGGCTGGAGTGCAGTGGTGCCATCTCGGCTCATTGCAAGCTCCGCCTCCCGGGTTCACGCCATTCTCCTGCCTCAGCCTCCCAAGTAGCTGGGACTACAGGCGCCCGCCACCACATCTGGCTAAGTTTTTGTATTTTTAGTAGAGACGGGGTTTCACCGTGTTAGCCAGGATGGTCTTGATCTCCCGAACTTGCGATCCACCCGCCTCGGCCTCCCAAAGTGCTGGGATTACAGGCATGAGCCACCGCGCCCGGCCGGTCCTGTATAATTCTTTAAAAAGTGGAATCTTACATGATATCACAAGAAATGTTGTCCTGCTTTATCCTCCCACCATTGTCCTAAATACCACAGAGCACAGAATTAGATACTCTCACAGTTACATCATAAACCAAAATAATTTTCAGCTAGATAAAATCTTCAAAGTTGCAAAATGTTAAGGCTATGCAAAATAGAACATAAATACTTATCTGATTTAGAAATGAGATATAAAATTATAATGATTAACAAAAGAGTTCCAAAGAAATAGATTAATTACCTTAATTATATTTCAGTGAAAGGAACCCCACACTTCCCCACCCCACACTTCCCCACTGTCACATTTTATAAATGAATTTAGGAAATATGACTAGGAACATATATTACAGAGTAAGGATTACCATCCTTATGAATTATTACTATAAATTACCAAACAAAAAAACTTGACTTTAACAGAAGTATTAGTAGGGTACTTGCATGAATAGGATGAAACTTTGTATAAATAATATAATCAAAATTTCCAAAAGCCAAAAAGGAACATATCTGTGTGTGCATCTTTTCCCCAGGTGCATACATTAAGAATATGTGTTCACTGCAACTTTTAATTACCACATTTTACCTTCGGTAGACTATTATTAAAATCTGGTGTTCTTAGGATATGGTGAAAGAGAGTAATTCATTGGTATTTTAAGCATTTGGCTGACTGTAGTGAAAACATTTGTGATAACTGTTATAACAAGACATCTATGAGGAAGAGGATTGGTAAAAAGATATGAAGGGAAGAATTCACCTTTCATGAAAATCCTGAAAAGACCCATGTACGGACAATTTTAAGATACATGTTAGAACTCTTTGTCTCAGGCTTACTATTGCAATGGGGGTAAATATCAGCAACAAGCAGGTGAAAATTGGTTTGGGATGGTGGAAAAATTGTTATTACAGCTGCTTGTCTTCCCCTAAAGGGCCACAGGACATAAACAGCATAAGCAGCATAGATCATATTTATTGATGAGGGTGAGGGGGTATGATTACCCAGGAATATCTTTAAAAGGTAGCTTTTTAGAGCAATAATAAAAAAAGAATTGTGCAATACTTCATCTAGGTATGATAACCCTAAATAAAGTTAAAAAATCAAATTAAAAGTTACCTTCTTACAACCTTAATCCTTTATATTTACTTTACTTTGAGTCCACAACCTTACAGCACTGAAATTTAGTAAATTACAAAGTAATAATTGAAAAATCCTACCATAAGTTAAAAATCAAAGAAGTAATTAAAAGTTTAAGATGAATGGTATAATATATGCAAATAATAGTAATCATTAATCCTTTATACATACATAAAAGTACATGTATGCATGTTAAATCAGAAGAGCAAATGTCAGTTAGCAGAATCTGCAACTACGAAATAAGATGACATAAGATTAAATGCTACATTTTATTGAGGTATAAAGAATAACAATTGTTCTTATGACAAATAGATATGGTCTGTTAGTACTAGAAATTATAAACTTTGATCAGTGTGAGACAACAAATGAAACAATGATCAGTATAAAGAAGCAAAAACAGTAAGAGGAAAGTATTCCCATCAGCTTCTTAAGCTGAGAAGAGGGACCTATTGACTTAGCACATCACACAGAACTGTATTTCCTGAGGGAAAGGAAAAGAGGTCTGGTTACTTGTACTTTTGAAGGTAACATTGTCAAAAATGAAACAAAATGTAGGCTTGGCAATATGACTTCCCTATGAGATTAGGAAATCCACTTGGACGGATTATTAGACAGCATCTGGTTTATTGAAAACACTTTCTAGAAGAAGATTATAGCCACAAATATGATTACATACATCTAGTAACTGAAGGCCAGTGATTACTGTGAGAACTGCAGACTAACCAGTTAGGCATCCTTATTGTAAAATTGGAAAATCCAATCTCTGGTATCACTTGGTAGAAACAAGTTATAAAGAAAAAATTTAAAAAGCAAAATAAGGCAAACAGAACTGTAGAAAAAAAATCACAGCACCCTTACTTGAACACATTAAATTTGAGACAGGGTATAAATTCAAACGTAAAATGTAAAATGAATTAGGAAAAAGGAGTTAGTGATGTCTAAGTGGTAAATTAGAAGGAAAGTAAATAGTGTGAACACTGTTCTGTAATTTTTTGTACTATTATAAACATAATTATTTTGTTATTTAGTATCTTTTGAAATAATTTTTAGGAATCAGATTACATACAGTTCAGTGTTGTATTTTTTCAGTAACTGAGTGTTAATACTTGATTTATGAAGTATTAGCATTCATTAAACTAACTTATTTTGTCAGTAAATGTTAAATACTAGCATAGCTAGCATTCATACAATATGATTTCAAAAACAGGATTTAGATTCAAGTGGATTTATTTACTTTAAAATGGAATACTTTGGATATGTTGGTGGCCTGAGTATAATTTCTGAAGTTGTTTTTTCTTTTTCTATCCAACATTGTATGGTTAAAAATGGAATTGAAATAAAATGGGCGATTAGTGGAAATGTGAAAATATCTAAGGCCATTTGAAACCATGTCTTTCATAGAGGAGAGATTACATAGAGATATGCATTTGTTTTAATGATGTAAGGAAATACCTAGTTGGAGAAAAAAGTTTTTTCTCACTGGAGAAAGTTAACGATAAGAACACTTAAGAACACTTACTCAGGCCGGGCACGGTGGCTCACTCCTGTAATCCCAGCACTTTGGGAGGCTGAGGCGGGCGGATCACGAGGTCAGGAAATCGAGACCATCCTGGCCAACACGGTGAAACCCTGTCTCAACTAAAGTTACAAAAAATTAGCCGGGCATGGTGGTGGGCGCTTGTAGTCCCAGCTACTCGGGAGGCTGAGGCAGGAGAATGGCTTGAACCCGGGAGACAGAGCTTGCAGTGAGCCGAGACGGCGCCACTGCACTCCAGCCTGGGCGACAGAGCGAGACTCCATCTCAAAAAAATAAATAAATAAAAAATAAACACTCCATTGCTGCCTGAAATGCCTAAGTGGTTCTCTTTAGCATACCCCCTCCCCCGAAGCAAAAGGGTTTCCCTGCTCACTAATGGCATGGCATGGCATCTTTCTGTGGTCATAAATACTCCTAATTAAGAGACCATCACAAGTATTTTCCTATAGAATGAGTTAATTTTTTGTTTGTTTGTTTTGGTTATGTTCACTGGTAGGAGAGTACCGTATAAAAATTCAAATGTTGAGACATTTTTTCAGACTAGAACATACTATATCCATAACGACAAAACATGTGTTAAATCTAATTAAATTCTGGTTAAAAGACACTGGTAGGAAATACATTTTGGAGAAAATTGGATAAATTTGAATATAAGTGGAATATTTGATTACACTGGAATTTTTTTTTTGTATTTTCTTAGAGTGCTACTACTATTGCATTGATGAAAGATGATTTCCTAATAGGGAAGATATACAGTATTTTAAAGCCAAGCATCTGCTTGTCTGCAATTTAATTTTATTTAATTAACAAACAAAATATTTTATATATAGATATATATCTAGATATATAACTATATCTATATATTTTTCTCTGCATCTATCTATATTTCTATATTTCTCATTCATCTATCTATTTATCTATCTGTCTATATCAGAGTTTCTCAAAATTCACACTATGGACATTTTGGACCAAAGCTTTTTTTGTTGATGGTACAAGCTGTCTTATTCATTAGAAGGATGTTTAAGCAGTAATCCTATCTTCTACCCCCTAGACAAATGTAGCAACTTTTCCCTTAGTTGTGACAACCAATACTGACTCCAGGCATTGTCAAAATCACTCCATTTGAAGGTCAATGATCTAGCTATATATTGAAATATTTAAAAATATAAAATAATATGGCAAATGTAAAATGCTAAATATCAGTACCAGAATATATTGTGCTTACTGTACTCTAATTACAAATTTATTGACCCTTACTTCATGGACTGGAACAGGCTGACACATGGCAAATTTGTATGTACATTTTCCAGCACAATTTTCATTACATACTTGAAAAGAATGTGTTCTTGTGATGAGTAAAACATCTAAAAAGATCATGCTTGTTAACAGGATTGCATTTCAGGTCTTCTTAATTAGTATTCATTTTTAAATGGTCTATCAATTACTGAAAGAGATAAGCCAAAATAGTCTATTTTCTTGATTGATTTGCCAGTTTTTTTGTAAGCTTACACCTTTGCAGTTTTGATGGTTACTTTTATGTCTCAATTTGACTGGGCCCCACAGTACCCATATTTGGTTAAACATTATCCTGGTTGTGTCTGCGGGGGTTTTTTAATGAGATTAACCATTGAATCAGTTGACTGAGTAAAGCAGATTGTCCTTCTAATGTGGTGGCCCTCACCCAATCATTTAAAGGCATGAATAATACAAAAAGCCCGACCCTTTCTTGCATAAAAGCAAACAACTTTTGCCTGATTGTCTTGAGCAGGGATATTAGTCTTTTCTTGCCTTCAGAATCAAACTGAAAACATTGGCTCTTCTTGGGTTTCCAGCTTGCCAGTTTTCAGACTAAAATTTACACTATGTGCTCTCCGGGTTTTCCGTCATGAACTGGAACCACACCATCAGCTCTCCTAAATCTCTGGCTTTCCGACTGCTGATTTTTGGACTTCTCAGACTCCATTATCTTGTGAGCCAATAAATACATCCTATTACTTCTGTTTCTCTGGAAAACTTAGGCTAATACACTAATGGTATCAAATATCCTTTGTTTATGAGGCATAAGACTAATTGAATACAAAACAAAAATCATTACCCTTTCCTGATAAAATCAAGCTTTTATTATTTTTGTAACTCTTTTTATCGCTAGTCATACTTAGAAACCGGTATATTTTATCAGATAGTAACAGACATATCCTTACTTTCATTTATGTATATTATCCTGTCATATCTTTTTCCATGTTTTAGTTTTAATTTTATTTTATTATGCTTTAGATGTGTCTCAATATAGAATTTATTAAATTGTGCTTTTATTTTCTATATAAGCTGAAAAATAAAGGACAAAATTTATTCAGAATGATTAAAAATATATAAAAATGCATTTTAATCAGATTATTATGAACGTTTCCCTGTTTATTTGTATTATTTTTCTGTTTTCCTGTTTTCTTTTTTCTTAATTTCTTATTTTTCTTGTTCTTGTCTTTTTCTTTTTGTCTAATTTTTCAAATTTGTTCTTTTCATTGTATTTTTTCCTTCTTGCGGTTTTGAAGTTGCAATCTCTACTCTTTTTGTTTTCACTCTAGATAGCAAGCTCTAAGGGTAATCATTGTTAGCTTACTCCCAATAAAGTATAAGAAATACAAAATACTCTAATTTTGATGATTCCTCTCAAATTATTTAAATAATTTGGAAAAATTCAAATCAAACATTATATATATTGTCTTGTTGATGTTTATTCTGATACACTCACAAATTTGCAAATTTTTTTTCTTATTGCCTCCTTGTCTCTCAGAATTTTCACCTGAGGTAATTTTCATTTCCTCTCAAATACATCCATTAGCATTTTCTTTTATTATAGTCTATTGGTGATAAGCTTTTCGTGCTGTAGTTTCTTTTTTTTTTCTGAATATGTCTTTATTTTACTGTTACTCTAGAATAGCAGTTATTTTAGATTATCACAGGGAAACGTTATTTCAATGTTTTCTAGATTTTATGCCTGCTGTTAACAAATTAGTAGCCAACCTGATTTATACATCCTTTTTTTTAAAGGTAATCTATATTTTACTCTTTAGCTTCTTTCAGAATCGATTCATAGTATTTCATGGCCTAGAATTTTGTCTATAATGAGTTTTATTTTATTTATAGTCCTTTATTTTTCTTAGTAAAAATTTGTTAGGGAAACAGGAGCCTGGGAGAGCCAGAGTAATGCCATTTTAAGTTCAACCTCATTTTGAAATTAGCAAAGTACATTGCTTGATGGTCATGACCCACATTCATGGGACATTTACAGTAGAGAAAACAGCCTAAAGACACTTGCAAAGACACACTTCTACAACAACAGAGAGTCCAGATGTCCCAATACCCATGACCATATGTGTTTTTGAGATAGTAATAGTTATGCTTTAATGTACTCAAAAACTAGACTGCCAAAACTAGTTCTCTTTAAATCAATAGAGTAATCAATTTGTCATGATGTTGGCTGACCTGCATGCCGACACAGCTTAGCTTAGTCTTTACATAGACAAAACCCCTATCTAAGAAAAACTTAAAACAAAGTCCAGGCATTCTTTCTCTTGCTTTCTGAGGGAGCCCTACTCTGTAATGGAGTAGCTTCTAAAAAAAATTGCTTCCTTCATTATGCTCTGTGACCCACCTTGATTTCCTGCCTGTGTGATATCCAAGAACCCTCTTCAGGGGGTCTAGCTCAAGACCTCTTTTATGGTAACAGATTCGTGAGGTCTTCTAACATGAATATAGGTGTCTTTAAGCCATTTTGAAAAAATTAGCAGCCATTACCCTTTCAGATATTGCCTTTAACGCTTAATATCTAATATCTATCTCATAAATACCAGCTAGTCATAAATTCTCTTTTCTTATCCTTGATGTATCTTAACATTTTCTCATAGTGTGCATTCCATAGCCTTTTTGGGGTTGCATTTCAGGTAATTTTTATGGGATATGTTACAGTCTACAGATACTTTTTTTCAGCTGTGTCTATAATGTAGCTAACAGACCACTGATATATTTAGTTTTCATTATTGTATCTTTTCTTTTTTTCTGTCATTTATCCCTAAATTTACATGGCCATGTTTTATAGTTTGTGGCAAGAAGAGGCAAAAAGCAAAAATGACCATGAGTTTGCACCATCCAGATATATATATCTGTAACAGGATATTCAGGATTTGTAACAGGATTTTCAAGAACCTCTCATCAAAGATTGTAATCTATTTTTCCAAAATGTGAAAATGGGTTGGTCTTCTGAATTGTTTTGGCCAGTGAGACAGTGACAAACATCATAGAAGCAGAGACTTGAGAAGTCCCTCTTTCAAGTCTTGTTAAAATTCTGCCATGTGAATAAATTGAAGGTATTCTGCTGGAAGTTAGACAACAGACTGTTGAGAAAAACAGTCTGTTGAATATAGTTCATCGACTCTACTAAATTTTCAAGTAGTTTGTTTGTCAGTAAAATCTAACTGATGTAAGTCTTTGTTTCTTTTTTACATAACTTGCTTTCCTTCCATTTCTTTAACACGGAATTCTAGATACATTTCAGTCTATATATGAGAATTTCAAAGTTCAATAAATTCTTATCTATTATACCCCACTGTTTGTTTGTTTGTTTGTTTGTTTGTTTTCCCCTACTGGTTCTTACATATGGTGCTGTTAATTTTTTTTTTTTTTTTTTTTTGAGACGGAGTGTCATTCCCAGGCTGGAGTGCAGTGGTGCAATCTTGGCTTACTGCAACCTCTACCTCCTGGGTTCAAGTGATTCTCCTGCCTCAGCCTCCTGAGTAGCTAGGATTACATGCCATCTGCCACCACGCCTGGCTAATTTTTGTCTTTTTAGTGGTTTCACCATGTTGGTCAGACTAGTTTCGAACTCCTGACCTCAAGTGATCCACCCACCTCAGCCTCCCAAGGTGTTGGTATTACAGGTGTGAGCCACTGCATCTGGCCACTGTGATCTATTTTTGTTTCTTTGTTTGCTTGTCTGTTTTATTTTTAATTGTGAGTCTATGTTCCTTGAACTTTATAAGTGAAATGCTCTGAAGTCTGGATTTAAAAAGTCATTCCTCCAAAGAGGATGTGTGCTTGCTTCTTCCAATTACCTGAGAGACTTACAATAAAAGAATATTTCAGATACAAATTTTAACTTGAAATTTTTAAGAATCACACAATGGCCATTACATCTTTATGATTTGCTGGGGAGATATTTTATTTGTTTGCTTTGTTTCTGTGTGGTCTCCCAACACTAAAGTTAAGATGCAAGTTTTGTATTGCAAGTTATGTTTATTTTTCATTCACAATTATACTGAGAATGTTATATTAGGAAAAATTGTATCTACATGGGCATCTGCTATTAGACTTCCTGCATTGTACAGGTACTAAGCTATAGTTTCTATCATCTGTAACTCATGCAGTCCTCAAAACAGAATTTCATTGTATCTTCAGTGCTATGGACTGAGTTTTTGTGTCCTTCCAAAATTCACGTGTTGGAACCTCATCCCATAGTGTTGATATTTTAAGGTGAGGATTTTAAGAAGTGATTAGGTTATGAAGGTAGAGCCCTCACAAATGGGATTAGTGTCCATATAAGAAGAGCTATAAAAAGATGATCTCTCGGCCGGGCGCGGTGGCTCACGCCTGTAATCCCAGCACTTTGGGAGGCCGAGGCGGGCGGATCACGAGGTCAGGAGATCGAGACCATCCTGGCTAACACGGTGAAACCCCGTCTCTACTAAAAATACAAAAAATTAGCCGGGCGTGGTAGCGGGCGCCTGTAGTCCCAGCTACTCGGGAGGCTGAGGCAGGAGAATGGCGTGAACCCGGGAGGCGGAGCTTGCAGTGAGCCGAGATCGCGCCACTGCACTCCAGCCTGGGCGACAGAGCGAGACTCCGTCTCAAAAAAAAAAAAAAAAAAAAAAAAAGATGATCTCTCTCTCAGCCATGTAAAGATACATGTTGTGGGAAGTCAGGGACTCCAAATGGAGGGACCAGCTGGAGCCAAGGCAGAGAAACATAAATTGTGAAGATTTCATGGACATTTATCAGTTCCCAAATAATACTCTTATAATTTCTTACACCTGTCTTACTTTAATCTCTTAATCCTGTTATCTTTGTAAACTGAGGATGTGTGTCACCTCAGGACCACTATGATATTTGTGTTAACTGTACAAATTGATTGTAAAACATGTGTGTTTGAACAATATGAAATCAGTGCACCTTGAAAAAGAACAGAATAACAGCAATTTTCAGGGAAAAAGGGAAGACAACCATAAGGTCTGACTGCATGCGAGGTTGGGCAAAATGGAGCCATATTTTTCTTCTTGCAGAGAGCCTATAAACAGATGTGCAAGTAGGGAAGATATTGCTAAATTCTTTTCCTAGCAAGGAATATTAATAATTAATACCCTGGGGAAGAAATGCATTCTGGGGGGGAGATCTATAAATGGCAGCTCTGGGAGTGTCTGTCTTATGCGGTTGAGATAAGGACTGAAATAAGCCCTGGTCTCCTGCAGTACCCTCAGGCTTACTAGGATTGGGAAACTCCATCCTGGTAAATTTGTGGTCAGACCGGTTCTCTGCTCTCAAACCCTGTTTTCTGTTGTTTAAGATGTTTATCAAGACAATACATGCACCACTGAACATAGACCCTTATCAGTAATTCTGCTTTTGCCCTTTGCCTTGCGATCTTTGTTGGACCCTTATCAGTAGTTCTGATTTTGTCCTTGTCCTGTTTCCTCAAAAGCATGTGATCTTTGTTCTGCTTTTGCCCTTTGAAGCATGTGATCTCTGTGACATACTCCATGTTCTTACACCCCCTCTCCTCTTGAAATCCTTAATAAAAACTTGCTGGTTTTGCAGCTCAGGTGGGTATCATGGTCCTACCAATATGTGATGTCACCCCTGGAGGCCCAGCTGTAAAATTCCTCTCTTTGTACACTTTTTCTTTATTTCTCAGCCAGCCAACACTTACGAAAAATAGAAATAACCTACATTGAAATATCTGGGGCGGGTTCCCCCAATAGATACAGTGAGTAGGTAGGTGGCTGTCTATAAGACAGGAAGTGGGCCCTGAACAGACAGGGGATATGCTGGTACCTTGTTCTTGGATGTCTCAGCCTCCAGAACTCTAAGAAATTAATGCTTGTCATTTATGCCACCTAGTCTATGGTAATTTGTTTTAGCAGCCCAAACTGACTAAGACATAAGGTCCATAGGGAATCTCTGATAGAAACTGTCTTGATAATTGATTACCTCTTAGAGTTCCTACTTTTGCAATGTTTCTAGCCCCTGCAAGTTTGTTCTTTTGTGACAACATAAAACTGCACTTAAATGTATTCATAGGAGAATAGTTTATGATTTATTTTTAATAATATTGTCACTAATGGGTAACTCATTCTCATATAATATGCTCTGCTAGATAATGTATAATAGAAATCATTGATTTCTTCCATTACTTTTGCATTCTCATGTGTTCACTGTGTACACCCAGTTTTGTCTATAATCATATTATTTAGGTTAGCATATTTCATTTATTATATACATGTGATCACTCCATGTACAAACTCTTTAGACAACAACATTGCAAAAGGTTCAAATGTCCCAAACTCTCATGCCATTCACTTGCAGTGATGCTTGACAAGCCAACCTAATCAATCATTTTGTTTAATAACTTTTCTATAGGTTTCTTCCTAAATATAAGGGAAGAGCAATATACAGGGAAAAAGTGAAGGCACATTAATTTGCTTAACTATTTTGCTTAGGGCTGGCACTACATATAATAGTGTATATATTTCATTAAGTAGAATAATAAAAAATCAAATGCAATTAACTGAACTAATATGAAGGGACAAGATAAATGCTATATCCTAATAGAATCCCAATGCTAACAACTTCAAGCTCTAGCTGTCTTATTTGTGGATTAGAGCAAATAAAGTTAAGCTAAAGAACCAACTAATAGATGATTAATGTTCTTTATTAAATTAGATGAAAGCATATAACAATGTTAGTTATTAGCAAGTCACTGGAGTGGAGAAAAAATAGAAACTTTGGCAGGGATAATTTTTCTGAAGTTTTATTTTATAAAGATAATGACTATAATTACCCAGAGAAATGGAATTTTGTCCATTATTGACTAATTTTTTCTATGATTTTATATGAAAATATAGTTTATTATTTAGGGTTGCTTCTGCAAATTGATAGCATGCTGCACCTAGGTTACACTTCCGTGTACATAGCACACATTACATTTAAGATTTTTATGATCTCATTAGAAAAGCCTTTATAGGTAACTTTGATTTAAAATAGATGTTTGGGATGGCATTACCCAAATAATTTGTCATTTTCCTGTTTTAACATTATCTTTTATAACATTATAAAATAATTCTCTTTTTCATAAAATTAATCACATGACAAGACATAGAAAACCAAATTCTCCTCAGTATTATATCTGAGAATCTACACTAGTGCATAATTATATGTAATCAAACAAATAATTTAGAGTGTCCCAGAGGAAGATTAAGATGTCTTGGTGCTAGAATAGTCTCCAGGTTTATAGTATAGGACGAATATTATAATCCACATTAAATAAAATGAAACACTACCTATGCAAGTACTTGAATGTTATTTGATTCTTCTGCTTTCACTCATCCCCCAATCTTCTGGAGATTATGAATAAATGGTACAAGAAAAGGAGAGTACATCTTCTTTAGTAAATATGAATGCATACTGAGTAAACAAGTTTTTACATTACATCGTATAAGTGTGTGTGTCTGTGTGTGTATGGAGAGAGAAAGAAACAGCCAAGGCATCATTACTGTTATTGCCTTAAAGTTAGCTATCTTTAAGTAATTTTTAAAATTATCTTTAAAGTTAGTTATTTTAAGAGCACTATTTTATATTATATATATTACATATAAACTTATGTAGAGATACATGTATGAGTATATATATATACATGGACATATGTATATACACATATGTAAACATACACAAATTATGTATAACCTTCAGACATTCACTTATTCCACTCCAAATGATCTTTATTTCTCTGTGTATATTCAGGATTCTGATGTTACAAAAATGATCTTGCCAACAGAACTTTAACCCATTTTGTACGGTAGGTGTCTTAGCCCATTTTCTGTTGCTATAACATAATACCACAGACTAGGTAATTTACAAAGAAAATAAATTTGTATCTTATCCTTCTGGAGGCTGGGAAGTCCAAGGTCTAGAAGCTGCATCTTGTGAGAGCCTTCTTGGTAACTAGGACTCTCTGCAGAGTCCCTGGGCAGGAGAGGGCATCACAAAGCAAAGGGACTCACAAGAGAGCCAATCTGACTTTTATAACATACCTAGCCTCTTGATAACTAACCCACTCTCATGATAACCCATAACCAATAAATCCATTAATTCATTAATTCATTCATGAGAACAGAGCCCTTATGACCCAATCTCCACTTAAAGCCTCCACCTCTCAATACTATAAAATTGGGGATTAGTTTTCAACATGAGTTTTAGAGGAGACAAATATTCAAACCACAGCAGACCTACTGCTATGAAACTTAGATATAGAGAAATTTACATATAAAGAAAATATCCTTCAATAGTGGAGAAATAAAGACGTTTTCAGGCATATAAAATGTGAGTCAATTTGTCTCACATTTTATTGTTTGTGTGTGTGTGTTTTTTCCTGAGATTCTAATTACACACATTATGTCATTTATTATTGTCTCATAGCCCTTGAATGTTCTGTTCTTTAGTTATACTCATTTTTTTTTTTTTTTTTTTTTGTGAGACAGTTTCACTCTGTTACCCAGGCTGGAGTGCAGTGGTACAATCTCGGCTCACTGTAACCTCCATCTCCCAGGTTTAAGTGAAGCTTGTCCCTCAGTCTCCAGATAGTTAGGATTACAGGCGTGTGCCACCATGCCCAACTAGTTTTTGTATTTTTACTAGAGACAGGGTTTTGCCATATTGGCCAAGCTAGTCTTGAACTCCTGACCTCAAGTGATTCACCCACCTTGGCCTCCCAAAGTGCTGGGATTACTGGCATGAGCCACTGTGCCTGGCCAGTTATACTCATTTTTTTTCTTGAATTTCAATTTCAGTAAATCTGTTGATATATCTTCAGGTTTACTGAATTTCTTGAGCTTTGTCAAATTTACTGATGAGCTTTCATGTGGTTAGGTTTTACATCCCCATCCAAATCTTACTGGGAATTGTAACTCTGAGGTGTTTAGAGAGGGACCTGGTGGGAAGTGATTGGATTATGGGGGCTGTTTCCCCCATGTTGCTCTCATGATAGTGAGTGAGTCCTCAGGAAATCTGATGGTTTTATAAATGGTAGGTTTTTCTGCATTGACACACACTCACTCTCGCCTGCTGCCATGTTAGACATGCTTTTGCGTCTCCTTTGCCTTCCACCATGATTGTAAGTTTCTGGAGGCCTCCCCAGCCATGTGCGACTGTGAGTCAATTAAACCCCTGTTCTTTCTAAATTACCCAGTCTCAGGTATTTATTTATGGCAGTGTGCTAATGAACTAACACAAGCCTGTTAAAAGACTTCTTCATTTCTTTTACTGTGTTTTTATAACTAGTGTTTCTATTTATTCTTTCTTATAGTTTCCATCTCTTTGATTAAATTATCTATTTGATTTGGCATATTGCAGACCTTTACTATTGGTCTTTAACACACTAAAAATAGATATTTCAAATTCTCAGTCTTTTAAATAACTTTCTTTTTTTAAAATTTATATCATACTCAATTCTGGTTATAGTATATTTTTTTTCATCTTTTCAGACTGTGTTTGTTTTTGTTTGTTTTGTTCTTTAGCAAATCTTATAATTACTTGTTGAAAGCCAGATATTTTACATAGGAGCATATGTATATTGAGGCAAACAAGATTTTTGTTAAAAAGTCAGAAGTAAAAGATGTAATCAAGGGCAAAGTATATGTTAAATATGTGAGTACATCCTATGGCTATTGGCTGCTGACTGTATAAAAAGTAATAATATATGTTTAGATTATAAAAAATAAAATTATATTACCCAGTAAAATTTCATAAGATGAGAGATTTAAAAGCAAAGTGATCTGAGAGACTGATGTTGGGGAGAACATGAAATATATTGATTAACTTAGATTATGTGTTAAATAGGCATAATGTAATTTCTGTTGTTACCACTAGAGCAGAAACAGAGTATAAAGATTCCAAACTAGTAAAGGAGAAAAATAGAAACAAACAAACAAACAAACAAACAAAAAAACTCACTTGATCCCTGAAGGGGTAAAAAAGCAGGGCAATAAAAAGTAGAACATGTGAGGCAACTGAAAGGCCAAAAATAAGTTGGTAAATATGACCTTCAAATATCTACTTACATTAAATGGACTAAAATTCCACTTAAAAAACTGATAAATGAAAAATTAATCCAAGTTCTCTGTAAAACCACACCCTAATTCATAAGGACAGAGAAAAAAGTTGAGTGTAAAAGTAAAAGAGGGTAAAATATGTAAACACTAACCAAAAGAAAATAGCATAGCTTTATTAGTAACAAACATATTAGATGTTTGTATAAAAAATACTAGCTAGAAGAAGCTATAGTTCATAGAACAAGGATTACAAATAGATAACAAACTCAACAAATTTTAAAAAGACATTCAAATTTTAAAAAGACATTGAATGTCTGTTTTTAAATCTTTTTCTTATGAATAAGGAAAAGGTAAATTGAAACCCCAATTGGAAACCATTTTACATTTATCTAATAGCAAAATGATAAATTCTGAATATGTTGTAGAGAATGTCAGCAAATGGGATGTTCCTTAGTCTGCAGTGAGGGGGTGTGTAAATCAAATGACCATATTAGAAAAAAAGTTTTTCTTTCTTTTTTATCCTTTTTTTTTTTTTTTTTGAGATAAGGTCTCACTCTGTCACCCAAGCGGGAGTGCAGTGGCAAGATCTCGAGTGACTGCAACCTCCACCTCCTGGGTTCAAGCCATCCTTCCACCTCAGCCTCCCCAGTACCTGGCACTACAGGTGCACACCACCACGCCTTGCTAATTTTTGTATTTTCAGTAGAAACAGGGTTTCACCATATTAGCCAGGCTGCTCTCAAACTCCTGACCTCAAGTGATCTGCCTGCTTCAGCCTCCCAAAGTACTAGAATTACAGGTAGGAGCCATGGCGTCCAGTCAGAAAACAGTTTTTCTTTACCCTGAAAAGTTAAGGTAAATTATATTACCATTATTTTATGACTTACGCATTCCACAGCTAGCAATATTTACTGGAATAAACCTCTTGAAATATTCACCTGGAATCAAATGCCATTAATAATAGCAGACTATTTATATTAACAAAAATAGAAACAACCAAATATATATCCAGAGTAGAAAAAATAAATAATTTCTGCTTTTATATATAATAAAATGCTATAGAGAAATAAAAATTACAGTTATATTCCAAAATAGCACTTCTTAATTTGTGGTCTGGGAACCTCTGGAGATTTCTGAGATCCTATCAGGTGACCACAGAATCAAGAGAAATATTTTCTTAACAATACTGAGAATATTATCAGGTTTTTTTTCACTCTCATCTTCTAATGAGCATAATGTAGATTTTTTAAAAATTACACAACATGTGATTACATCATTGCTTTGAAAGCTAATGGAATGTGCTCATGTATTAAGTCATGTGTGTTTCTAAATTTCTGTTTTTATTTACAGTATTACCAATTGTCTATTAAAAAAGTAACATCTAAGAACTTTATATCTAAATTGTGTTAACTCTACTGACTGCTAAGGGACCACTGATCAATGTTTTCACTGCCTGTAACTTATCATGTTTTACTTTAAAATAGGGTGGGTGAGATCATCAAAATACATGCATTCTAAATATCAAGTCAATCATTAGCTTAGCTCAGCCAAAGTACTCAAATACAAACTGGATACAGCATGTCTTAAATTATTCCTCCAAGAATATGCTTTATTTCTAGCAACTAAGGCATTCTTAACTTATGGAAAACAAGCACCATTAAATTCTTCAAATAACATAAATTAAGGTTAAGATCATCAAAAGGTATGATTCACTATGTGAATATTGTTAGAGCTCCAACCTAGTAATGCATTCACATTAAATTTTCAGGGAAGCTCACTGGTTTAAAAATAACATGTTTGCTTTCTACATACTTCCTCACTCTTATGTTGGTTGTTCAATATGAGTTAATGACATTACTTATTTAAAATGTTTCTGGCATTCTTACGGAGTTTTGTTTTTTCTATAGACAAAAGGAAGAAATATCTGGCGTGTTACTTATTTAAAGACTGAGGATTTAAAAGTGGGTACAGATACATGAATTATACATTTTAAACATAAGATTCTTATGATAAACATGCTTATGATTTCTAAACTTTATTTGTAAGCAGTGTAAATTAATAGAAAATTTACTGCATTATTTAAATTATGACCTTGAATCTTAGAGCAAGTTCACTAAAATAATGATTCAAACTACTTAAGATAATGTATGCGAAAGAACTTAACACAGTATCTGACACATAAAAGTACTCAGAAATTTTCTGTAAAAATTGAATGTTAAATTTATTATTTTAAGCAAAGATAGACACCAAAGGAATTATTAAGTAATTGTTATTCCGTATTAGGCTTTTATATCTATATTTACTTACTTATCTTGAAAGGGTACACAAGGTCTCTGGATCAGGGAAAACATTATTACTTACAGAGCAATGTAGTGCCAGTTCTCTGAGCAGTGTGATGTGATAAAAGCTTGATATTACCCTGCATGAGCATTGAAGTCGATCCACAGAACAGGAACCGCAGATTATGAGATCCAAAGCTTATTTGGAGAAACTGTCACATCTGCTCCTTCTTCCTTCTAGAGAGAAAGAGACCTTAGCCATGAAATATACACAAATCATCTGGAGAAAAGATGGGAAGGTCTCCAGGTTCTTATTACCCTTTTGGTAAATAAGGATAGGAGAGATAATGCTTTATATTCTAGAGGAATTTACTATCTATTTCTTCCAAAATGTTTCCTCTTTAAATATCTGACCATTTATTTTGCTAAATAAGCTCTAACTATGCAGAAATATGAAAATACTAGGAATAATTGTCTCTTAAAAATTATTTTATAAAACATTAAAAATGCTTAATTATATTTACAAAAGCTGGATATTTTGATCATTGTTAATTAATTCTTAATAAGTTCAAGCATTTTATGATGTAGAAAAAAACAGTTAAACCACTCAACTTAGACCCATTGTTCATAAAAGAAACTGATATCCAGAGATGTATAAGAACAAAAAGTTAGAATAGCCCAAGTTAAATATTTACAAGGCAGATCCACATAGGTAAAATAAACATAAAATTCCGCATGCTTATTATTATCAGCACCAAAACTATGCATTGTATGGACACTTAAAATTATGTTAATTCAGATTATTTTATTCCAGAAAGCTCTTCTACTCTGCCAGAGAGTTTAGCAGATAACATGAATGCAGCAAAATTCATTGTAATTTTTGCTTAAATGTGCTAGTACATGCAGTAAGTATATGAACATTTTTCATATTTAAAAATAAACACTACTCTAAAGAGAATTTTCATGTACTGGATGATACTTTTGATTGATTACCTAAATTAGCATTTACACCAACGTAAATTAATTGAAGCACAAATGTAATATAGGCTTCTTTGTTTTTAAGACTAGAGAAGGTTTCAACCAAATGCATCTTATTAAGCTTAAGAATTTGTTAAAATTTTTTCTATTTAATAGAAGAACATTAGAACTTTGAGTCTTTTCATTTAGTATTTTTTGAATATTATTTTCCCATTGTTTTAAACCCTCTAAGAAATGTAGGTTTTTAACTATAGTAAAATAATATTCAATGTTTAATAACCTTAAAAATTCAAAAATTTCTTCTGAATCATCATAAATGGTCAATCAATATACCATATAATGTTAGTGTTAAAGGAGCATTCTCTTCGAGTATTTATATTTAATATATGACATAAAAAATATTTAATTAATCAGAATATCTTAATACCTGATTTAAAAAATGAAAATAAAAGAGAAATTTTGAAAAACATTTTAGTGTTTAAGCTTATCAGAGGTTTAAAATTTTAATTACAGAGAGAAGCTCATGATAAAAATGTGATACTATATTTAATGTGCCCAGGTGCTTAGGATTTCATCAACTTTCTTTTTATTATGTGAACATTCTTCTATCATTCTCTCCATATTTTATTCTGGGAATGTGTTTTGATACTTATCTATCACAATGACAGCGGGCATTTTAATTTCAATTAGTCTGGTTCTCTGTTATTTTCCACAGGATGTAACAATGGATCCTCCTGAGATATATTCTCCAAGTGCATCCTTTTTTGTCTTATACCTGTAGGGACTTTGTGGGAAGCAGTTTAATTCTATCATTCCCATAAAATCACAGAACTTCTCCCTTAGGTTAAATATCAACTAAATCTTTAAAAGGATAAAGACAAAGAGCTTATGCATACTAGAGTCAGTGCGTAAATAGACACGAAGAACTTAAATTGAAAACCCTCGGGTACTCAGGATGTTAGGAAGTATTTAACAATAAAAACCTGTTAATAACATAGAAAACTCCCTTAGAACAGCAGGGTAGCCTATTTTAGTTACCCAATTGAAAATTGTTCCCTATCAGCCAAGATTAAAGCGGTCTATAAAAACTGTTTCTACAACCAGCATAGTACTTTAAAGAGTAGGAGAGAAGATAGAGGAAAGCGATGGAGATTCTCAAATATGTGAAGCAGATATTTTATAGGTCATGGCTTGAAGAAGAGCTATACCTTTCTAAATTTCAACATTTATGCAAATTTGTGCAGTGGTAGTTGGCGCAGAAACAACCATAGCAATAGAAAGCTTTTTGAAATTCCACAAATCCGACCACATTCTCCTTTTCTTAGAGTTCCGATTCGGTGAGAATGCACGCATAGTTATTGCTCTTAAGCAAGCTATTTGCATGTGGCAACTTGTTTAATAGTTACAACACCTTATAAGGTAGGTATTACTTTAATCATTTTGTTCATTTTAGAGATGAAAAGCTAAGATATAGTACACTTTCCTGGGTCACACAATAAAAAGGGGAATAGACGATGTCTGCATTTCACAGTACAATGTAAATACTCAGAGTGCCTTCACATCGAAAAACATGTAGATTCTACATAAAGTATATAGTAAAGCATTGATGCACTTGTATTGAAATCATAGTAAAACCTTAGATCACAATGCAATAACATAGAATTAAGTAAAAATAATTACAAGTCTCCCTTTGAAAACCCAGTAAGAATCACCTCCACCCCCAGCAATCTAACAAACAGCAAAAAACAAATTGAGGAGAAACTTGAGTCAGAAGCAATGTGAAATAAGGAAACGCTAAAAGTGAGGTTTCCGAGAAGACAAAGGCCAATATCAAAGATGTTCAGAATTTTTTTAAAGAAATTATACTTTCAATAATATAATACTTAGAGCACACAAATCATTGGAACAAAGAGAATTTCTAAAGTGTAAGATGATGCATTAAGCAAATGCAATCCAAATTGTATAGCTCACGAGGTAAACTACATTAATTAAATGTATAAACTATAAAATAGAAAAATAGTGTTATAAAGAGGATTACTAAATTATGATAATATTTGTCAGGAAAAATGTATAATTCTTAACTGGTATGCATCTAATAAAGTAGTTTCATGGATCTAATAGAGTAGTTTCAAAATACATAAAGCAAAAATTGATAGAACTCAAGAGAAAATGTGTAACCTATCAGGATAGCAAGAAATTTCAACATAATTTATCAATCATTCATGAGTTATTTGGAAAAAATACTGAAAGATACCCATAGAATTCTGAAATCAAAAATTAGATAATCTATATATTTATCTGTGTAAGAGTATACAATGCAAAAATCTTCTTTACAAATATCAGATTTTTATGCCAAATAATATATTCTTAGACCACTATGCAATGACAAATAATACAAATAAATTAATTAAATGTACCGTAGAGTTCTAAATAAGTCATGTATCAAAGAAGGAATTATCGTGGATATTAAAAAATAATTTGCTTAGTCTTACTGACCATAAATAAAAGAGAGAAGACTTAAAATAATAGGTTGAACATTTTTCTAGTTCTCTAGTTTTCCTTAGTTCCCTCCAACCTGCCTTATCCACTTCATTGTTATACCGAGAAATGGGTTTCAATTTTGTTACTAGATTTCTTGCTAAGACAACATCATGATCAGGTTATACATGCATACGCAATTACATAGGCACATATATATGAAAGAAGGTTCATCGAAAACACTCCCAACAGTAAGAAAACAAACAATTAAAAAACGGGTCAAAGATTTTAGCAAACAACTCAGCAAAAAGATACAAAGATGCCTCATTAACATATAAAAAGACGTTCTATATCATATGTCTTCAGGGAAATGCAAATTAAAACAACAATGTGATACCACGATACACCTATTAGAATGGTCAAAATGTGGAAGACTGAGAACACCAAATGCTGACAAGGATATGAAGCAACAGAAGCTCTCATTCACTACTGATAGGAATACAAAATAGTATAGCCACTTTGGCAGTTTCTTTTCTGTTTATTTGTTTTTTGAATAAGGATTTCACTCTATAACCTTTGCTGAAGTGCACTAGCATGATCACGGTTCATGGAAGCTTTGGCCTCCCAGGCTCAAGAGATCCTCCCACCTCAGCCTCCCGGGTAGCTGGGACTACAAGCACGGACCATCACACCTCGCTAATTTTTTTTGGTATCTTTTGTAGAGATGGGTTTTCACCATGTTGCCCAAGATGGTCTTGAACTCCCTGGCTCAGGCAATCTGCCCACCTCAGCATCCCAAAGTAATGGAATTACAGGCGTGACCCATAGCACTCAGCTTTCGCAGTTTTGTACAAAACTAAATTTGTCTTACCATATAAACCACAATTGTTCTTGTTATTTATTCAAAGAAGTTAAAAACTTGTAGGCCAGGCATGGTGGCTCACACCTATAATCCCAACATTTCAGGTGGCCAAGTTGGGAGGATCATTTGAGCCCAGTAGTTCAAGACCATTTGGGCACCATAGTGAAACCTCCTCTCTACAAAAATGAAACAAAATTAGCTAGGCATGATGGCATGCAACTGTGGTCCTAGCTAATTGGGAGGCTGAGGTAGGAAGGATCTCTTGAGACCAGGTGGTGGAGGTTACAGTGAGCCTAGATCATGCCCTCCAGGCTGGACAACAGAGTGAAACTGTCTGAAAGAAAAGAGAAGAGAAGAGAAGAGGAGAAAAGAAAAGAAAGAAAAAATTTAGGTATACACAAAAGCCTGCAGAGGGATGTTTGAGGCAGCTTTATTCATAATTAACACAACTTGGAAGCAACCAAGATTTCCTTAATAGGTGAATGGATAAATAAACTGGTATATCCAGATAATAAAATATTATTCAGTACTAAAAGAAATGAGCCTATCAAGACATGTAAAAAATGGAGAAATAATAAATTCATATTACTAAGGGAAAGAAGGCAATCTGAAAAGGCTATGTGCTTTATGACTTCAACTATGTCCCATACTGAAAAATACAAAGTTATAAAGACAGTAAAAAGATCAGTGGTTGCTAGGGGTTGGGAGGAAGGGAGGAATAAATAGGCAGAACACGGAGGACTGGTAAGGCTGTGATGGTATTCTCTATGGTGCTTTAATGTAGGATACATTTTGTTACACATTTTCCCGAAACTATAGAATGCACAACACGAAGAGTGAACCCTAATGTAAACTATTGGCTTGGAGTGATTATGATGCATCAATGTAGGTTCATCAATTGTCACAAATATAGTATTCTGGTAGGAATTGTTGGTAATGGGGGAAGCTTTACATGTGTAGGGGTAGAGGGTATATGGGAAACCTCTGCACTTTCCTCTTAAGTTTAATGTGTATCTGAAATTGCTGTAAAAAAAAAAAAAAATGGCCGGGCGCATTGGCTCATGCCTGTAATCCCAGCACTTTGGGATGCCGAGGCGGGCGGATCACTTGAGATCAAGAGTTTGAGATCAGCCTGGCCAACATGGTGAAACCTCATCTCTATTAAAATATCAAAATATTAGCCAGGAGTGGTGGCATGTGCCTGTAATCCCAGCTACTCAAGAGGCTGAGGCAGGAGAACCGCTTGAACCTGGGAGGCGGAGGTTGCAATGAGCCGAGATCGTTCCACTGCACCCCAGCCTGGGTGACAGAGCGAGTCTCCATCTCAAAATAAATAAATAAATAAATAAATAAATAAATAAATAAATAATAAAATTGCTGTAAAAAAGTCTTTATGAAAACAAACAAAAACACTTGTTCTTAAATTTGCAATGTACTAAATATTCTATTCAACAATATTCTGTTCCATTATATTTTAAAATGCTAGCCATGACCCACTGAATTGATCTTAAAACATACTAAATAATATATTTATAGCTCTTATTTGCATCTCTTCTACAATCTCAGTGGGAAGTGTTCCACTCTTGCTTCTCCAGCCCACTCCCCCATTATAGCTACCACTTCAGCAATCATTTGTGCAATCCTCCAAAAATATCTCATGCATTTTACCACCCATCCATCATTACCCACCACCCTCATATCTTCATATCTCACCACACTCAAATTTGATCCCAGGGTTTATCTTTCTAATCATACTCTTGCTGGTACAATGAACCCTCTTGCTATTCTCTCTTCTTGATATCTGTCTGGAAAGATCCCAAATCTTACCAAAAAAAAACTTTCCACCTATTGTATTCCTGCATCAATGCAGATGTATTTGCTGGGCAAAAACACATAACTTTTGATGGGTGTTAAATTTAAAACCACTAACTTCATGCCTGACTTGATTAGTATACTATCAAATGATAACATTTTTCTCAATTTATAAGGAAAGTAGAAACCCTCATATAAGAGCACTCCAAAGCTAGCACGAGCAAATCTGTGTGCTTACTTTCATACACACCTATGGACTCTGCCTTCTCTCCAAATATTACATATAACTAGCACATTTTTTTAATCTCATAAGCAAAACCTGACACTGGTGATCTAGATTCTTTCTCTCACTTAATCAATAATAGGCTTTTAGCAGATTTCCCCTTCCTCAATCAAAGAAGAGTGGCACTTAGTCTCATAATGAATATTTTTGAACAAATGAATGTAATTCTTACTGGCTATAATCTACAGTTAATAAAATGGATAGAGGAGTGTTAACATTTATTGCTGAATTTTCAATATTTGTGTATATTGGGGTTTTCAAATCAAAATAAATATATTATTTAAATATGTATAATTTGGCTCAACATTATATATCCTAATTTTGGAAAGGATGAATTAATGCAGTGGAATGCCCCCTTTAGTTGAATATTTTTCCCCTGGAGCTATCTCATCAGTTCATTTTCATAATGTCACAGCAAGCAATCAATGTATTGTCTCCATGTTAATGGACATAAAACTTGTTCCACATCCATAATGCATGCATAAGGTTTTATTATTTGAAATTTACTGAGAAAATTGCAGTAAAATTATTGATGTTCCTATCAGTTTGGGTCTAAGCCCATAATTAATAGTTTGGTTCCTGTCATTTCAGTGGAGAAAATCAAATTCTAAGCTAATTAGGTAGGAGTATGCCATAAATTATTGTTAAACTTAATAGAAAATCCGGTTTTAAGACAAAGACATTCAGAAGTTTAGAAAAGAAAATGCATTCACAGTACTTTAGCTGACATTTAGAAATGTTTCCCTTAAAAGTATGAAATACATTGCTTATTTTATCATACAAATATGATGCACTAGCAACCATAATTTATCTTCAGTCAAAATAGTAGCTAGCTGATGCATTCTCCTGATAACACAACTAAAGGTTTTGGTGTGTTTTATTTTTCATTACAGAAAAGTGTGTGGTTTCACTGGGCAATGTGTTAGGAAAACCTAGTGTTTTGTCATAGTTGGAAAAACCTAAGGTTTTGTCATAAAGCCATGTTTGTTTTGCATATTATGATCACAAATAATTAGATTCTTAAAAATGATATCAATTTTCACTTATTTAATCTGTTGTTTTGTATGAAAATAAACAGCATCTTAATAGTGAAAATTGATATTTTAATAAAAGATCATTAATAAAAGATTAATGCTTGATTCTCTTGTTTCTGAGTCTCCGGAATTATAGATTTCTTTGAAATCATTTTATATTAGCCAGAAAAAAAAGATGTGTGCAAGGTTTGTATTTCTTTCCTTCTTTCTCTCTCACTCTCTGTCTCTCAGGAGTTTATTGGCCTCAATTATATTTAAGGGATTAGATGTGCATATGTTTTAAATAACCTTGAAACATTACTTTGCATTTTTATTAGTCTTTGCTTTACAATGATATTCAGTTTTACTAAATTAGTCATGAGGTGGCGGGAGAAACAATGTTCAGGGAGGGAAGTACCTGCCTTGGATCTACTGAATGACTTATGATTGAAGAAACACACAAACATCTAGACACATGTGCAGACACCCATACCGTGTGGTCCACCAGTTTCCCCTGCTTTCTTTCTACGCCCTGAAGATGAAACAAGGAGTGTCCTAACGGCCTTGTAAACCGGCTCAGCTGCATTTTTCTCATGGGATTGAACCCAAGCCAAAGCCTTAAACATACCCAGGCACTGAGAAAGGTATCCAGGTTACTGCCCAAAACACCAAAAGAAACTGACCTTGAGCCAAATTATTTAAACTCTCATATAAACTCCATACTATGACCCCCTTTTGGGAACATATGTAGGTAGAACGTCCCTTTGTCTGCAGCCCACTGTGAGGATATCTGCAACACTCTCTAAGTTACCCTAAAACAGACATATCTTGCTTTATTGTGCTTTGAAGATTTGTATTTTTCACAAATTGAAGGTTTGTGGCAGCCCTGTGCCAAGTAAGTGTATTGGTGCCATTTCTCCAACAGCATGTATTCACTCCGTGTCTCTGTATCACATTTTGGTAATTATTGTAATATTTCAGATATTTTTCTTATTATATTTGTTATAGTGATGTGTGATCAGTAATCTTTGATATTACTAATGTAATTGTTTTTGGGTACCAAAAGCCACACTCATGTAGGACAGCAAATTTAATAAATATATGTGTTCTGACTGCTCCATCAACCAACCATTCCCCCATCTCTTGTACTCAGTGGAACCTATTCATGGGCACCTACTTATTAGATCTAGAGTTATAATTTTAAATGCCCAGATAATCACTATTTACATTCCCAATATTCATATAAATATTTTTATTTAACAAATCTACTCTGTAAATTATTTTATTTTATTCAATAAATGAGTATCAAGTTTATATTATAATCTAGTCATTGTTGTTATTTTTTATTAAAAATGATTTAAAAATGCAAATTTGTTTATATCATGCAGTTTCCATCCTAATGGGAAAGTCAGGCAACAAATAAATTTAAAAGCAAATATATAAAATGTTACATGGGAATAATTGTATGATGAAAAATAAAGTAAGGTAAGGGAATTGAGAGTAATGCTAATGACTATTTTAAACATGTGTGGCAAAGCAATTCCTATCTAAGGAGATGTAATTTGAGCAGAATATGAGAAAATAAAAAGTGCAAACTGGGTACATTTGTAATGTTGTACCAGATCAAGTGAGTAACAAGTATAAATGATCTTCAGTAGAAATTAGTTTGTCATGCTAGATGAATACCAATGTCACTATAATTAGAGTACAGTAAGTCAGGAGAATCAAGGATGATTAGGAAGCCAAGGCCACATTTTGGGGATGCAGTTAGCATTGGAGATAGGATGTTTCCATTTTGGGACACCTCATCCTATACATTATGGTATACTCATTATCTCAAATTCTGCTCACTAAATGATAGCAGAGGACCTCACACTGCAAACGAATGCCCCTACATGTCTCCAAATACATTATGAAATGTTAGGATTGCTCCTTCTTGATAGCCACCAAATCATCTTTAAGTCACCATAATGGCATTGGATTTGGAGCTATATAATATAGAAAGTCATTAGTGGGTTCTGCAGCACTAATGTAACCATTTGTGTTTATATTTATATTTTGTTCTTTATACTTTATTTTCTAAGTTTAAGAAAAATTGTATTTTTATATTTAAAAAATTGAGCCAGGCTTTTTGTAGGGATAGGCTCTAAACAAAAAACACTGAAAAGACAAGTTAAGAAGTCACTATCATGGTACAGGGAAGAGACAAGTAAACTTAGATGGTAGCACTGGTGGTGGCAAGAAGAAAATGCACTGAAGGAAAAGCAAATAGATTTACTAAGTATCAGGATACATAATGTGAAATGCAGATTTAACTCGTATATAACTCCTCAGTGTTTTATCTGAGCAATCAAGTGAGTAGTAATGTCACTTACTGATACTGGCATAATGAGAAACAAGTGGTTTGGCGGAGAAAAATCAAGAATTAGTGTCATGTTGTGATGTCTATTAAGCATCTACTACTAATATCAATTTGTTTTGAATATAAGAACCTGGAGTTCCAAGGAGAGGTCAAGAAGGTAGAAATTATCCTGGACATTTCAAACGGCACAATACTATTTTTCACATGGCACATTTGAATCCAGGCAAGTGTAGTGGCAAACTTAGAGATGCATGAGGTAATGCAAGGAAGTGCACAAAGGCAAAAGGGGTCTTTAGTTAAGAGCCAGTACAAATTCCTGATTGTAGTAGAAGTGAAGATAGAATGTATGGCTACAGTTGTAGAGGGTTGTTATTATCTATCAGTAAAAGAAAATAATTTTATTTGAGATTTCTTTAAATATCTCATCAAATGAGTAGCCAAACAATTCAGCCTTAAAAAAGAAAAGGAGAAGCACTTCAGAGATTTGAGAAGTGAGAAGTTTTGAAATAGTCATCAAGGAGAGTGAGAAAGTTACTCAACTATAAAAACACAGATACCAGGGAGTTCTGGACAATTATTTGAGTTTGGAGTCATATATTTCAAGAGAGTTTCCTTCAGCCATGTTTACAGGTACATAGCTGATGGACAGTTGGAATTAAACTAGAGATAAGAGTTTTTCCAGCCAAGTGTGATATAAAAAAAGGGAGGGTGGCAATAGAGCTGAGGATTTAATGCAGGGTACTGATTAAGGGTTAATCAGAAAACCTAAGCTGTATAATAAAGAAATGAGAACTTGATTTCATAATGGATAATGGACAGTGACAAAATTATAAGATCAAGTGTCTGGATATCCTGATGGGGAAAATTTGCTGAGGTGACAGTATTAAAAGAAGTGGGCTGGGAACATGGAAGATAGTAGTCAGAGAGAGCAAGAATTGAAAATAAGATCTGGGATAAAGTATAGTTATCAGCAGTCATAAGGCTTAGAGTATGACACTAAAGTAGGTTGCTGGGATGAGTAAATGAATCATTAGGGAAGAGGAGTTCAAGAAACTGGAAGTCTGAGCAGTTCAATGCAGATGAGGAAGGAAACATGCCACATGTATACACACATTCATGCACATGCACACACACTCACACACACATATACTTTGAGCCAAATCATAAGATCTAATAATAAGAAATAGAAAACTGACTATAGACAACTGTGGTTAGTAAAAGTAGCCAAGGTACTATGAGATCGTCTTCTTTTTAAAGAGTTATTTTTACAAGGCAAAGGGAATAACAATATTGTTGAGCAACTAGTGATTATCAAAGAGAACATCAGCTTCACCTCCAACTCTTGTAGAAAATTTGGTGTGGGAGAAAATAATATAACTCCGACTTAATAGAACTTTAGAGCAAACAGTATCCTTTAGGAAATAGGATATCACTTAGAAAATTAACTTAGAAATTATTCTACAGGACTTATGAGAGATTATTATTTGGATATAATATTTTGCACTTATCTAGAAATGACAGAACACATCATCAGACATTGCAAAACATGTTAAAATATGCTGCATATCTTCTATCATGGTCTCTGGAAGCTCAGGTTACTCAGACACCAGAAATTCTGGTATTTATATTTTTTGGTTTGCAAGTACGTTTTTAAATATAGTCACTAACTACTAAAGCATCTTTTGGAGAATTATATAACTCTTAACCTTGTAAGAGTTATTATGCTTAGAATGACACCTAAGCCCTTGCCTTTCAAAGCTGGATTTATAGACCAGAACCATCATAATCAAGTAGAATCTTACTTAATTGGAATCTGAATTTTAACAAGATTTTCAGGTGATTTCTTTGCATTTTAAGAATTAAAAAGCACTGTTTTTAATATGCTCTCTTAATGTAACATCGTGAATATTGTTAAGACTCTTGGTTACCAGTTAATGCATTCTCCTCTGCCTGTTGTTGATAGCTAATAACACTTCACGAGAAGTAATCCAGATATGAGATATGAAATATTGAAGTAGCTTTCACCTAACATATTATGATTCAACATCCAGACATACGTAATCTTAAATTAGCTTTGATATTTTACACTCTTTAAATGCAGTGACAACTGAACAGTTGCATTCTTTCCGTGATACAATCCAGTAATATATAGACGTAATTCATCAGCTGTCATTGAGGAATCAACTATAGCAGTGGTCCCCAACCTTTCTGGCACAAGGGACTTTTTTCAGAGGGAGTGGGGGCATGCTTTTAGGATGAAACTGTTCCACCTCAGATTTTCTGGCATTAGTTACATTCTTATGAAAAGAATTTGTGGCTAGTTTTAAAATACTGTTTTTCACTATACTGAAAGTATGAAATACTTAGGGAAAAATATGAAAAAAGATGTACAAGATTTGCATAAACTGTAAAACATGGCTGATACAAGTTTGAAAGTACCTAAATAAATAGGGAGGTATAGATTAGGTGACTAAATATTTCTGTCAGTTTTTCAAAAATCATTCTATAAACTTATCATGATTCCAATCAACATATAAGCGTGCTTCTTTATAGAAGTTGACAAGCTTATTTTAAAATGTATATGAAAATTGAAAGAACTTAGAAAAAAAAATCTTTGAAAAGAAGAATTACGTTGGAGGACTTATAGTACATGGTAACCAAGACAGTTTGGTATTGGTGTCAAAGTATATAAAGAAATCAACAGAAGAGAATAGAGACGGTCTAAGTTGATCTCCACATGTATGATCAATGGATTCTTATCAATATCAGGTGGAGTGATGTTAGCAAGACTGGCAGAATAGGAGTTGCTCGTCACCTCACTGAAGCATAAATTTGAACAACTATCCATATGTAAAAATACTTTCACACAATTTAAAGAATTCAGATGAGAGATTACAGCACCTGGGTCTGGCACAGAGATAAGAAAAGGTGCATCCAAGAGGGTAGTTTCACATTATCCATATTATTCCTTCCCCAATCTTACACAGGATATTGTGGAGAAAGAGACCATTCAAATGGAAAAGGAGAGTAAAATGAACGCTCAACCTTATAACGGACCCCATTACCAGCCTCCCCACAGCAGTCCCTATTGCCAGGTCAGCACCCAATGACCCAGGTTCCAGGACCACCTCAGCATCAGGTCAGTCCCATAGCCCCAGGCTCCAGAACTGCCTCCACGAACACAGATCCCAGGACCACACCAATGGACTCCAGGGCCAGGCTGGCACCAGCAGTCTCAGGCTTCAGCCTAGCCTCTGCATACCAAGACTCCAAGATGAGCCCTGCAGACTCGGGTTTCTGGCTGGACCCAGTAGACATATGTTCCAGACCCACCTCACCGCCAACCCAACCCACACAGACCCAGGATTCAGCCATACCCCTGCTAACCCAGAACCAAGGTCTGCCCCAGCATAGACAGGCCCAAATCTGCTTCCACTGAAGCCAATCTGTAAATACTGGACAGGGTGACTGATTCTTCTAGTGTGCAGATAACAACACAAGATCACAAGGATTACTAATCAGGAAAACGTCAATGTCAAAAGAACAAAATTAAGCACCATTAACCAACCGTAAAGAAATAAATATCTATAAACTATCTACTAATAATTCAAGTAATGTTTTTAAAGAAGCTCATTGGGCTACAAGAGAACACAGAAAACTAAACAATATCAGTAAAACAATACATGAAAAATTTCAGAAGTTCAGCAATAGAAACCATAAAGAAGAAATTCTAGAGCTGAGAGCACAATGACAAAATTGGAAAAAATCCATAAAAAGCTTCAACAGCAGACTCAGTTAAGTAAAGAAAGAATCATTGAACTTGAATACTTCCCATTTGAAGTTACCCATTCCGAGGATCAGAAAGAAAAAAGAATGAAAATGTGTGAAGGAAAGACTACATAGTTTATGGGACATCACCAAGTGCATAAATATATGGGAGTATGAGAAAGAACACAGAAAGAAAAAAAGGGCAGGAAGCTTATTTAAGGAAATAATGACAAAAAAATCTACAGGAGAAAACGAACATTCAGTTCAATAAAGCCCAAAGAAAACCAACTAATTTAAATATAAAGAGACCTTCACTGAGACACTTCATAACCAAATTCTAAAATCTCAAAGGTAAAAAGAATTTTGAAAGCAGCAAAGGAAAAGCAACTCATCAGAAACAATGGAATTTCCAAAAGATTATCAGTGAATTTTTTTTCAGAAGAAACCTTCCAGGCCAGGAGAGAACAGGATAATATTATTTCAAATGCTGGGGGAAAAAAAGGCTGCCAATTAAGAACACTGTACTTAGAAAAGCTGTCCATCAGAAATGAAAGAGAGACAGAGACTTTCCCAGACCCCTTCCACAAAAAAAAAAAGAAAAAAAAAATGGTGCGGAAGTTCAGCCCAACTAGATCTACCTTATATGAAATGCTAAAGGGAGTTCTTGAACGTGAAATGATGAAAAGCTAAGTGACAATCTGAAAACATATGAAAGTATAAAACTCACTGTAAAGGTAAGAATATAGTCATATTTATAATACTCTAATATTGTAGTGGTGGAGTATAAATCACTTTAACCTCAAGTATAAAAGTTAAAAAAACAAAAGTATTCGCAGTAGTTATAGCTTGTTGCCAAAGGGTAAAAAGTTTCAGTTGGATAGGAGGAATGTTCTGAGATCTATTGCAAGGCAGGCTGATTACAGGCAATGATGATGTAGTATATATTTCAAAATAACTAAGACTAACTTTCAAATGTCTTACCAGAAAAAAAATGATAGGTAAGTGAGGTAATGGATATGTTAATTGGCTTGATTTAATCATTGTACATTGCATACATATGTTGAACCATCACATTGTACCCCATAAGTATATACAATCATTTACTTAAAAATAGTATTAATAAAAATTATTTAAATAAAATAAAAATTTAAAAGGTAAATAAAATAAAAATGACTGTAGCTATAATGATTTCTTAATGCACACACAATATTTAAAAGATGTAAAATAGCATAAAATGTGGGGGAAGGAGAAGTTGAACTGAAAGTTTTTGCAGGTGAATTTAAGTTTTTATCAGATTAAAATAGACTGTTATAATTATAAAATGTTTCATGTAAACCCCATAGTAACCAGAAAGACAAAACCTGTGGTAGATACAGAAGAGATAAAGAGGAAGTAATCAAAGTATACCATTATAATAAGTTATCAAATCACTAAGGGAGATAGCAAGAGAAGGCAGACATAAGACGTGAATGTAAAGTGGTAAAACGACTTTGGAATAAAGGAGTTTGGCCATTTCTTAAAAAGGTAAATATACTTCTACCATAAAACCCAGACACTCTCCCACTAGATGTTTGTAAAAGAGATATAAAAGCAAATGCCTATTCAAAGAGCTGTAAATAGACTTACTACTAGTTACACTTGTAATCGTTGAGACCTAGAAACAACACCAATATCCATCAACAAGTGAAAGCATAAACAAATTGTGGTATAATTTCATAATAAAATGTAATAATAAAGTAATGAACAAGTGATATATATTACAACCTGGATGGATCACAAAAGAAAATGCTGAGTGAAAGAAGCGAGGTTTCCACCTCTCCTTTCTCTCAAAAACCCAACTAAATACTGTGTATTTCCATTATGTACATTTTTTTAAAATGAAAACTAATCTATAGTGACAGAAATTAGGTCATTTTTGCCTGGGACAGAAAGGGTTGGGAGTCAGGAATTTCAAACATCAAAAGGAAACTTTTAGAGTTGATGAAGATGTTTATTTTCTCGATGAGATGATGGTTTCAAGAGTGTGGTGGTTCATAAACCAACCTCTATACACACATGTTGTCTTTTTTAATTAGAAATACAGTATGTCTATTTTCCAGATCTTTGATCTAATTATGTTTAATGACCTTTTATAAGACATTGATATTACATAATTTACTGGAGAATATAATTTTGTGTCCAGAGTTTTGACACTGCCTAAATTGTTAATTGTATCTTTTTTGATGTATGCTCTGTACTTTGTTTTCTTTCTTTCTTCACCTTTTGGGATTGAATTAGGGCAAAGCTAATTGCTATAAGAAACAAACTGTGTGTTAGTGGCTTAACTCAATCATAGTTAATATCTCACTTATCTAATGATACCAGGTGGGTGAACAAAACAGAGGGCAGCCTCCTCTATGTACTCATTCAGAGCCCAGAGTTACAAAAGCTCTGCTATCTTCTACATATGTTTTCCAAAATCTTTCTGAGAATATTCTCTATTATAGGTTAGCCAGAGGTGACAGAGCATGGAGAATCACTTGTAGGAGATATTCACATATTAGGCTTGAAGTAGCACTTCCTTTCATGGCTAGGCCTCAGTCACAGAAACACCTCTACTAACTAGGAAAGAGAGAAATGCAGCCTTTGACAGCCACTCTAAACAACTTCTGTAACAAGGTATACAAATTTGTAATATTTTCTACAGGTGATGAAACTATTCCTATAAATTTTATAAAACTAATCAGGGAAGAAGGAAGAGGAGAAACAAAAAGAAATCATGCTTGCAGCATGTTCAGCATTAATCATTAGGCAGCTTGCTCTCCAACCTGCTTCCTCAGAGCGGTCCACTGCCTATTGCCTCAGACTCACAGAGACCTTATCACAAGACTATCGTTCCCCTTAACTGCTTTAAAGATAACAACTTAAACATTGTAAAATCTTAAGTTTTCCCTTTGAGATATTCTTTCAGCTCCTGCATACCAATGAAACTACTGATGTCAGCTGATCTGAATGACACCCCAGGGAAGCTGATTCACCAAAGAACATAATTTCCATATCCTGATGACTTTATGTCCTTTCCCCTAACCAATCAACAACCCCAATTTTACAGCTCCTTGCCCTCCATGATCCCCTTAAAAGCCCCAGCCCATAATTCCTCAGGGAGATGGCTTTGAGAGTCTCCTCCTATCTCTTTGCTCAGTTGCCCTGAAATCATTAAACTCTTTCTCTGTTGCAAATCCTGCTGTCTAAGTATATTGGTATGTTACTGCACAACAGGCATAGGAACATGTTGGTCCTGTAACAATGATAAAAATGTTGGTGGATTGAGCTATTCAAAATGTAATAGATAGTAATTGATGTATTCCTAAAAGTTGTAACAAATTCCATCCCCTGTGACAATGTATGAGAGTGCATTTTCCCTTTCATATTTATTCACATTGAATATTATCAATAGTTTAAATTTTTGTTTTGTGTTGTAATAGTGAAGTGTTTGAATTTTGTTTTAATTTTCATTTTCAGCCTACTAGTAATTTTGCTTATGTCTTATTTTTTAAAGGACATTTATGTTTCTTATTCTGAGATTCACCTTCATAACTTTTGCCTATTTTCCAAATTTTTGTATTTGTACTTTTCTTTGAATATGAATAAGATGTAACTGGGAATATGTATCTATTGCCAATCATATGGACTGGAAATGATTGAAGTGTATTGTTGACATATATTTCATTTTGTTTTAATTACAGATTCTGTGTTTCTGAAATATTTATTATTTTCTATGTTTATATTACACTTTATTATTTCATAATGTAAATGCAATGTCAATATGTTTATAATTCATTGCACTAATATGACCTCCTCATAGAAACTTTTTTAAGAAGATGATGCTCCATGAGTAATTTTACGTTTCTCCATGCTTACGGCTTTATGAACAAAGACCTCCTGGACCTCAAGGATAACAAAGTACTAACTAGGCTTGGGAGTTAGAGATGATGAATTTCCCCAGAGCCAGTTGCTTCTATTCTAATGACAATATAGTTTAGATAAATATTTTATCTTACCCAGTGCCCACTGCCTACATTCCAAGTTAGAGCCCTTTCCCCCACCCCAAGAGAAAATATGTTCACATTTCAGAGTAAAAGACAACGGCTATTCATTTTCAGAGGCAAGGATGGATATATGTGCCTGCACATTCTCTATGAACCCTGAGTTTCATAATTCCAGAGGTCTTCTCCTCTGGCGCAAGCCCCTCTCACCATGCCAGTGCCACCTGGCTCTTAGCATGTGATGCTGTAGGCACTTGAATTTGGGGTTTGGAAAACAGACTCAAGCTTCTCTGCCCATAAGAAGTTTTCTCCTTGATGTTGAAGTGATGCGTGTGTGCATGTGTGTGTGTGAGTGTGTGTGTGTGTGTATCTGGGGCAGGAAAACACTATGCTAATACCTTATAATCTGTACTGTTTCAGACTTAACTTTATTATCTTTTTCTTCCTTTTTAGAAAATAAAATGGTAAAAAGCACATTACCCTAATATTATCATCATATATATATATATATGTATTTGTATATTTAACTAGTACTCTACAATAAAAAATAGAATAAAAATAAACTAATTTTATAATAGCAGTTTTTGATACAGAGAAGGTGATATAAATCTGAAGAATGAGCATAGAAATAAGAGCTTAGAGATTTTCATGATTTTAGGTTTTAATAAAGCTTCCACTTAATTTTTCTGTGTCCAGTTTCTTTCAAAATTCCATTTTGTGCACTTATAAAAGCTTTATATTACTTTTACATACAAAATATAACAAAGCCATCTGTGATATTCTTCTCCTCCTTAAAAACATTTTCTTAGAGTATAATCAGAAACCGACTCTTACTATAGTTGAATTTGTACCTATAATACCTATACAAATGTATAATGCCTGCATACATATAATATACTCTCTCTATATATATATAGAATTTATATATGCAGGGAACTTAAATAAATCGCCTTGTTGTCCAAAGTAGACCCTAGTTTATCCCCTTGGAAACAATGAGAAAATATTTCAGTTGTCTTTAAAGTGAAGTCAAAATGAATCCAAGGAATAAGCTTAGTGTCTTCTATCTCCTTTGAGCACCAGAAAAACTTCCTTGAACACATCTGATGACCATAAAGTGGAATATACCTGCTACCAGCTTAATTCGATGAGTTTGTATTTTAAATTTATATCTTCAAGGATCTCATGAAAAAATTACCAAGAACAGTAGGATTAACTTCAGTTCTCAGTGTATGACAAATAAATAAATCATTTGGGTAGCAAAGAGAGAAAAGTGATAATCTTGTGAGATTCTTGGAAAATTTGAATTGTCTCCTATTAACACCTTCTGAGTCTTGTGTCATGGGCTGTTTTTTGGAAAGTTTATTTCACAATAGCCTAAGGTAGGCCAAAATTGCCTTGAAATACGTATTTCCAGTGTATTATGGTTAAAAAATTACAAATAGCATTGCATATTTCATATATAATAAGCACTGTTAAGTCCTAATTATGTAGATTCTAAAGGGCACACTAGAACTAGTGCCAGTTTTTAGGATTAGAATAATGATTCCATGACATTACAAATTAATGTAGCTATGCTGTCATGGAAGATATGTATAAATAGTAAGAAGTACTTTTTGGTGATTTACAGAAAACTTTTGTTTGTTTGTTTAAGCTGATCTCTCCAATACCCAGTTTTTCAATTGTCAAGTCAATAATAACTACATATGCATGTCTTTTTAATATTCAAAAATGTATGTTCTATTCTTTTCCATTTAGTTTACAATCTCCTAAAGATTCAAGTATCAAAGGCAATTATGAGTGAAGGCATTTTTACCTACCATTCTAAAAGTATTCATCACTAAGTTCATGGTCAGCATCCATTTTTTTAGAGGAATGTGTTTCTTGTGCCAAAATGCTGATGAATAGTTTATCTTATATATAAAAACCTTGCATGTAGGATGCAATTATTTCCTGTAAAGTAGTCCCTGATTACTGAGGATTTAGGACTATACAACTGCACTGTGTGATTGTTTTCATATACATGTCCTATCACATGGAATAGATATTTTGCTTAAGGTTGTTTGTTTGTTTGTTTTTGAAACACAGTAACACTCTGTCTCCCAGGCTGGAGTACAGTGGCATGATCTCGGCTCACTGCAACCTCCACTTTCTGGGTTCAAGTGATTCTCCTGCCTCAGCCTCCTGAGTAGCTGGGACTACAGGCACGCTCCACCACGCTCAGCTAATTTTTTTGTATTTTTAGTAGAGATGGGGTTTCACCATGTTGGCCAGAATGGTCTCGATCTCTTGATCTCAGGATCCACCTGCCTCAGCCTCCCAAAGTGCTGGGATTACAGGTGTGAGCCACTGTGCCCAGCCCCTGCTTAAGGTTTCAAGAGAGGACATGGTGAAATGAAAGCAAATGTTTATGGGACATTTATTATGTGCTGGACAGTATGAAAATGCACTAAATAGATGATCATAACAACCATTTTAATAATATTATTATATGGCATCCTTTTAAAAAAAGACTTTATTTTTTAGAGAAGTTTTAACTTCACAGTAAAATTCAGAAGAAGGTACAGAGATTTCCAGTATATACCCTGCCCCGCTATATCCACAGCCTCTCCCATTATCAACATCCCCCACCAGATTGTTATCTTTGCTACTATTGATGAACCCACATCGACACATCATTATCATTGAAGTCGATGGTCTATATTAGGGTTCATTCATAGTGTTGTGTATTCCATGGGTTTGGACAAATAAGAGGAACACAGAAGATTCCTAGGGTGGTAGGGTGGTGAAAATACTCTGTATTTTACTATAATACTGGATAACTGTCATTATCTATTTGTCCAACTGCCCCACCCCACTCAATTTTCTTAGATAAAGAAGATGCAGCTTAAAATGATTGCTATTTATCCAAGGACACATTATTAAGAATGGTGGAGCTGGAACCAAACTTGGACTCTTGAATCCAAAGGCTCTTTTTATAATTTTTTTAAAGAAATTAGTCTAGATGCAGTGATTATGGACCTTTCCAGTTATCATTTTATAACAATTTTATCTCATTATATAGTGAAATTCTTACTTGAATAGACTGAAATACCCAGATAATCTAAGACTTTGTTTGTTATCCTTTGTTTGATATGCAATCGAGTGAATGAGACTCTGTAAGATAGTTACTAGACTGTGGATAAAAGTAAGTAAAACCTAAATTCATGGCATTTGATTATTATTATGTAAGTGTTGGATTGGACTTGAAACAAGTTATATCAATCGACAGAATTAAGAGTGAAACAATCAGGCACACTGTTGATGAGGAATAAGAATCACAGCTATATAAAGTTGTTTCATAAAAAGTCAAAATATTCACTGCTTTTTTTCTGTGTAGCTGACATCCTCAGAAGGTAGAGGGTGATACAGTTTTTTATGGAATACACTTCTGCTAAGCTAAGCCAAGCTTCTGTTCTCCTGCCTATGAGTCAGGGAAGCTGAGGCTTACCTCAACTGAGAACACTTTACCCCACTCATCTTTGATTGACTTTGTATGCCAATCCTTTTAGGAACAATGAAATTATCTGTAAGTGTATGCATATATGTGTTTCTTAAAAAGCACAATGAAAAGCAAACTAATCTTCAACAGATCTTTTTTGGGTCCATTGTTGGAGAGAGAGTACTTAGGGATCAAAACTTCATTTCCAACAATTTCTTGCCACTTTTAGGTATTCATCAAGGCCTTCTATTCATTTGAGGATTAAAACATATTTAGACCTTATAATGCTGACTTCAGGGCACGTATCTTTTTAAAAATTATAGGATGATTGAAAGACATCTTACCATGTGTCACATACAATGTTATTTTGTAGTTTGGTTGATGCATTGGGTTCTAGGGGATGTTTGAGCTCACTTGGCCTGCTGCCAAGAGTGCAATTAAAAATGTAAGTGATGGGTAGTAGCAGATGCCATTACATTTAATAAGACATAGGTCAAGTAAAAGTACTGCTGGACCAATAATGCTATTGAACTTGAAGTTAATATCAATAATGCCTAACAACCTCAAAGTTGCACTGTCACCTATATAATAAATTACATAGAAAAAAATTATGAAGTGTTAAAGTATTATAAAAATCAACTCTATTTGTTATTAAAAGATCATGTTATTTGATGTAGGTGATAAGTATTTGCTTTCATAATATCTGAGTTAGATGCTAAAAATATTTAGTAGATAATGGGCCTCCTGTCAAAACTCATCAGATATTCTTTGAACCTCTGAATTTCCAATTCATATCATCTCCTCCTGGGCTGATTAATTGAAAATCATTCAGCTGAAATATTGTTGCTCTTCCCCCTTTACCACTGCTTTATCTACATGATTTGATCTGCATAAGAGAAGATATCCATTGAACATACTATTTCAAAATTGGAGTATATAAATAAAATAAGTCCATATATTGAAGACCTAATTAATCAACTAAACAATCCTGGCTATAGAAGTAAACATATAAAAAAGGCTTTTTGTGTTTCTCTTTAAAATACTCTCAAGATTTATATTTATGCACTGTCTGATCTAATGGCTTGTAGAATACATAGAACTTTTGCAGATCAATATAACAATTTACAGACCTGTCACAGTATATGAAAGTAACTCATTTAAATTACTCAAGCACTCTTATAGGAAGTGCCTTCAAATTTAAATAATAGATTCCTAGCAAAAGGAAAGATTGTCAAATGAATCTTTTTAGACATTATAGCACAAGGTGAAAAATTCATTCTTTGAGTAAAAATAATATTCCCCTAAAATTATTACAGGTGTTAACATTGTAGATTTGATGCAGTTTTAAAATTTCTAAAGCTACTTTATATAGTAGCCAATAAGAATACATATTAAGCCCAATTTTACAAGTCATTGATGTGAGTATCAGGGTTTTAATAACTTGCCCAAATGGTAGATTAAACTGATATCCCATGTCTCTCCTTCCATATTCAGTAATCTTTTTGCACATTAAATACATCTGTCACATTGTACCTCGAACACAGTAAATAGACTATATGTTGGTCATCTTGAAGAGAGAAAATGCATTTGAATCTTAAAATTATATATGTACACCACTCCGAAAAAGAAATGTAAAATCTCATGTGTAGAATCTGCAAAATAAGTAGGAGAGCAATGCCTAATTTGTATAGTTGAGTAAAAACAATAGCAAGGAAGAAATGGTATGGCAGAAACTTCAGAAAGTGAAGAAAAGGAAGATAATACAGGAAAGAAGTCCGAGAGAATCCCATATTTTTTATAGTCATTTACAAAAATAGTTTACCACATTGTCCAATATGTAAGAAGTCCAGCATTTTTGGCTCAGTATAGTTTTTCTAAACAAGTCCATAATTACTACCTTTGTATAACTTTATTAAAAGTAAAGATATAATAAATTATAGGGTAAAGCTTTTTAGAATAAATTGGCTTTGGTTCAAGCATTAAAAGTTGGTCATTTGGATTTATTCATTTTCACTCCCAATAATTTTCCAAGGTGTCATTAACGGAGAATAAAAAAAAAAGAAAAAAGAAGAGGACAAGAAGGATGAGCATGAAGAGGATGATGAGAAGAAAGAAAGAAGAAAGAAAGAAAGAAAGGAAGAAAGAAAGAAAGAAACAAAGAAAGAAAGAAAGAAAGAAAGAAAGAAAGAAAGAGAAAGAAAGAAGAAAGAAAGAAACAGAAAGAAAAGAAAGAAAGGAAGAAAGGAAGGAAGGAGAAAGAAGGAAGAGAAGAAAAGAAAGAACAATTAAAATGGGAGAGAGATCAGTGACTAAAATTTTTAACAAGTATGAGTATCACAGAAAGCTTTTGCAAGGTGGGTGATTCATGGAGAAAAGAGGATGAAGCTCTGCAGGACATATGAGAAGACTACAGTGGATAATTTGAGCTGTCTCCACCAAGCTCCTGAGGCTCAGGGCTCAAAAACAGCAGGCAGTTGGTTGTAGAAGATGTGAGTCTATTAAGGGAACTTTAGTTGAAAGTACAGAGATCGATCTATGAATCAACCTCTTTCACGCCATCTACATCATCCACATAATATCAGTAAAAATGATAAATAGAGACGAAAGAAAATTGAAGGGAGGAATAGGAACAGGATCATCCAAGGAGCTTTTAAAGCTGCAACAGTTATTCAAGTAACCACCACGTACACAGGCCAATAACTTTTTAACAAATATACACACTGGCATATAAATTGTGAAATTTATAACATCAATGATGTATAGACACCCATAAAAATTTCAGAGGACAAAATGTGTTACCTACCCAAGACCATTAATGTATTGGAGTTCTCATCAGCAAAACCATACAACTGAACAGTGCCTTCATATTTCTAAATAAGAATGACTTTCATCTAAGAATTATATGATGAATCAATCCAAATATCAAAAAATGTATTTACATGGGAGGTCTTGTAGGACTGGCACAAATAGTTAATAGAGATCTTCAGAAAAAAACAAGGCAAAACACATTTCAACAGAGTAGCTGATTATAATGGCAAATTAGAGGACACATTGACTATGTAGAAAATATAGTAAAACATACACACATAGACACATCATTCTCCATATGAAGAAATATAATTTTTAGTTGTGGATATCACTTACATAAAGGTATTGAAAACATGGTTTATTTGGTTTCACAATGCATATTCAAGTTATAGACCTATGGTTCTTAACCCTGATTTTAAGGCAATTATATTAAAATGTCTGGTAACAAGGCCCAGGCATACCTGTCTGTGAAAGTGCTCCAGAACTGTCTATCATGTAGCTAAGTTTGAGAAACAAAACACAATAGAGAGTAATATAAACAAAATATAAATATAAACCCTAGGGTTTCAGAAGAGAAGGTAAAATTAATTAAAATTTAAAATACTAAAGATGAAAATTGAGATGACAGAGGCTGGGAGTTCAGAAATGACAAAGTGTGCCAAAGAAAGCTGTAGAAAGCTGGGTGCACTCACTAGAAGGCTGCTCACTGCTGTGTCTGTCCTGACGAGTTCATTCGAAATAGTATCATTCTCTACGTATTGCTAAATAGTCTGAATTCTAACTTTTTGTATGTTAATATCCTTCCCTAACCAAAAAAAAAAAAAAATTCTCTTTAGGGTTGACATGTTTTTAATTTTTTTTAATTTATGATACTTTAAGTTCCAGGATACATGTGCAGAATGTGCATGTTTGTTACATAGTTATACATGTGCCATGGTGGTTTGCTGCACCCATCATAGGGTTGATATTTTAAAAAAAATTTTAATTACATAAATTTGCAAAAATTAACAGGTAGAAACACAAAATTGGTAATAACTCTATTCTAAAGGTGTAAAAAAATAAGAAAAGAGTAGTTTAAGTAAATTAATAGATGTCTAAAATAGCTACATAATTCTAATAATATACATATTATTGATTTAATTTAAAAATCATCTAGGGTTTAAACTTGAGATAGATAAAAGATTTAAATGTAAGACCTCAAACTAGAAGAATCCTAGGATAAAACCTAGGAAACATCATTCTGGACATCATCCTTGGCAAAGAATTTATGACTAAGTCCTCAAAAGCAATTGCAACAAAAACAACAATTGACAAGTAGGACCTAATTTAAACTAAAGAGTTTCTGCACAGCAAAAGAAACTATAACAGAATAAAGAGTCTCCAGAATGGGAGAAAATATTTACAAACTATGCATCTGGAAAAGATCTAATATTCAGAATCCATAAAGAACTTAAACAATTCAACAAGCAAAAAACAAATAATCCTACTAAAAGGTGGGCAGAAGATATGAACAGACACTTCTCAAAAGAAGACATACAAGTGGCCAGCAAACATAAAAATATACCCCACATTACTAATCATCAGAAAAATGCAAATCAAAACCACAATTAGATACCCTCTCACACCAGTCGGAAGGGCTATCATTAAAAAGTCAAAAGACAGATGCTGGTAAAGCTGCACAGAGAAGGGAACGCCTATACATTGTTTGTGGGAATGTAAATCAGTTCAGCCACTGTGGAAAGCAGTTTAGAGATTTCTTAAGGAACTTAGAACTACCATTCAACCCAGAAATCCCATTACTGGATATACACCAAAGGAATATAAATCATTCTACCAAAAATACACATGCACTGGTATGTTCATCACGGCACTATTCACAGTGGCAAAGACCATGAAATTAACCTAGGTGGCCATCAACAGTGAACTGGGTAAGCAAATGTGATACATATACGCCATGCAATACTATGCGACCATGAAAAGAATGAACAGCAACATGGATGCAGCTGGAGGCCATTGTCCTAAGCAAATTAACACAGTAACAGGAAACCAAATGCTGCATTTTATCACTAAAAGTGAGAGCTAAAAAATGGGTACTCGTGCACATAAAATTGGCAACAATAGATAGAGGACTACTTGAGTGGGGAGGTAGGAAGAGGGGGAAGGGTTGAAAAACTATTGGGTACTATGCTCAGTACCTGGGTAAAGGGATCAATGGTACCATAAACCTCAGTATCACACAACATACCCAAGTAAAACCCCAGCACATGTACCCCTGAACCTAAAATAAAAGTTAAAATTATAAAATAAAATAAAACAAATATTTGGTTTAAAACTACAACAAAAATTATCTAGGGTTTAAACAAGACTGCCTTTTTTAAAAAGGGACTTAAGTTGCAAAGCAGGCTGTTGCTTTTTATTTTAAGTCTGCACTATTAGCTTTTTAACTGTGTGCATATATTAATTATATGGAAAATATAATATAGTTTAAGTAATAACTACATGTTCAACTCCACTTGCAGCTTAAAAATACGAACAGTCATTTGAAATTTAATTACTTATTATGTAAGGAGTCTGAATGCAAATTTTATGCAGAAATTTGCAGCAGATGTGGGCAGAAACAGATAGAAGCACTTCTGATCCACTTAGTGTGTGCAATAACTGATCATCCTCCCCAAGTGCACTGCTATTTTTTTGTGAGTGATTTCTCTGCATGGCCATTACTAACCCATAATAAAATACAGTTCCTCTGCTGGGAGAATTTGACTTCAAGAATTACAAAAGGTTTATGGTTTCTTTGTGTTATTGGTATCCTTCTGTATCCTGGTTCTTTCATCAAGGAGAAATATTTTATGAAAAGCAGAAGAGTTCTTCCATAAGGCAGGGTAATAATCTCTCATTTTCTTCTCAGTTGTGATTTCCATTAAACCAAAGATAGGCATGATTGAATTGTTTGCTTTTCTGCTGATGGTTGCTTTGCTGCAGACATTTCTAATTTCTTGGTTACTTGTAAAAATATTATGACTTCTAATACATGTAATTACTTTTACTTGTAACAAAACTGGAATGCAGCAGAGATATACACTAGTGAGGACAGAAACTTGGAAGACAGGCTAGAGTAAAAGTCCTTTCAAAAATTAGCTAGAATAATAATATGCCTAAGTCAGGTAAGAAGTAATCTTTTGGTCAAATGATGACAGTCTCTACAGAGGAAAAAATTTAAAAAAGGAAAAAAAAAACTTATCATCTGGAAAGGAATTAAATTCCCATTTAGGCCAACACTTGAAGGAGAAGGAATGGTGAGGGGTCCTCATTCACATACTCCCCTCTCTTGCCAAGCAAAACATAACCTTCAACTGAATTTTTAAAAACTTTCCGAGGCAGGCAGATCGCAAGGTCAAGAGATTGAGACCATCCTGGCCAACATGGTGAAACCCTGTCTCTACTAAAAATACAAAAATTAGCTGGGCGTGGTGGCAGGTGCCTGTAGTCCCAGGTACTCGGGAGGCTGAGGCAGAAGAATCACTTGAATCCAGGAGGTGGTGGTTGCAGTGAGCTGAGATTGTGCCACTGCACTCCAGTCTGGGTGACAGAGTGAGACTCTGTCTCAAAAAATAAAACAAAACAAAAACAAACAAACAAACAAACAAAAATCCTTTATTTGAAAATACATTCCCAGTCTTCTTTGCTCACCTCAATTCTCCCTTCAAATGCTGGCAAGTGGGCCAGGTATGGTGGTTAATGCCTGTAATCCTATCACTTTAGGAGGACAAAGTGGGAGGATCACTTGAGGCCAGGAGTTTGAGACCAGCCTAGAAACGTAACAGGACACCCTCTTTACAAAAAAACTTCATATTATCTAAGTGTGGTGGCATGTGCCTGTAGTCTTAGCTACTTGGGAGACTGAAACGAGCTATGATTGCATTACTGCACTCCAGCCTTGGCGACAGAGCAAGACCCTGTCTCAAAAAAATAAATAAATAAATAAAATAAATAAAACAAATGTTGACAATACTGATAGCTGCATGTCAGATGTTCTTTGTGTTTTGCTGTCTGTATTTCCCCAGATGATTGAATCCATTGTATAATGGTTCCCAATTTCCATTTGGATATTGCTCACTTTGAAAACCATCTCTCAGTCTTCTCTCAAAATTTCTAAGCCCCTCTATCCGTCTGTTTGCATATTTTATTAGCATGTCAAATTTACTAAGTTCAGAAATTAACTCCTTTACATTCTGCAACCAACAAAAATTAGCTTTTTTTGATTCTACCAACAGAATTTCATAATTCTGTTTTTTCCTCTCCATCTACTACTGCCACTACCCTGCCCTAGCCATTATCATCTTTTATCTGAATTAATGTAAGAAGTTTCTACATGGTCTTTCTGAATCCACTCTTCTTTGGACTTCCTGTTTATTCCTTATGTGTAGCCAAATGCAAATATGATTTATATGCATATATGTAATATACATACACAAATATGTGTATATATAATACACACACTTTTTTTGGTAACATAGTTATGTAGAGGATTTTTCATATAGTTCCGTAAGAGAGTTTTTCTGTTGATTTCACATATACATTTAAAAGTGAGCATCTTTACTTTAACCAGCCTGAACTTTTGTTCTTTTGAAATAACAGAGCAATTCTAACTCAATGTACTTTTAGAAAATGTTTATTGCAACTGTTTAAAAGTAGTGTGATATTGAAAATGTTCTAAATGTATTACATTTAAAAAATGGTCCATGTAACTTGAGTTACTTTCTTTCATTGGAATGCATGTGAAAGTTTTAAATTTACTCTGTACAAACAGGTTTAAGGAAAGGGTATTATCTTACTATTTAACTTTCTAATGCTGTGATAGTGAAAAGTATCCATCCTCATGTTATTAATTCTGCAAACAGAACCATGTGATAATAGAGCTAAACCTCAATTCAATAAGAATGCCTATCATCCATTTTTTTCTCTAGGCAACTATTTCTCTAATTTCAATTCGCAAATAGGAGCTTATTAAAATATCATACTCCAGACATAATGGATTGGAATCTCTGTGTCTTGGGGCTCTAAAGTCTTCATATTTAACAATTGTGTATGATTAATTTTATAAATACAAAAGTTTAAGAAAAGCCATTTCAGACTGTTACTATTTAAAGTGCCGTCCTTAGATCAGCAATGTTGTTATCACCTGGGAACTTCTTAAAAATAAAAATCTCAGGCCCCATCCCAAACCTACTCTATCAAAAACAATGATTTAATAAGTCTCTATGTCCTTATTAAGTCTCTAAGTCCTTAAACTTCAGAAGCAATAATCTAGATAATAATTTAGATCCATTTAACTCTGACAGTCATTTGGAGAGATCAATTCCTAAGATTTCTATTAAACTCCTTTAACTTTAGGGCCTATGAAAAATAATAGAGATAACTAAATAGCAAGAAATTTCAAGTAGAAATTGAAAGTGGAATAAAATAATACGAAACATTAGAGTAGTAGCAAGCTAATCTACATTGTCTCAATTTTGTCTCCTATTATCTTGTCATATCCTATTAGTGATTATGGATGTGAATTAAAAAGATGTGAGACAGATATTTTCTTGAAATAAATAGCTTCATGTCCAAAGTCATAAAGTGGAGTAGGTGCCTAAATTATTGTTTGAATGCAAGGAACCCAATATGCCTTGTGTATTAAACATAACACAGGTTTGGTGGGGGGAACAACAAAAAATGAATCCTACACGCGTAGGCTTATTCATGGAGAAACATGAATAGCCTGACTATGTATAGATCTAGACTGAAAGCAATGTAGATTTAGTGGAATAATTTTTTTTCTTACAATGAAGAATGAAAAAATGAAAGAAAGACTGTTTTAGACACTTTGAGGTGGAAAGTAGAAGAACAAAGACTAGTTAAGAGAACATTTTAGTCATTTGGGTGGGAGAAAACAAAGGCCAGAAATCAAGGCCCAAGTGGGATTTAGGATAAATTTTTGATACACAAACGACAAATTAGTGCCAGATAAGAGATCGCTGTTCATGGAGAAGTAGTTGAAAATAACAACAATTTATTCCTGGAAAAATTATGTCTATGGAATGTTTGGACTGAGCAGCAGTTTGGAGGCATGGATGGAGATGATGAGCTCACTCTTGGTCAGGTGTGTTTGAGCCATCTCTGCTCAATTCAACGTGGAGTAAAATTTGGGTATGAAACTCAGAGGAGAATTAGGTCTGAAAGCATAGGTTTGAAAGTTACTAAAATTTTGGCAATAGATAAAGTCATCATGGATAATTTCCTTTAGTAGGAGTATGTTAAGAGAGAAAACCAAATTTAGAACCGTGAGAAATACAAAGAAATAAAGAAAAGATGTAAAAAGAGGAGAGTGACAATAAGAAACTAAGGGGTAATTTGGTATTAGTCAAATAATATCAGCTTCTTCAAAGGGGGTAATAAAAATGGAAATGAACTCAGGAGAATGTTTTTTCTTTTCTTTTTTTTTTTATAGTAGGGAATAAAATTCAGTTTGTTTAGGAGTGAATAAGAATTGAATTCGTGGAGGCAGTCCACTAACTTCAATGAAGAAAAAGAAAAAAACAGAGATATAGATTTAGTATTCTGCTACATGTAGAACTTTTTTTTTTCCAGAAAGCTGATTATAATTTTTCTTGATTAGAGTCCTGCTGCTGGTTGCCTGTTGGGTATGTCCAATTCTTGATGGTTTTCCACAATCAGACTTAGACTTGTTCAGCCAAAAACAATTTCTATTTTCATTTATTTTGCAGAAAATTGGCAATCAGGATTTGATACCAACGAACATCATTTTTGACAGATATAAAAATACCATTTTTAATATAAGTAGCTCCAATTTAAAATTCTGATTCTTGGAACACTAGACCCCTCCTACTTGTCACGTGATCCAGTTTATTGAATGAGGGCTTTAATTGTAAACCTTTTTAACCAAACCAGTTTCAGATAATGTTTATTTTCCATCATTTTCATCAGGCTGTAGGAAAAATACTAGTAGGTCAATTTTACACCAATTTTTCACAAGAGTCAGAAATGTCTGAGAAAATAATTAGGCTAACAAGATGTATTTTATATTCCCAGGTTTGCTTATCCGTCTTTGGGAATACAGTCTAAAAACCCTTTTAACAATAGAAAAAAGGAATATTTGATTAGTTCCTGCAATCTTCATCTTTCTTCATTCCAACCAGTCGGTACATTGAAGAAAAGCCAATGTGTTAAAATTATTTGAGCGGATGGCGTTAGGAGATATACCTAATGCTAAATGACGAGTTAATGGGTGCAGCACACCAACATGGCATATGTATACATATATAACAAACCTGCACGTTGTGCACATGTACCCTAAAACTTAAAAGTATAATAATAATAAAAAAGAAAGAGAAAAAAATTATTTGAGCAATGGATAAGCAAAAAGGTACATTTTTTTCCATAATCTCTTTGTTAAAAATAAATATATATCAAAGTATGAGATAACAAAACAAATTTCAATAAACAATTTCATTTATTTCCCACGATATCACATTGTTTGATGCTAGAACAATATATCAAATCATATTCCATGACATAAATCACTAAAAACAGTTATTCGCCTTTGTAATTCTCCTGTGACTTTCATAAACCACTGGATATCCTTCAGAATTTGTGAAGATATTCTTAGAATCTCCTCAGCACCAGTATCTTTCAGAGGACATAATAAAGGTGGAGGAGAAAGGAAGTACAACTAAACATATCAAAGTTACCTATATCTCTCTCTCTTACTTCCTAAAAGCACTGTCAGCTCACCTCTAGGTGCTTTATGCTTTCATACCAACCTTTCTTTTCTCCCAATACACTATCAGCAATTGTTGAGTATGTAGATGCCAAAAATATAATTTTCCATTTCTGGGAAGTATCTCAAGGGCATGCCTCAAAACAAAACAAGCAGTTATAAATGTCCTTATCTGTGAATATGCTTTCACAAAACCCTGGGAGGAAGTGTCCAAGGAAGAGGGAGTGGGAGAAATGATTTTCAGGACTGCTGTGAATTTAGTAACTGGGAAGCTGAAATCTGACCATCAGTGCTGGCAGAATTTAGATTATTGTAGACACTTCAAGAGAAAATGAAACAAAAATGTAGAAGCATAATTGGTTTTAGCCTGATGGAAAACTGGCTTGAGAGGATAATAGGAAATGCCTAAGAAAAAATACTAAGTACACAAAATGTCTTCAACTTGTCTTAACAAAGCTGGTGAAGATTTTTGTGCATGTTTTGAGTTTTAGATCAAATTTACCTTAATAACCTTGAGGAAATAAATTGTCTTCCTACTGTTTGATTTCTTTCATTTTCCTCAAGAAATGAGTGCTCCTAGGAATGACATCTATATTTTCCTCAAGGAAAGAACAGATGTAGATGACAAAAAATTCCTCTTTTCTCCCTATTTGGGAAAGAAAGCCATTCTCCTTGGTGGTAATCAAGTGAAAAAAGAACAGTCAAAGCAGCATGGTGATATAACTGCTGCCATCCCAGTTTCCCTTCTAAACTACCACCAAAAGGATGAGCTTCACTGTCTTCATCCTGGAAGTTACTCACAAGAGATGTTGAAATGAGACAAGATGTCACATTGCATGAATTATTCACATTGACTTGTGATTATGGCAGTAGTAGAAAGACAAGTATATGCAAGATGAAAAATTCTTTGTGCTTTCAGGCTAAACATGACATATGTATACAAAATCACAATCCTACCTCTGTTGTTTCTCTTTAATCCACTCAAGATCCCCTCCCAGCAATTTCTTGCTGTTCTGGACCACACAAGAACTGTTCTTATTTACTGTTCTTCCTATTGTGGTATCTGTTGCTATAATATGGGCAGATCCAAGACAACTTCTTATGAATACCGTGGAGTCTTTCTTCTAAAAAAATATTGTTTTTGCTTTATGTGATCAAAAGAACTGTATACTCTCTTGTTCACATCTTAATGCCTATTTCTGTTAAACTGAACTGTTTGTCTTTTCCCCATTCCTTTTACTTTAGTTTTCAGTTTTGACTGAGAATATTTTCTTTTCAACTACTCTGCTTATTGCTAAGACTTCTAAAATCATATTAATCTGAATTTTACTCCTCACCTGCCAGTAACATTTTGAGACCATTCTTATTTTTATCCCTTCAGTGTATTCATGTCCTGGGCAACTTCCTTTACAGAGCTGTAACAGAAGTTAAACTGGCTTTTGAATTCTATTACTTATTAACATATTTCTGACTCTATCACTTTATACTGTATTAATTGGTCCATGCTACTGGATTATAATCTCTTAAAGGGCAGGTATCTGGTTGTTTTTATTTCTGTAGAGAAGAGGCATATGATTTTGATGTATTCCACTTCGCTTTTCTGGTGTATGGGTCAGAGGAAATTCAACTAATATTTAATAAATGAATGAATGCTTTATAAATTAGGCTTTTTAAGTCAGATCTTTTAAATATTTACTTCTACCTTGGGTTGCTTTATATCCACCTAGAAACTGACAACTTTGAAAAGTTAATGGGAAATTCTTATTTTTTTTTTTTTAGAAACTTAACTACAAACAAAAAGTTTAGTGTCTAAATGTGTTATACAATTTAGCTAACTTTCCAATTTTTAAAATAGTTTGAAAAAAATTCTGAATAGTATCCTTATATAATTATTGACCACAATATTTGTCATATAAAATTATATAAACATTTAATTGGTATTCACAGACAATAACTAGATGGTTATGAAAATCATTTTTATGAGGCAGTTTATTCCCATTCTTTTAAAAATGTGGCTTCCTAAGGCAAACAATTTTCTATAACAATGATAATTTATGTGATTAGATGTTTTCTTATACCAGGTCATGAAATTAATTTTCATCTTAATTAGTGCCCACAGCAATAATTACATTAATAATCCATTTAGCTAATTGCATTTTGCTAAGTTAGTTGTGTTGCATTTTGGGCATTGCTGATATACCAAGGTCAGTATGTCTCCTCATCAGTATCCAATAACTGATGTGAAGTAGTAATTAATAACATAGCTTATATTTGCAAATCCTAGATTACCCTCCTAGTCAGATTTCCTTTTGTAGCCTATAATTTTGTCCTTAAGGATCTCAATTTCAGGTCCCTTTTTATGATTGAATTGTTTATTTGGCCCTAACAGCCTGTTATAGGCTAACCAAATTCATAAAATACTAACGTGTTAAAGAGAAGGTCAATAGATTCATTTTCCATGGGAATTATAACTACCTAGCTAATCTTCCTTTTGTTTCCCATCAATGTATTTCTTTTTCATTGGAAAAAACTTATTTAGAAAGCCAAATTAGGGTCATGAAATTGCCTTGAAAAATAAAGTCAGAAATAATGTGATGAAAGAAACAAGATAATTTCATAAAATCATAATTCTTCAAGGGCATAAATAGAGTAGGTCTCATTTCTCACTCTAGACCAACTATGCAATTAGTGCATATATTATTTAAAAGGTCACAGTCTCTATTTTCCTTGAAATAGGAATCAAAGCACCACCCTTTCATTTAGTATCCTCTTATCATGGCTTTGTAACTTCAGGTCCAGGTTATAAACGATCACTTTCAAATGAAAGAATTGAAGTCTTTATATCTTTCCCTACAGGCTATACCTCCCATCTATTTAATCATCTCTGCCAGTTCTCTTCAACATCCATTATATCTTTTTAACCTCATTTTTTGAATATGGTAGCAAAGAAGGGCCCGGTATTTTAATGCATTTCAGCCTCAAGTGCCTATAGAGAAGTTTTCAAACCTATCCATCCCTACATCTAAATTTGCAGAGGATTATTCACATTGCCTTTAATGATAAAACTTACCAAATTTTGTTCTTTATTATGGTTTCTAGGAGTAGAAAAAGACAAAAATAGGATGGTTGACTCAGAGGAGTTAAAGGAAACACAGTTATTCTAAAATGTTGAAGGAGGGTTGTCAGGAAGGTTAGACAGGCTATATTCAAAGAAAATGGCAAATTTAATTTTTCATGAATGGAGGGAACCTTATTTTTTCTCTTAATTCCTGATTACTAAAGAACATGTATTAATTAATTTATATGTTAATAGTACAGAAAAATATAAAACATTTAAATTAAAACATGACTTTGGATTTTGGTTTTAGCTTCAACATGCAAAAAGCTTGGAAACTATCACTCCCTACCTTAAAACAAGAAAAAGTTGAACATACTGAATACCAACAATTTTTTAAGCCATCAAAAAACTAAGGTCACACGGTGAACTGTCATCCCAAAACTTTTTCCCAAACTGAGGAGAAAAGTATATTCAGAGTCACACCTAAGATCTGCTGACCTGGAGCAGAAGCTGCTGGAGTCATAAACTGGTAGACATGGTAAAAACACATAAATGCTGATTTTAATAAACTGTTGGAAGCCAAGTGGGGATTAGTGTGAATGAGAAATTACTAAAGACCATATAATCTTGGGATGGGGTCGGGAGTGGGGCACACTTTTGTGTGTTTCACCTCTGAGAACCCAATCAAGTTCATACAGTAATATTCCAGAAAAAAAGTCCTCTCACCTTTGCCAGCAGGGGGAGGGTAAGGGTCTCTTGTGAAATATCCCAAGACCTTTTCATTATCACCCAGGGCTACTCTCCAAGGGAAGAGATTATTTTCCCCTTCTGGATCAGTTTTAGCTCCCTGTAGCCTTCCTGTGTAGATAGATAGGTAGACAGATGATAGATAGATAGATAGATAGATAGATAGATAGATAGATAGATAGATATTACATATATATAATATGTCATCAGTAGTCACAAAAGCTTCAAGGCAATAGACTAGGAATGCTTCCGCCAGGGAAAGGAAGAAAAGGAGTAGAAAGTGGAGTGGGGCGGAGAGTGTGTTATATTGCTGGAGAAAGACTTGTAAAGGTCCCAGCCCTGAGACATTTGTTGAGTAAAAGATTAGATTTAATTGTAAGATTACAGACTGCTCCCCTTTAATCTTCCAAACCTTGTCACCATACCAGCAGGTCTCCAGTATTATAACAGTGAATTATAACTGAAAAAGCTATAAGATACAGGCTTTCTCTGAAGTCTTAGGAAAGCACAAAGTAAACATAGGACACAAAACTCAAGGCTACAAGAGGAAATGTGAAGCCTCTGGCACCTATAGCTGAGCAAACAATAAACACAACCCAATTCCTAGCCAGTTTAACATATGCACCCATATTAAAGGCCTAGTTTCCTCAGTTTCCATTACTCAATAAAACATGTCCAGCTTTCTAACAAACAAGAAAAAAAAAAAAGAAAGGAAAATCTTCTAAGAAACTAAGCAATCATCAGAACCAGATCCATATATGAGAAAGATGTTGGAATTATCACAATGAGAATTAAAATATCCATAAGTAATACGTTAAGAACTCTGATGGAGAAAGTAGAACATGCAAGAGAGCAGATGGGAAATGTAAGCAGAGGGATAAAAATTCTAAGAAAGAATTACAGGGATACTAGAAATCAGAATCAGAATACTGTAACAAAAATGAAGTATAACTTCAGTAGGCTCATCAGTAGACTTGGCATGCCCAGGAAATCAGTGAACCTGAATATAGATCAATAGGATTTTCCACAATTATTATTCTAATAAAAACATTAAAGAAAAAAACAAAAGCAAAACATAGAATAAAACTTCAAGGAATTGTGAGATAAATGAGAACAAAACAGAAGAAATGTTTGATGTATTATAGTAATGGCAGGAAACTTTCCAAAATTATTGACACCATACAGCAGATCCAGGAAGCTCAGGCAACAATCAGCATAATGAATACAAGCAAAAGTTAAAACAAACAAATAAAAACATAAGCATTTTATATCAAGTTTCCAGAAAACTTAAGACAATATCTTGTAGAACAAAAATGCTTCATCTATAGAGGTACCAGAATAAAAATTACAGTAGACTTCTCATCAAAAATGATACAAACAGTATGAAAATGGAGGGAAAATGTGAAGTGTTGGAAAAGTAAAAATGCCAACATAGAACTCTATATGCAACAAAACTATCTTTCAAAAGTGAAAGAGAAATAAAGTCTTCTTCAATCAAACTATTGTGATAATTCCAACAAAAATTAATGGGATTCACTGTCAGCAAATCTTTTCTGAAATGTTAACAGAAAATCTTCCACTGAAGGAAAATTAATTAGAAACTTGAATCGACAGAAAGATGAATAAGCATCGGAGAACAAATAAAGTTAAAATATTTTTTTATTTTATTATTTTTAATGATAATCAACTATCACTGTTGATTAAACACCAGTGTAGCATTATTTTATAATGATCATTGTCTATAAAGTGTACTAAAGTAAAACTTTATTAATTCAATATTGTGCGATCATAGCAAGTGGATAATAACGTCTTTCCCAGACCAGAGTTTTTTTGTTTTTGTTTTTGAAGTGGCAGTTTTCTTTAGAAGCTGCCAAGTGTGTGTCCACATATGTTTCACACTTTCACTATATCACTTGTATAACAAATGTCAAATATTACTTCAAAGATTTTGCTATGGTTTCCTTGAAAAACAATTATGTCATATGTGCTTTCATATATTTATCAAACTCACCTAACCCAGATATCTGGTGTACAAGTTTTTCAGGACCTTACTAATTTCCTAGATCTTATTTTCCATATTACGGAATCTAACTTTCAATTCAAAATCTAACTTCAAAATAGAAAGAATCTATTACATTTCCAGTTCAAAGTCCATATAAGTTTGGGTCAGATTCCCACAACACATTATTTTGAGTCATCATTTAGTGCCTTTGCCCTAGTTCCCAAAACCTCAGGGCAGTACTGAGTCCTGCATGCTTATGAAGAATTGATTTGGTTTGTTCTCCCATTTATATCATTTGAATAGTAACCATAAAGTGGTCAGCAGTGAGATCTGTGTCATACTTTTCTAGAGCCTCTATATTGACATTGCTTAATCCCTAAATGAGCCAGTATGAGGAAATAAAGTGAGTGTGACACTGATATATTTTGCAATTCATATCATACCCATCAGAATCACTGCCTTGAGCTCCTATGCTTCAGTTCATTCCAAATCGTATCTTATATGGATCTGAGATATTGAAACAAAAGCTTCCTGGACACTAGCAGAAGGCATGAGACACTTGGGTCAGAGACAAAGGGGTTTATTAGTCACAGAATGACAAGCAGCATAAATTTCACATGCTGACTGACTCCCCTGATACTCCAAGCCTCATGGGAGCAACATAGAGTGGTCAGGGTGAATGTTATACACACGTGGGTCTGTGTCACAGATGAACATACCCAAGCTTAGGAAACCCCCATCTTTTATAATGGGCTGAAAGCTAACTTCTTAATGTTGCTCCAGGTGAACACATCATCTTTATTGTACTAGACAGTAAACAAACCTGTCCTTTACTTTACAGAAATCATTGAAAATATGTTAATATTCTGGGACAATGGTTGTTAGGGCTTCTGCTTGGAAGACATACAGAAATGTAAGAAACCAGTTGAGAACTATCTCCCAACAGCATACTATATGACAAAAGAAATGTGTTGAAATTCAGATAAACTACTTATCCGAGTATCCAGGTTTACAATAAGCTCAGTTGGGATCTCTTCTGATAAGACTGTATTGTTAAACCTCACATCCTTCAACTTTGCAATTGCTGACATATTCAAAACAAAGATTTTAACATTCACCAAATACCTCCCAGTAGGATGGCAGTTCTAGTGTCAGCCTTTCTCAGATTACCAGTAGATTTCTGAAAATAGACTGCGCTATCTACAAAACGATTGAATGATATAACAGATTTTGAAAATGTCCCTCAGCAGGGTTCCTTCAACTTTTCTATAGTGGAGGGATGTGGCACCGAGCATAAGATCATGAGCAAGGATATTTATACACTGTTAGACGTGTCCTCATACTGTATCTTTCACAACCATCACTGTTCATATTATCTATCCAGCTTCCTACTAGATTACCTATTATGTTTAAAATGGGCAGTTTCTCAGTTTTGCAATGTAGTCTCTCACTGCCATTCTACAAAATATAAAATACGTAAAAACCCCACAGGAAAATTCCCATCAGCCTATGTGGCATTTTTAGTCTAAAAAATCCCCATTAAATTAATACTTCAATAACTCAATCAATTGTTCAATATTTTTATCAAAGTTTTATTGGCATACCAATGCCACCCTATGTACAAATAATAGGTGATGGAGAGGCCAGGAGTACAACTGATCAATAACAGTAGCTTATTCAAGTGATCCTAAGATGTGGAGTCTTCCAGTGAGGGTCCTAAGCTTGAATTGTAAGTGTATAGACTTGCATAAAAGGGATGAAGAAATAAACAAACAAATACACAGAATGTAAGACATTGAGCAGAGGAAAGAAGAAATGAGACTAAAAAAATGTGTCTCCATAAGTCCAACTAGTATCTTTTTCTGTATATTTGCATAAGCTTCTCTAAATTACATATTTTGGTATATCTTCTGGAACTTTCTGAAAAAACATCTTTCTGAAGATTTATTTCTCCTAAAAGAAAGAAATTCTGAAGATTTTTTTCTATGACAGAATATATTAAATTATGCTAACTGATGCTACAGTTCTATAGGCCTTCATTGTTGACCTTTGCTTGGAGGACAGGCTGGGTGCTTTAGAAGAATGTCCGTAAAATTACAACACCAAATATGATTCAGATATGATGATGTAAACTAGATGGAATACAGGTAGACCCTAATAGGTAGATTCAAGGCCTGGTTTAAATGCTGTGTGAATTCTTGTGTGGAATTAGGCTACTCAGGATAGAGTCTGTTTAAATGACATATGGCATTTACAATATCTCATTGTAAATTATCCCACTGGCTAAATTTAAAGTAATATGTTAGAAATAGAAATGAATGTTAGAACCCATAAGTAGAGAAAAAATGAGACCAGCTACATACCTCAAGATTCTGAAAAAGGACAACTACAGAAATACTAGTAACCCAATGTAAAATGTGGGAGCAATTATAACTGTAATATGTCGATTTCATAATGCACATGTCAAGTAAATACAACGAGACATTGGGTTGTAGCAGAGAAAGAAGTTTAATTGTAGGACTACTAAATGAGGAGCTGGAAGGAAATCTCAACTCTGTCTCTCCAAGGAGTTTGGAGGTAGGGTTTTTCAGAGTTTTAGAATGACCCAAAGTATTGAGATTTCTGATTAATCAGAGTGCTGGGTAAAGTCATGGGACAAGGAGGTGAAGAAATTGAATTCTCCTACTGATTTTTTTTCTCTGTAGAGGTCTTTAACCTAGTTGGCATTAGCTGTTCTGCTGGAATTCAGGATCTGCTTAAGCAATTCTTAAACAAAGACCTATGATTCTAATGTCAGAGATTCTATTTATAGGAATAATGGGGATACAAATAGTATGTAGTTGATGCAGTTTGGATATTTGTCCCCACCCAAATATCGTGTTGAAATGTAATCCCCAGTGTGGAGGTCTACCCTGATGGGAGGTGTTTGGATCATGGTGGCGAATCCCTCATGAATGGCTTGGGCCATCCCCTTGGTGATAAGTGAGCTCTTGCTCTGAGTTCACAGATCTGGTCATTTAAGTTTGTGGTACCTTCCCCAACTCCCTTGCTTCTGCTCCTGCTATGTGAGATGCCTGCTCCCACTTCACCTTCCACCATGATTGCAAACTTCCTGAGGTTCTCCACAGAAGCTGAGCAGATGCTGGTGCTATGCTTTCTATACAGCCTGCAGAATCATGAGCCAATTAAACCTCTTTTCTTATATATTACCCAATCTCAGGTATTCCTTTATAGCAATGCAAGAACAGCCTAATACACTAGTTACATGATTTCCCATTATAAGCAAGTGAGTCAAAGTGTAACCTCATTAATATTTAATTATAACTATATATCTGTCCAGAATTCTTATTAATCCTGTGAGGATGGCTTCATAAGGCCCAAGAGGCAATGTTAAAAAGCGTGAGGTCAGTATAAGGTTTGAAGCCTAGGAAAACCTAAGCAAAGCAGTTAAGACTGAATAAAGGCGAGGAGACATCTCAATAGTAAATGAGTAGGGATTTAGAAACAGTAAACCCACGCAGTTTTCCAGAGGGACAGCCTGTTCTAAGTGCAAATCATCCTGACTCCAGGAGCAGGCGGAGGCCATAAAATTCATTAATTTTTGACTAATATATCAAGTCCAGGTCACACCTGCATCTCTAGATATCATTTGGAACTTGATAATGCTATGAATATTTTCTTCTGTTCTTCCTCTCTTTCTCTTTTATGTCTAGACCAATCTTCTATAACCATTTTGAAACTGCTAATCTGTTCTTCAGGGAGTGATTCCCTATGGCACTGAACTTTTGAGAGAGTGCTTCTTAACAATGTTTTGAATTTTCCCTCTTTCAGAAAACCATTCAGTTCTTCTCTCTGATTCTTTGTTTCCTGTTAAGTGCATTAGTCACTTTCTGTGACCCAAATCTAATAATGTTTCCTGTTATTTTCCAAAATCATATTCAAAATAGTTAGATCTGACTTAAATTTATGGAGACATTTTTATCCATGTTTAATTGAGTCTAATTCAACCTCTGAAACCTTGAGTACCTTTGAACAATAGCCCTCTTTGATTCCTCAAAATGTTGCTTTCTATCATATCTAGATATGAAAGTGTTTCCTAAATCATAACTGATTCATTATATAAAGTACTAGCTTTTATTATTTAACTATAATTCACACTTTATACATTTTATATAATGTTCTAGTGTACACATACAGACACACACTTGAGCACACACACACAGTCTTAAATAAAAATTTCACTAAATGATTTTCACCAATATTAACTTTTATGAACTCTGGTATTTTCTATTGCCTTCTGTTTCTTAAAAAGAATTCTAGAATGCATCCCACTAAGTTGATTTGCAACTGATAATTATATTTCACCTGGCATTTGGCATCTGACATACCTCATCTGAAACTGATTTAAGTGTCATGCAATTTTTTTCTTCTTTGCCAGGCATATGCACAGTTTCAGTTGCAGCCCAATTCCTAAGAAACTAAGTTGTCAATGCTCCAATACTTTAATAATGTTTTGGCATTTGGATTTTTGCTGCTTTTATGCATATTTTTTGCCTGAGTAAACATTTTATCTCCAATGTGACATGGACCTTTTACTCCTATTATTTGTATTTTTAGTAAAGCTATCCATGAATATATGCATAAAATCATATTCTATATTTTCTTAAATAAATGTATAATATGCACCCAGGGTACAAAAGGAAGGTTTCTGAAGAAATGTGATAGCAGATATACATCTTACTTTATGAAATAGTCCTGTTGTGGCCCCTAATGGAAATGAACATTTAAAATCACAATAAGAAAGAAGAAGGGAGGAAAGGAGGAGAGAACAAAGGAAAAAGGAAAGAAGGAAAAAGAAATGAAGGGAAGAAAAGAAAGAATAGACTGTACACCAGGTACAAAAACACAACAGAAGGAAGATTCTATCCACCAGAATCTTACCTTATGTCTCTCAATAGTCTTTGTGGACAGAGGGACATATTTTTATTTATTGCCTTATTTCCTTTGTACGTTAGTTTAGTCACTGTTACTGTAATAGGGAAAATAACTACTTACAAAAAAGCATGTGAATTATATCCTTTTATTCTTAAATAAGTTAAATCAAGTGAGGCTTATAACTGTTTACTACTAAGTCCAGTGAGTTTATAAATTAATGTATTTAATATCATGTAGCTAGAAATATTACCTAAAACAATTGTTGAGAATTAGCTTTGCCTTCTTGGCTTTTAAAATTTTCTTTAAAATTTATTTTTGTCCTGTCCTTAATAATATATGAAGTTATAATACATACAAAGGACAAGAATCATTATGAAAAATCTGATATAAAATTTATTTTAAATAATGCTCTTGGTAATTCAATGTTTATAAACTTTCTGGCCAACTTCCTGCCAAAAATGATTAGATTATGAATGGTTTTGATGTATTATGTTACCAATGGCATATGAATACAAAGTAACATGTTACCTTATCCCTTTTGGTTAGTTTTGGTAATCTTATCAATATCATCTTTAATGCAATATGTATTTAGAGGAAATATAATATTTCAAGTTATTCGTGTACTTTGTAAAAACTAGATTAGGCAGTATTAGCTATTTTAAATCTATATGACTCCTAACCAGGACCACATTTACTGCAGCATGTTGCAATGCACTAAAAACGAGCACAAGAATGCTACTTTCACCACTTCAGTACTTGGGAACTTTGGTGTTTCCTTTAGAGTTCTTCAAATATTGTACTATACCCTGCATGTTCCACCACATAGACCAGTGAAGATATAAGATCAGTGTATATATTACATATAAGTGAATATATTTTTTCACATGATATAGTCATAATAGAGGTTGTGTCAGTTATCTAGTGCAGCATAGAAAATTCAAAGTATCATATTTTAAGACAGTAACAGTCATTTATTTTGTTTGTCCTTTTTCATCAGGACTCGGTGGAAATAGTTTGACTCTGCTCTGTCGACTCTGCTTTGTCTTGGTGGAAATGGTGATGTCAGCTGGGGTAGCTGAATTGGGGCTGGTGGATCAAATTCCAAGAAGGTTCACTCCCAGGCCCTGCAAGTTAGTGCTGCTGCACTGATCCTTTCTATATGAGCCACTCCACAGACATGACAGCTACATTCAAGAGCCAAACATCCAAGAGAAAGTCAGAAAAAAATGACACAGGTGGCAAATAATTGGGGCAAATTGCCACAGAAATTACATTTTTTTTTGTATGGGATCGTCTTCCACACTCTATTTTAAAAATCAGATAAAAAGAAGGATATACAGTGAGAAAATAGAAAAGTAGGTATTAATTTATTGCTATAGTCCATGCAGAGGAGCGATTGTAACAATGGGGATGGGGATTAGGTGGCAATAACATGGATATTGAGAAGATAAATTCACAAAATTTGGTAATTCATTGTACAGTAGAGGGAGGATAATTAAGAGATCAAAAGCTAGCTAAAGTGGGATGAAAACAGTGACATTCGTTAATATAGATATATTGTACAAGAGAAGGCATGATTTGGGGGGACAAGAAAAGTAGATAGTGAGTGAATAATGATGTCATTTAATTTGAAGTAACTGTGATAAATCTAGATGGAACATGTCTAAAGAAAAATTGGAGAAGAATAGACTTAGATCTCAAGAACTAAGTATTTACATTTAGAAGCCATTAGTTTTTAGGTTGTAGATAGATTCGTGTGAGCAAGGTTTCTTTAATGATGATATATCATGAAGAGACAATAAGACTGAGACTAAAAAATTCAAAAGTATATCAAGAAAAAAGAATCTACTGACAGAGACTGAGAAGAGATGATGCAAAAGAGAAGAGTGGTGTCCAAATTGCCATGGCTGGAGAAATGCAGAAGAAAGGGCAACTGGCTGTTTATATTAAATTTATTAATTTGGAAAGTGAGATGTGTGCCAGCTGACTTAAGACATTCAAACTATGTTTCTAAAGCTGTGAAATGATGGAATAAACATCAACAAGTGGAAGAAGAAAGGAAACTTATGGTTCACCTTTTCTGCCACCATTTAAACTGGATTTAAGAGAGCACTTCTTCCTTCTTAATAATCTGTCCCAATCCTGCAAATAAGATTTTTTCCTTAATGTATTCTAGTTGAGATCAGTGTGCACTTTACAAATGTTTGTGGATTGGGAAGAGATAAATAGGTCTAGCCAAAACCAAGCAATTATTTAATCTGACTTTCAGTTTGTGACACAAAATGAGGCAACTTTCCTGCTACTGTTCTGCTTCTGTGAAGCAGAGAACATTTTATCCCCAATAATAGAAACAAAGATATCCCTCTCCTGAGAGCCTCAGAGGTCTTATACTCCTTTCTAAGGTCCACCTTCTGAGACAGAGTTTCCTATATGAGAACCCACTTAATGAATACAGGGTAGATTGTTATCTCAGGATAACCCCAGGAATAAGCCTACTCAAAATAGCACTGTATTAACCAATAGTCATTTTGTTGATTTATCCTCAAAAAAATCCCTTATAATAATAACAGGTTCTCTGTGAAACTCAAGATAATGTTAAATACTTTCACAAATGACTTTTAAAAATCAATATATTCTATAATTGTTATAAATATGATGGAAAACTTATGTTATAATAGAGATACATGTATTTCACCAAATAGATTTTCGGAAGAGAATGGATTAACTAGAAGACATAATGAAGTAGCCAGTTGCTCACACCTATAGATAAGATCACCATGATTGTGATAACTACCAATTCAGACTTGTTCAGATGTGTAATGTGTATGACACATATATTGTCCCATAAGCAATCTTGCTGTTGATAACACAATTTTATGAATGGTGAACAGCTCTTGGAAGCTCTAAGTAAAACCAAATATAATCTTCCTAAATTTGTATAATTATTATATTCTTTGGGAATTTAGTGTATACTAAAATCATAGACAATTATTTGTGTTTATATGTTAAAAAAAATGGTCTAGGGTCATAATTTGAAGATAGTTTTCACATACACAAATGTCCAAAAGGGTAGTCAAGCTTAGTTTTGGGCAATTCAATCATATGAAGCATTATTCTGTCCCTTACAATACCTCAGGTACCCTTCCACTAACTGCCTGTATTATTTCTAAGTCATTGCAACAACAAAAAACACCTCCTAACTTCCCAAAATGCTTTTTAGGGAGTTGAATAATAACATGAGGAATTTATGCCTTGGACCTTCAATTTTTCAAAAAACACAAGACTCTTGTTGCTAGAAATTTGCCTTTACTCCATAAATTCTACATAACAACTGTGTCATAATACAGCAAAATAAACTTAATATTTATCTAAGAGATAAACAAATACAGTAAATGGTGGGAAGATTTTCTTATTGAGTACATGGATGATAGTAGCAAAAAGACATTCAACAGTATGGTAAGAAAAAATGGTGTTAGTAGGCTTAGTAATTTTTTTAAAGACCAAGTAATTACAGCCAGCAAAGGTGTATACAACTCATGTATACTGCTTGGTTGCTAAGGAAGGTGAAAGTGTGTAACAGGCATTGTATAACAGAATTTTTCAGATCTATTGGGCAAAGGCAATGTTAATACAATTAGGAAATTTAAAATAATGAGAAAAATATTATTGGAAAAAATGTACTTAACCTAAATGTAAAATCCATTAATTTTTTTAATAAAAGGGTAAATCACTAACTCAGTTTTTCTGCTTATACCCAACTATGACTTTAATTCTATTCTTCTGTGCTTCTTACTGGCTAGCATTTCCATACCCCCTACCTTTTATTTGTCTTTCTAGTTCTAAAAAAATGGCATCATGAATGTATTATTTATTTAAGTGTTAGCAAAGGAACTCAGTTACAATTTGTTCAAATTCGTTTAAAATTTAACTTCTCACTTTCAGGGTCATTAACAAACTTGTCTCATTTAGTATCATCTGCAAAACTGATGAGCAAATTTCCAATTGCTTTGTTCAGGTTATTAATAAGTATACAACTCTAAGAATAGATTAATCCTCAGAGTTTATTATTCTGGAACTGGTCTCTCTAAGGACAAATCATTGATATCTCTTCTGAGTTCACCCTCAGTTCAGCTGTTCACCAAAAAGTAACATTTTCTAGATAAATAATGTCAATGTTATATTGACTAAACAGTAAGTTGTCCATTTACATTATTGGGTCTACTTTAATGGAGAGTTGCACTTAAAGCTAATAGAAAAAAGGTCTCATGTATTTGTTACTTATATAATGTTAGAGATAGAGGTCACTAATTTTTTTTGGATTATCTTGTTTATACTCTACAACTTTGTGTTGAGTGTCCCTATTTTCCCCATAAGTAAGATTTGAAACCAGAAACACAGACAGTTTGAATTCTGAATCAAAATTACTTTATAAACAAACAAAACCCAAAATATGCTTCTTCAGATACCACTAAAAATTTTTTAAGCTTTTCAACATTTTTCTTAATGTTTCAAAGATAACGTAGAAAATAAAAAAGAGTTACAGCAAAAAGGAAAGAAGGTATAATTACTAAGGACCTAATATATTCCGGGTATTTTAAACAGCTATTCAGTTTTCATTTCTTCATTCTTTCTGGGAAACATGTATTCAATGATTGTTTTGCGTCCAGTCTATTCTTAGCCCCAATTATTTAGTAGTAAACAATGGTTTTTTTCATGATGTTTAGTATCTAATGAAAGGTTGACAAATAAGTCATTATGATTTACTGTTAAAAAGTTATGACAAGATAATTTCAACATCATATAGAATCACAGAATAAAGAACCTAACCCAAGCAATGGGGGCAGGAGAGATGTCCTGCAGGCAAGGATGTTTAGACACTAACTTGATGGATAGACTGGAGTCAATCAAGTTGTGAAGAATCCTGTTGCTTGGCTAGCTAAATAAGTTTTCTTTTTGACACCTAGTATGCACTTCCATAGGAAGGTAAGCTATTTTCCAGTCCCACTTACAGTTAGGGGTCCCTGTGAGATTCAGAAGTATTAGATGAAGCAGGCTTTAGTGGGTTGGGACAGAGGGCGTCAAGGGTGATGTTATTTTTAGAAAACCTTTTCTCTCCAGTTAAAAGATAAGACTCATGAGAAGAATCTTGTCTATACCTTCTTTCAGTGAATAATACATTTATTTTTTCCTCTTTTTTTGGGAAAGCCTTTGAAAAATGTTTTAATCCACAATTTTTTTCACTGAACATAAAAATGAGATTCTAAAGGGATATAGAAAAATAAAATTTGCCCATGAAGGAAACTGGAAATTAAGTCATCAGAATGACTTCCCTAATCACATTTTTCCTTTCAATTAATTGTATGTTACACAATTTGTAGGAGAATGATGGAGCTATGTTCTAGCTATGGAGAGGCTGCAAATGCCCAGTTTCTGTGACTCTCTCAGTAAAATAAAGAACAGTGGGAGGGTTGGTGTCTATGTGTTGTAAATTCCTTCTATGAAAACAGTAATTTTTAGGGATAGAAGATGATAAATTTAAATGAACCCTTAGTACAAAATAAAGTCACTCCCAAGTGATATGACACAATAATAAAAAGAAAAAAGCAGCAAAATTAAACTCATTAGATAAAATAGGAAAAGCTAGAAGTATCATATTCTTCCAAGGACATGGAATAAAGAGTATATAAGAAGACATTTGTTATTTGCAAATTGTGTAAAATATGTTTACTGGTTTACATCCAAATATTATATTCACATTCTTGTATTTGAACATGTGAATTATTCAAAGAATTTAATGATGCTACTTTCAGTAAGATATAGATGTTCACATAAACATTTAATCTCTGTAAAGGCATTTTTGCAATAGTTTCTTGTATCTGATTTAAGATTATAGAGTAAGTTGCAGTATATGATCGCTTTTTACTTTATTATCTGTTTTGTGAGTTCTGAAAATTTGCTTACCACACAAAAGAATCTCTGAATTGAATGCAATATAGTGCAATTTTTAAAGCTTCCACAACTTCCTACATCCAGTATTGCAGAAAACATTGTAAAATACTTGAAATCATTAATATAGTTCTAGAATGTAACCAGTGAATGTATTTTGAACATGAGACATGATGTTGGATCTAGACATAAGGGTGAATGACATGTAATTGTTCTGTTTATTTTTTGGTTTTCGAAACTGTTTTGTACACATACACACACACTTTAGACATAGCATATTTTGACATACATCTTGTAGAAAAATTATTAATTTTTTGATCTGCTTTATCATTTAGTGAGCCATCACTATCCATGGCTCAATTATTAATTTGGTCACAAGAGTTCAACACTGAACTAAATGGAATGTATTGAGTTACACTTCCAATTAACTTACTTTAAAAGTGATCCCATCTGGAAAGTTATTAAATTGAACTTTAGTGCTCAGACATGTTTATTTACAATAAAATTTTAACAATTTATATCAATGCTACGGAACTTCAAATACCCTTTTAAGAAAATAGCTACAATATGTCATATTATCACTAAATATGTAATACACTTTTTAAATATAGCTCATCAATGTAATCTTTACATTTAACATCAATGTAAATATTTTGTTAGTCTCCAACCCAAACTATGCCCATTGTCTGATAAGAATTTCTTGTCTCTCTAGCAAATTTTTCTTGCCTATTATGTTTTAGAATATTTCTAAAAAGAAAAAAATGCAAGAATCACAGTAATCTTCAGCAAGAATAATTTATAGAAAAAATTAAAGTTTTGTTTTAAAATACCTAAAAATGTTATGTAATAATACATGTGCTTCTAATTATTCATTGTCATGTAAGGAAGTACTCAGTAGGAGAAGATTCAAATTTTTATATTGGTAAAAATTAAGATTGGAACAATTTAAGAATATTTATACATGGCCAACAAATATATGAAAAAACGCTCAACATCACCAATCATCAGAGAAATACAAATCAGAAACACAATGAGATATCATCTCACACCAGTCAGAATGGCTACTATTAAAAAGTCAGAAAATATCAGAGGCTGGCAGGGTTGCAGAGAAAAGGGAATGCTTTTATGCTGCTGCTGAGACTGTAAATTAGTTCATTCATTGTGGAAAGCAGTTTCCCAAAGAGTCTAAAACAGAACTACTACTTAACCTAGCAATTTCATTACTGAGCATATAACCAAAGGAACATAAATCATTCTACCAAAAAGATGCATGCTAATATGTTCATCACAGCACTATTCACAACAGCAAAGACGTGGAATCAACATAGATGCCCATCAAGAGTAGACTGGATAAAGAATATGTGGTAAATATACACCAAGAAATACTATGCAGCCATACAAAAGAACAAAATCATGTTTTTGCAACAACATGGATGTAAGTGAAAGCCATTATCCTAAATAAATTAACACAGAAACAGAAAACCAAATACCATATGTTCTTAATTATAAGGGGGAGCTATAAATTAAGTATGCATGAATGCAAAGAGGGGAACAATAGACACCAGGACCTACTTGAGGGTGGGAGGGTGGGAGGAGGGTGAAGATCAAAAAACTACCTATTGAGTACTATGTTCACTACCTGCGTAATGAAGTCATTTGTACACCAAACCCAAGGGCTATGCAATTTACCCATGTAAAAAATCTGCACATGTACTCACTGAACTTAAAGAAGAAGTTGAAAAAAGTATATCAAGCAACACACTCAGACATGTGAATTATGTTTTTGTCTGATTATTTACTACCATAATCCTTATCATATGGGTCAGAAAGGAAAATATAAAATGCAAGGAAATAAAGTAAGAGCTGTTTTAGCTTTTTTATTTAGTGCATTTTTTCAAATAGTCAAACTTTTTGCGAGAAAAGTTAACTGTGATTCCAATAGGTGGTTCAAATTAAAGAGTTTAACTAACTGTCTAATATAGTTTGGATGTTTGTCCCATTTCGTTCTATTTCACTGATATGGTTTAGCTATATGTCCCCAACCAAATCTCATGTTGAATTGTAATTCCTAATGTTGAGGGAGGGACCAAGTGGGAGGTGATTGGATCACAGGGGTGAATTTCCCTCTTGCTGTTCCTGTGATAGTGAGTTCTCATAAGACCTGATGGTTTAAAAGTGTGTGGCACTTCCCCGCTTGCTCTCTTTCTCTCCCCCGTTCTACTGTGTAAAGCTTGTGCCTGCTTCTCCTTCCACCATGATTGTAAGTTTCCTGAGGTCTCCCAGCCATGTTTCCTGTATGGCCTGCAGAACTGTGAGTCTATTAAACCTCTTTTATTTATAAATTACCCAGTCTCAGGTAGTTCTTTAAAGCAGTGTGAAAATTGACTGATACAGAATATTGGTACCAGAGAAGTGTGGCATTTCTATAAAGATACCTGAAAATGGAGATAAAGACCACCTGGCTAACACAGTAAAACCCCATCTGTACTAAAAATACAAAAAAAAAAAAAAAAAAAAAAGTAGCCAGGCGTGGTGGCAGATGCCTGTAGTCCCAGCTGCTCGGGAGGCTGAGGCAGGAGAATGGCGTGAACCCAGAAGGTGGAGCTTGCAGTGAGCTCCCACTGCACTCCAGCCTGGGTGACAGAGGGAGAGAGGGAGACTCAGAGACAGTCTCAAAAAAAAAAAAAAAATCCCTGAAAATGTGGAAGTTTGGAACTGGGTAACAGGCAGAGGTTGGAACAGTTAGGAGGGCTCAGAAGAAGGCATGAAATGTGAGAGAAGATGTTGCAGTTCTGCTGTATCACAGATCTAATTCCAAAGGTTGAGTATTTCCTTTAATTTACTGAGACAGAGGAGTACCTGGCTATGAGATGAAGACTGGAAATGAGACCCCAGATATTTGACATTTGGAATCTATGAGTTATTTCTACCTCAGGAATATGATTATCTATCTATCTATCTATCTATCTATCTATCTATCTATATCTATCTATATCTATCTATCATATCCAAAAAAAAAACAAAAACAAATTTGGAGGAAGAAAACCAATGCAGAACATGTGATGTTTTAAGGGTACAGGTTTTTGTGACTATAAATATTTAAAGGAGTTATATGAGCTCATGAATTTATTCCAGGTAGTTATGGCTGTTACTCAGCTAATAGACAGATTGTAGCCAGTTAGGAACATAACAGTCAGTGTCAGCTTTGATTGGTTGTTAAATATTTGTAATATCACCCTTGTCCATAATTTACTAATTTCCCTGAAGGCAACATCTAAATAAAATATAATACAATCAACATAGTATTCTTTCTTCCTCACAAATGTTTTCACATATAGACCCCGAGTACATTATTTAGTGAAAGAGATATGCCTAAAACCTTTCCTGCCATTCTCATATAATAGAGATAAATATGTTCAGGTTGGTAACCTAAAAAGAAAACACTGGAATGTTTGCTAGGATAACTCTAATGTGTAAGGTTATGCTAAAAAATAATTGGCTCCAACCAGGTGGTATCAAACTTGGAGAACACATAATAGTAAACAAATAGGCAAGTTTGAGAGTCCAGAATTTGCAGAAAAACTCTAATAATTTTGAAAGTTAAAAAAACTCCTCTAATAATATGCTTACAATTTTTAAATTTTGAATTTAAAAATTTCTGCTAAATATTAAAGATAAGCATGTTTGCAGGAGTTTATTGAAATATCCCATTATGTAGTATTTATTTGTATGTATCTATAAAATATTAAAATGTATGATTGTTTTCCCAGTGGCCTGGTCTGTAACATGTCTAGGGAAACTAAAATATTTGTGCTGCAATTTTCTTCAGCAAAAGCCATCTGGTAAACAAAGGGCAGGCAAAGTTTTCTGTTCCTTATCTCTTCAAGCATATGTCTCTAAGACTTTTGTAGGTACAGGTTCTATGCAATCACTGAAAATTCTCTAAATAGACATGTAGAATATTAGTCCTAAAATATATCAATTTTAGAAATACTCTTTGGACTATGAACTGACCAGTTACACATTCTAACTCTCATATTTAAAATAATATAGCATTATGTACATTAATTTTTGGAACTCAGTTTCTCCGGACTCTAATAAAACCATACTTGAACATAGTAACTTACTTGCTATTTGCTTATAGTCAGCAAATCTGCATTTTTCATTAAAACGCATTCCATTTCATTGACAATGCTGACTTACAATACATATTAAATAAGTATCCACACAGAACCTGAATTCTGAGGTAATAAAACTCGGAACAATTTACCTTGCCTAACAGTAACCTCAGGTTCTAATAGTTTAATTACCAATAGTAGGTATATTATTTCTGGCTATTCCATATATGAAGATGTATCTTTCACTAATCAACACATTTTTATAAAGTATTTAATATTAGTTACATACTCCCTTTTTATTAAAAATGGGATTTTACATTTTTTAAAATATAATTCCTATCGCTTACATCTCTGACTTCTTGAGGCCATGGTTAATTATTATAGTATAAATGGGATAAAACTAGCTTAAAGATTATATGGTGATGTTTTTTACAGGAAACTTTGGCTTTTCTCTGCAAATCTATTTAGGAAAAAGTAATGAGCTTGAAGAAAGAAGAACTACCTCAGAAAGAATTAGGACCATGTAAGGAACTGATTTCTTGCAAAAAAAAAGAGTTGCATGAAAGAGATTCATGATAAGATTTAAGATGACAAATGTTTACAAATAACATTCTAAATGGCTGAAGTCAACTATGTTATAAACCATCTGGCAGATTTAAGTCTTTGCTGAAATTCATATGAATTATTGTCATTTAATAAACTATTAAATGGACCTATGGAAAAAACTGGCAAAACAACAAATTTTCAGTAAAAGAATCAATCTGCCTGAAGACCAAACCTAGAGAATATTTCCTCACTCAAATATGAATAATGTACAAGATCAAATGAAATATTATTTGAATTTCAGAAAATAAGCCGTATTTATAATGTGTAAATAAAAGACATACATGTCAGTGTCAAAGATAACATTTAGCAGTGTGACAGAGTGTAATCCAAGTCTATAGTCATCAATCATCAAGATAAATAAAGTCCCCTGGAAAAGAGGAAGATTTTACCTGCATAAGATTTTGGAAATAGCAGTAAGATCATCTGAAGCATGGATTTTAAATGTACACAAGATTAACTTGTTAAATAATATTAAATCCATAATTTCATTCAATGATATGATAATATTCAATGAACATTTTAGTCAGTTGTTAATATTGGAATATAATAGAATTCACAGTTGATAAAAAAAATCCAAAACTGTTGTTTTCAGGGGTTTTCAATTATTATATTTTCTGCATTATTTTCAAATAATCAAGCAGAAGATGTCAATTATGTTATTGAAGCTGTGTGATTTTTGAGTCATTGATGCAATGTTCTTTAATGAGGTGAAATGCTTGTCTCAATTATTTCATAGTGTTTTGTAGCACTATGAACCTTGATTTTTTTTTTTAACATGAAGCTAGGTAGAGGGAGCCAAAGAAATTAATAAACAGTAATTATTTACATGCAGGAAAAATTGCATTGGCTGAGAGTATAACATGCTATTTTTGTTCTATGAATGCTTCCTGCTGAAGCTGTGAATTTAAAGCCAAAATCTACATATTACTTCATCTAAATAATTCTTCTGAATGTTCATAACTAACTAAATACATGGAAAAACTAACTTAGTAATTAGGATAGGAGCATGCAATGGAAAGGGAGAGTAAAAAACGTAGGTAGGTTTTAATGTCTGCTTGTAACTGATTAGCCGACTTATTAAGAGTTATATTTATGGGAAAAAGTATCATATTCTATTATGAAACACACAACCTAGTTAATAGAACCACCTGTCTAAACATAAACTACATATATTTTTGCTTATTTGGAATAGGGTGAAAGAGAGCGAGGAAAAAATTGATTCATCAGGTACAGATTTATCACAGCTACTGGCACATTTGAAGTTAATTCAGCACTTATTGCTTATACACAAATGTCAGGGCATTATTTCCATGCCCTACAACTGAATTTAGCAAACTATGGTCCATTGTCTGTTTTTGTAAGTAATGTTTTATTGAAACACAATCAAGCCACAATGGTAGAGTTTAGTAGTTGTGAGAAACTACAAGGCCCTCAGAACCCAAATATTTATAATCTGGTTCTTCACAGAAAAAGTTTGCTAACGTCTCTGCTCTTACATAGTATCAGCTCTTTTATATTTCACAATACATCTATTTTTACTATGGCTTGGCTTTTTTTTTTATTAGCTAAAGTGGAAAGCCATCCTTTAATGCAACAAGCATATATTATTGTTGCCATTATGCCACGTGCTCCCTCTTCTGAGCACCAGAAACACAGCGAAGAGCAAGGCAAGCAAGGTTCTGATCCCATGGACTCTACCTTCTAATCTGGGGAAGCAAATAATAATAAACAAGTAGACATAATTGAAACAAGATAATTTCAGGCAGTGATTTGTAGAATGACGACATTTTCAAAAGGACCAAAAGATGAAAACTTTGTGGGTAAGAATGGAGGGGTTGTTAGATTAAATCATCAAGAAAATATTTGCAGAAGAGATAGCTGAGTCATTAACTGCATGAAGAGTGTTATCCATGCACACACTGGGGAAGTTTCCTAAGTGGCGGGAACAGCAATATGACAGACCTGAATTTAGGGACAAGCTGGTGAGAAATGCAGTCTGACTGAAGTATAATGAGTGAGAAGCTCATGGTGGTATTTGAGGAGATATAGGCAAGACATAGCAGGCATTTCCTTACTAGACTGTTTGAAATATTAAATGAAATAAATGGTAACATACAATACCGGGTAGCATGGCATTAGCAAGAGAAAAATATTAACTGTCCAGACATCTAATTTTTTTAAGCTTCAGGAAATGATAATATAATTATATTATCTCTTTCTTTTGATTCCTTTCAACTTTTGGCTCCTTTAAGGTAAGAGGTGCTAGTCCTGCAGAGAAAGATGAAGGGAGGGTAAGAAAAGGCATGGATGAGTTCTCCAAAGGAGATCGTATTTAACATTCTTTCTATCCCTATTCCCTTCTTTAAAATTCCCCAGAGTGTCCAAAGGCCAACATTGACATTCAGCCCACACAATGCACAAGCCTGTACTTAATAAGTAGGCCTTGATCTTTTACAGTGTTTCTGCCAGCGTGGTGAAGATCTTTAGTTTGTGCTCTGCATGTTCCCCTTTAATGTGCTCTCTGGTGACTCAGATTTATATTTACGAAGGCACACTATTTTCTCCAAATGAACTATCAGATACCCCAAACTTAATACATTCAGAAGTGATAGTTCTCTACCCAAGGACATTGTATTCCTTCTAGGTTCTCTGTTTACTTTGGGTAGCAGCTTTATTAAGATGTTTTCTTTGTAAAAAGCAGACTCAGCACTTGCAGAAAACTGGTGGCTGAGAATTAAATAGTTCATATTTACCCAACAATTTAAACCTAATAAACTGGCTTTTTTTTCTATACATTCTGTCTACATTGTGGCAGAATTTAATAGCTAACCAGCCTTTTAAATTAGGGAGACCTGAATGTTAGATTTTTAAATTAACTTTCTTTATGCACTTAAGCTAGAAAAACGATTTTCTGGTACTGATTTTGTTTGTATAAAGAACATAAATAACAGTAGTTAACTTGCACTGTACTATTTGGGATTAGAATAAATGATTATAGAAAGCTTGATGAGGTATCTATTACTTATTGGATTAAGAAGGAGAAAATAACAGCCACTACCATTTACTAAACACCAGCAATTTGACAAGCACTTCACTAAACACTTATATATACATATTATAATATATATACATATTATATATAATATTTATACCCTCACTTCTTTCTCTGCAAGGCAGCACCTATTACCTTAAAGGTGCCAAAAGTTGAAAGGAGTCAAAAGAAAGAGATAATATAATTCTATTATCATTTCTTGAAGCTTAAAAAAAATTAGATGTCAGGACAGTTAATATTTTTCTCTTGCTAATTATGTAATATATAATATAATATAAATATTATATATATTATATAATATAAATGTATTATATTATGTAATATATAGTATATAATATAAATATATAATACATTTTATGTAATATATAATGTATATTATAATATGTAATATATAATGTATATTATAATATATAATATATACATATAAATAATGTTATATATAATGTATATGTATATATAATATATGTTTATATATTATATATGTCCACAATATATAATTGTATATTATATGTAATGTTACATAATTATTATGCAATAATTATAACATATTATAATAATACTCATATAATTATATGCTTGATATATGCATAACTACATATATTATATATAATTATATATAGTATACATTAAATATTAAAGCAACAATATATATTATCATTGGCCCAAATTACTAATGAGAAGCTTAAGTTTTAGAGAAATTTAGAAGAAGTTGACAATTCTCTACTATATTCTGTATCCATGATTTATATACAGTTTGTAGTAATAAGCTCCGTTATCTCTGTTTCTATGATTTGTATTACTCCTTTGCCTCATGCCTTTGATCTTGCACATATATCTGTCTTCCGGTCAAGACATTGGCTCCTCCCCACTGTAATTTGACCCCTCTTGTTCATGAACACATCTACATACCTCGTTCCCACCCGGATAGCTCCTGTCTTGTATGATGAACCTGAATATTCTCTCTCTGCTAATGACAATACCATGGATCCCACATTGTCTTCAGTTATGAGACATCTGATGTATCATTCTCTTATGTACCACAGAAGCTGGGCATTGCCAATATTTTCCCAGCTGGACTGAACGTTCCTTTTCAGCACCATCATACTTCATATAACTGCTTTTCTTGTCTAACAGATCACACCATTTCTCAAATACATAATTAATAGTCATGTCACCATGCTTTTTTCATCTTTCTCCTGGAAATATCTTAATTTTTCCCTAACTCATGAAGATCTACATTCCTCAAGACACAGAAAAAAAAATGATTTTATTTCCCCCACTCCACTTCCCAGATCAAGATTATGGTCCCATATTCAGGTTTCTCTCAACATTTCATATGCAATTCTATTACAGAACTTTACTGTTAAGTATTTGTCCCATTTTATGCCTTGCAAATTACTTGAACACATGGATTTAATCTTTATAACTTTTATATATTCAGTGTAAATCAGTGTGCTTGGTATTCATAAAAACTTGTGGTATAAATACATGATGTCATGTAAGTACATGCTTTGTTCGACTTTTACATAGACGGCCCACAGTGAACGATGCCTCCTTTGTAGAGTCCTTCTTACAACTCTGAGTTTGGTCATGAGACTTCATTTGACCTATGAGACATTATCAAGAATGATATTAACAGAGGCTTGATAGACACTTACACACTGGGGCTTGTCTCCTTGGAATGTTACCTTCTTAAAAACCAGTGTATATTATGTAATAAAACTCAGTCTAGAATAATGAGAGATGAGAGACCATGTGAAGAGAGGCCATAGAAGACATGAGGCCATTGTGTAGATTCCAGCTGTAGCTGAGCTCTCAGCTGTTAAAACTGGATAACTTAACCTCAGTTACACCATATGGAGCAGAACTGCCCAACTGAGCCCTGTCAACTGACAGAGTCATGACAAATAATAAGTTAATGTGGCTTTAAGCCACCCTAAACAACAAGAAACACTGAGACAGTCCTCCAAAATCCTGCCTAAGGAATGCGTAATTTCTAATATCATTTTTTGGCTTCATCTTTCCTTTTAAAATTTAGTAGAGATAATACATATTTCTACAGCTTGGGGAAATTCTTATCACACTGAATAGAAGAAGCATTTTGAAATGGCTCCAGCTATATTGGTCCAAAAATGTTCTAGAAAATGCCTTTCATTTTAAAGGAAAACCTAAAATCAAACAAATAAGTGTCAGCAGCAATAATATAACCAACGAAGCAAGGTATTACGGGATTCACTATGTATTTCTACATTTTCCCTAGCAGAGCATATAATTGTTTCTGATTTGTTTGTCTCTGTTTCCTAAATACGTCTTCTCTATTTCTTGTCATTATTTCTTACTCTGCTGGATACCTTTTGCTTGCCCCTTAGTTTCTATCTGAATTTCCACATTCTGTACCCTGCTCTGTTCCCCGGGACGATGACCAATACAGAATGCAATAAGCTACCCTGCTCTCTTACAGAAAGGAGAGCACAGCAGGACATCCGGGGAAGGCTGGGGATTTATATCCACACACACTTTCTTCCTCTAGGCATCGCTTGAACAAAATTCTGTTATTCTCATTTGCCTTCTCTCTTCATGTTTTGGGAACTGTTCTAGCCCATTGCTCCTTTAAGCCAAAGGGTGCTGACAGTGTTTTACTGTTAGTAGCCTCGGGATATTGCACAATCCTTTGAGCTTCAGGAGAGGTTGTCCACAACTTTTTAAATACTACTAACAGCAAATGGTCAAGTTGGCCAAATTTGGACATGCTGCGTATTTCCTTCCAAAACTCTGATTTATTCCTTTAGTGTATTTTCCTAAAGATCATTCACAAAAAATTTCCATTTCACTTGCAATTTAGCCATCCCTAAGTGGACACGACAGCTGAGGTTCCAAATAATACCAGCCAGGGGTATGATAATTATACTCTTTCCTGAATCAACAACACATTGTGCCACAAATATCCTAGTAATGTGTAGGTGTTCAGTATTTTATATGTTATACAGACTTATATATTCATGTTCACTCATAGAAAAAGCAAAAATTAGGAATGCTGCAGAGGCGATTAACAAATAATCCTTTGAAAAAGTATTTTGGTTTTCCTTTATTTTCCTCTCTCTCTCTTTATTTTTCTTATTTAGAAGAAAAGTAGAGGAGAGTTCACTCACGTCTCAGAAATCATGTTAATGTCTTTGAGAGTGTTTTTAGAATGTGTTTTGAATTTGCTAGAATGGCTTAACTGAACAACGCTTTATGCATTTGTAGCTACCACTTACTTGACAAATTTCTATTTTTGATTATCTTTGAAAGGAATTATCAAATGAAGTGTATATCCATCCTTATTAAAATATTTTGTTATGTGGCGTAAAGATTCCATATGAATATATAACCTATATATGTCTTAGCAAGAGCATGAGGTGAGCATGTCAAAGTCACAGCTTTTAAGAACCAGAAAGTTTCAAGGGAATACAGAGAAACTTCTGGAATTGTCATTATGAGAACCCTCTGAACTCTTCTTTGCTCATCACCCTAGAGTATTACTAAATAAGACACATTTAAGAATATATTACTGATCCCATAACGGCGGTGTGTCATTTACTCTCTTCTCTACAGACCTAAATGTTTAGATCTTGTCTATAGATAATGGCTTTAAAAAAATATAGCAGTATCTATTACTATCTACTAGTGGAAATTCTTCTGTGCTTTTAAGAAGTGACTATCAACTGAGTTGGTATAAGAATAATGCAAACAACAGTAAATGTAGAATGCCCCTGAGGTTTTAATTTTCTTTTTTTTTTCCATTTTTTAAAAAATTTCCAACTTTAAAAGTTGAGGGGTACACGTGCAGCATGTGCAGGTTTGTTACACAGGTAAACGTGTGCCATGGTCATTTGCTGCACAGATTATCCCATCACCCAGGTATTCAGCTCAGCATCCATTAGTTATTCTTCCTGATCCTCTCCCTCCTGCCACCCTCCACCTGATGACAGGCACCAGTGTGCACTGTTCCTCACCCATGTTTCCATGTGTTCTCGTCATTTAGCTCCTACTTATAAGTGAGAAGAGGTGTTAGTTTGCTTTTCTATTCCCGTATTAATTTGTTAATTGCCTCTTGCTCCATCCACATCCCTGCAAAGGACATGATTTCATTCCTTTATATGGCTGCATAGTATTCCATGATGTATATGTACCACATTTTCTTTATCCGGTCTATCAGTGATTTGCATTTAGGTTGATTGATGGGCATTTAGGTCTTTACTATTGCGGGTAGTGCTGCAATGAACATATTGTGCATACGTCTTTATAAAATAACAATTTATATTTCTTTGTGCATATACCCAGTAATGGGATTGCTGGGTTGAAAGGCATTTCTGCTTCTAGGTCTTTGAGGAATCACCACGCTGTCTTCCACATGTTATATGGTTGAACTAATATACACTCTCACTAACAGTGTAAAAGTGTTCCATTTTCTCCACTACCTTGCCAGCATCTGTTAGTTTTTGACTTTTTAATAAGAGCCATTCTGACTGGTGTGAGATGGTATCTCATTGTATTTTGATTTGCATTTCTCTAATGATCAGTGATGTTGAGCTTTTTTACATGGGTTTGTTGGCTACAGGTATGCTTTCTTATGAGAAGTGTCTGTTCATGTCATTTTACCACTTTTTAATGGGATTGTGTGTTTTTTCTTGTAAATTTGTTTAAGTTCCTTATAGATGCTGATATTAGACCTTTGTCAGATAGAGAGATTGCAAAATTTTTCTCCCATTCCTTTAGGTTGTCTGTTTACTCTGTTGATAGTTTCTTTTGCTGTGCAGAAGCTCTTTAATTTAATTATATTATATTTGTCAATTTTTGTTTTTGCTGCAATTGCTTTTGGCATCTAGTCATGAAATCTTTGCCTGTGCCTATGTCCTGAATGGTATTGCCTACGTTTTTTTTTTTTTTTTTTTTTTTCCTAGGGTTTTATAGTTTTGAGTTTTACATTTAAGTCTTTAATCCATCTTGAGTTGATTTTTGTATATGGTGTAAGGAAGGGGTCCAGTTTCAACTTTCTGCATATGGCTATCCAATTCTCCCAGCACCATTTATTAAATAGGGAATTATTTCCCCATTGCTAGTTTTTGCTAGCTTTGTCGAAGATAAGATGGTTGTAGGTGTGCGGTCTTATTTCTGGGTTCCCTATTCTGTTCCATGGATCTATGTGTCTGATCTTTTAACAGTATTATGCTTTTTTGGTTACTGTAGTGATGTAGTATAGTTTGAAGTTGGGTAGCATTATGCTCCCAGCTTTGTTCTTTTTGTTTTGGAATGTTGGACTATGCGGGCACTTTTTTGGTTTCAAATTAATTTTAAAACAGTTTTTTTCTAATTCTGTGAAGAATGTCCATGGTAGTTTGATGGGAATAAACTATATATTGAATCTACAAATTGCTTTGGGCAATATGGCCACTTTCATAATATTGATTCTTCCTATCCATGAGCATAGAATGCTTTTCCATTTTTTTTGTGTCATCTATGATTTCTTGAGCAGTGGTTTATAGTTCTCCTTGAATAGTTCCTTCACTTCTCTTGTTAGCTGTACTCATAGGTATTTTATTCATTTTGTGGCAGTTGTAAATAAGAGGTCATTCGTGATTAGGTTCTTGGCTTGCCTGTTGTTGGTGTAAAGGAATGCTAGTGATTTTTGCACATGATACTGTATCTTGAGAATTTGCTAAAGTTGTTTATCAGCTTAAGAAGCTTTTTGGCTGAGACAATGGGGTTTTCTAGATATAGGATTATGTCATCTGCAAACACAGATAGTTTTACTTCCTCTTTTCCTATCTGAATATGCTTATTTTTTTCTCTTGCCTGATTGCCCTGGCCAGAACTTCCAATACTGTGTTAAATAGGAGTTATGAGGGAGTGCAACCTTATCTTGTGAAGGTTTTCACAGAGAATGCTTCCAACTTTTGGCCATTCAGTATGATATTGGCTGTGGTTTTGTCATAGGTGGCTCTTATTATTTTGATATATGTTCCTTCAATACCTAGTTTACTGAGAGTTTTTAACATGAAAGGATGTTGAATTTCATTGAAGGACTTTTCTGCACCCATTGAGATAATCATGTGGTTTTTGTCTTTAGTTCTGTTTATGGGATAAATCACATTTATTGATTTGTGTATGTTGAACTAGCCTTGCAACCCAGGGATGAAGGCCATTTGATTGTGATAAGTTTGTTGATGTGCTGCTGGGTTTGGTTTGATAGTATTTTTCTGAGAATTTCTGCATTGATGTTCATCAAGTACACTGGCCTGAAGTTCTCTTTTTTGTTGTTGTATCTCTGCAAGGTTTTGGTACCAAGGATGATGTTGGCCTCATAGAATGTGATAAGGAGAAATCCATCCTTTTCAATTTTTTTGAAATAGTTTCAGGAGGAGTGGTATCAGCTGTTCTTTGTACCTCTGATAGAATTCAGCTGTGAATCCATCTGGTCCTAGGCTTTTTATGATTGATAGGCTATTTATTACTGCCTCAATTTCAAAACTTGTTATTGGTCTGTTCATGGATTCAATTTATTCCTGGCTCGGTCTTGGGAGGATATATGTGTCCAAGAATTTATCAATTTCTTCTAGATTTACTAGTTTATGTGCCTAGAGGTGTTTATAATATTCTCTGATGATTGTATTTCTGTGGGGTCAGTGGTGATACTCCCCTTATCATTTCTGATTGTGTTTTTTTGAATCTTCTCTTTTTTCTTCTTTATTAGTCTAGCTACTGGTCTATTTTATTAATTTTTAAAATAAAACAGCTCCTGAATTAATTAATTTTTGAAGCATTTTTCATGTCTCTATCTCTTTCAATTCAACTCTGATCTTGGTTAATTCTTATCTTCTGCTAGCTTTGGGGTTTGTTTGCTCTTGGTTCTTTAGTTCTTTTAGTTGTGATATTGGGTTGTTAACTTGAGATCTTTCCAGCTTTTTGATATGGGCATTTAGTGGTGTAAATTTCCCTTTTAACACTGCTTTAGCTGCATCCCAGATATTCTGGTATGTTGTATCTTTGTTCTAATTAGTTTCAATGAACTTCTCGATTTGTCTTAATTTCATTATTTACCCAAAAGTCATTCAGGAGTAGGTTGTTCAATTTCCATGTAGTTGTATGGTTTTGAGTAAATGTCTAAATCTTGAGTTCTAATTTGATTGTTCTGTGGTCCGAGAGACAGTTTGTTATGATTTCAGTTATTTTACATTTGCTAAGGAGTGTTTTACTTTTGATTATGTGATCAACTTTACAGTAAGTGCTGTGTGGTGATGAGAATAATGCATATTCTGTTGTTTTGGGGCGCGGAGTTCTGTAGATAACTGTCAGATCCATTTGATCCAGAGTTCGGGTCCTGAATATCTTTGTTAATTTTCTGTCTTGATGATCTGTCTAATATTGTCAGTGGGGTGTTAAATTCTCCCGCTATTATTGTGTGAGAGTCTAAGCCTCTTTGAAGGTCTCTAAGAACTTGCTTTATGAATCTGGGTGCTCCTGTATTGGGTGCATATATATATTTAAGATAGTTAGCTCTTCTTGTTGAAATGAACCCTTTACTATTATGTAATGCTCTTGTCTTTTTAAAATTTTTGTTGGTTTAAAGTTTGTTTTGTCAGAAACTAGGATTGCAACCCCTGCTTTTTCCTGTTTTCCATGTGCTTGGTAAATTTTCCTCCATTCCTTTATTTTGAGCCTATCAGTGTCATTGCATGTGAGATGGGTCTCTTCATGCATACTGCTGGGTCTTGGTTCTTTACCCAGCTTGCCATTCTGTGTCTTTTAATTGGGACATTTATCCCATTTACATTTAAAGTTAATAGTGTTATATGTAGATTTGATCCTGTCATTATGATGCTAGCTGGTTATTTGGCAGACCTGTTTATGTGGTTGCTTCATAGTGTCACTGGTCTGTGTACCAGTGGTAATGAATTCCCTCAGCATTTGCTTGTCTGTAAAAGATCTTATTTCTCCTTCTCTTATGAAGCTTAGTTTGGCCAGATACAAAATTCTGGGTTGGAAATTATTTTCTTTAGGAATGTTGAATATTGGCTCTCAGTCTCTTCTTGTGCAGGATTTCTACTGAGAAGTCAACTGTTAGTATGATGTACTTCCCTTTGTAGGTGACCTGGGCTTTCTCTCTGGCTGCCCTTATCATTTTTTCTCTCATTTTGACCTTGATGACTATGTGTTTTGGAGATGATCTTCTCATGGAGTATCTTACTGTAGTTCTCTGGATTTCCCAAATTTGAATGTTGGCTTGTCATGCTAGGTTGGAGAAGCTCTCTTGGATGATATCTTGAAATATGCTTTCCAAATTGGTTCCATTCTCCCTGTCTCTTTCAGGTACCCCAATCAGTTGTACATTCAGTCTCTTTACATAATCCCACATTTCTCAAAGTTTTCGTTTGTTCTTTTTCATTCTTTTTTCTCTATTCTTGTCTGCCTGTCTTATTTCAGAAAGATAGTCAGATTCTTTCCTTCATTTGGCCTATTTTGGTATTAATACTTGTGGTTGCATTGTGAAGTTCTTGCACTATGTTTTTCAGCTCTATCAGGTCAGTTATGTTTCTCTCTATATTCGCTATTTTTGGCTGTCAGCTCCTGCAGTGTTTCACCATGATTCTTAGCTTCTTTGCATTGGGTTACAATATGCCCCTTTAGCTCAACAAAGTTAATTTTTATCTACATTCTCAAGCCACTTCTGTCATTTCAGCCATATCAGCTTCAGCACAGTTCTGAACGTTTGCTGGAGAGGTGTTGAGGTCATTTGTAAGAAAGGAGGCTGTCTGGCTTTTTGAGTTTGTAGCATTTTTACATTGATTCTCATTTTTGTGGGCTATCTACCTTTGATCTTTGAAGTTGCTGACCTATAGATAGGGTTTTTGGTTTTTTGTTGTTGTTATTATTGTTTTTGTTTGTTTGGTTTTCTTTCAACAGTCTGGCTATTCTTTCATACAGCTACTGTGGTTTGCTGGAGAGTCTGCGCTAGATCCTAGATGCCTCGGATTTTCTAGTACTTGGAGGTATCACCAGTGAAGGCTGTGAAACAGTAAATATGGCAGCCAATAATTAGTACATTTCATTTAGGTTTGGCCGAGGGCCATCACCGTGGCTCTAGGTGCATGGATATTAGCATAGGATTGCAACTGATTATATAAGAAGGCTTGACTTTCACATCAACATAGCTTCTAGAGTTATTTTTCAAAACATAAGTCAATAGTGACAATAAACTGTTCAAACTTCTTCAAAATTTAGCATTTCTTTAGCATGAAAACCACAGTCCCTACAGGAGCCTAGGTCTTTAATCAAATACTCAAGTCCCAACCACAGCCACCATTTGGCCTCCTATCTCCTTTCAAACATGGATCAGATTACTTTAGTTGCAATAGTTTTATACTTATATTTTTTTGGTTCAAAATGCTTCCAAGAGTTCTCTCAAGTCAGGAATTTTGTACTTCAGTACTGGCCAATTTTTCTGCCTGTAGCACTGTTTTCCAAGATATTTCAAGTCCTGTTCCGTGACATTATAGACTTTCATACAACTTTACACAAACTAGCAACCACATTGGCCTGTATCTTATACCATCCAAGATTATTATACATGGTATTTTATATATGGTATAATATATATTACCATATATGGTATCATATACCATCCAACATTATTGCTCTCCTCACCCCACAAGGGGACGAAATTTGGTTTGTTTACTCCCGTATTTTTTGTCCCTTAGAACAATGAGTTACTTACTACTTCCAGATGGAGTGTTCTAAGTCTTGACTTAAAAGAGTGTTATCTTTTCTTACACACAGTACCTAGCCCACTGCAACACTTATTGCCATCTTCATATTCACCTGGGTTTTTACTGTTGCTGTTGCAATAAAAGAATAAACATGGCCCTTTCTGGCATTAGGGGTTTACTTATTTAGGCCAATCATAATGAGAAAAGGCAGTCAACACAATACACTTGAGGTAGAAAAAAATATAACTTGGAAGAATGTGGGAGCATCTGAAATATTGTAGTTTATAGAGGCTTGCTCGAGGAAATAATCATTGAGCTTAGTCCTGGATGAACAGAGTTAGTGAGGAAAAGTAATGCGTCAAAATAATCCAGGAAGACAGAACAGAATAAATAAAATATTGAAGTAGGAAATATCATGGTTTGGGAGGGTGGTTTAACTAGGAGATGTTTTAGGCCTCATAAAATGTGGGTAGGGGATATCTTTTTACTTTATAACACTCTCAAATAGATTTCCCAAAATGACATCTACAGACTGAAAGATGTTCTCATGTTCATGTTACTCTAGGCAATTGTCAAAAAGGTTGTTGGCCCCATAATAAGGCCTAATTATTTTAAGTTCCCATATTCTTGCTTCTTAAATTTCTTACATTGATCCTGACATTGAAATATAAAAATGCTTTGTTGGGGCCAGCATTTTTGCAACCTGTAATCCCAGCACTTTGGGAGGCCGAGGTGGGCAGATCACCTGAGGTTGGGAGCTTGAGACTAGCCTGGCCAAGATGGTGAAACCCAGTTTCTACTAAAAATACAAAAATAAGCCGGGCATGGTGGCAGACGCCTGTAATCCCAGCTACTCGGGAGGCTGAGGCATAAGAATTGCTTGAACCTGTGAGGCAGAGGTTGCAGTGAGCCGAGATCGTGCCATTGCACTCCAGCCTGGGTGACAAGAGCAAAATTCTGTCTCAAAAATAAATAAATAAATAAATTAAATAAATAAAACTTTGTTGGACTTCTAATCTTTAATTTTTCAGTCTCTCACTTAACTTGGTGATGCCTCATGCCAGAAGTCTTGAATCTATTAAAGTGTATGACTACAAAAACTGGTAATCCTTTCTGTTTGGCTGAATTTCTATAGTAAATGACATTTTCACGTGTTAAGCAGCCATCAAAAGGTATGTCCCTTTGTTATTGAATACACAGGACCAGAAGTTTAGAAAATTCAGGTACAGAAGATAAATATATTGGAGGCTTTATTAAAGGAAATATGTTGTTAGAGTAAATGAGCTCATGAGCTTTAAAAATGAAAGTATTCAATGTATATTCCAAGGAGATTTAATATGTATTATTAGGATAAATTATGTGTACTCAATTAAAAATTAGAGGAGATGGAGTGAAGGGAGTTGAAGGTGTCAGGGAATAAAATTGATCACTAGATGAAAATGTCTTGACTTTTTCATAGGCCCTATAAAACAATACCAGAATTTTTTAAATGCCTTTTTTTTTTTTTTTTTTGAGACGGAGTCTTGCTCTGTCACCCAGGCTGGAGTTCAGTGGCACGATCTCGGCTCACTGCAAGCTCCACCTCCCTGGTTCATGCCATTCTCCTGCCTCAGCCTCCTGAGTAGCTGGGACTACAGGCACCTGCCACCACACCCAACTAATTTTTTGTATTTTTAGTAGAGACGGGATTTCACCATGTTAGCCAGGATGGTCTCGATCTCCTGACCTTGTGATCCACCCTCGCGGGCTCCCAAAGTGCTGGGATTACAGGTGTGAGCCACTGCACCCCGCCCTAAATGCCTTTTATTCACCCCACTCATATTAAACAAAAAGATATAATAACTTTCTCAATATGTTATGTAGCTTCTTCAAATCATATTGGAAAATGTTCTGTTAGTGCTTTTCTAGAATCTGTGTAGGCTGACTTACAGACTGTTTAACAGAGACACTAATTTATGTTTTAATTATTTCTATTCAAATTTATAAGATTTTTTCAAATTTAATTTTGTGACTCAATTTTCAGTGAAAATTTAGCAAATGTACAAAAATATTTCCCCATTTATCAAAATATTTAAGGTATGTTGTGAATATAAACACATCTTTATACTACATGCTCTTGATAGTCCAAGTAATAAATTTTTTGTAATTTTTAATTGTTTTATTCTTAAGTCTCTGAGAAATATGAAATATAGTTATGTCCTTGGAAGCTGGTTTACTGCAGCTCTTAAATGGCTTCTCACTGGCAACTAAATACTCTCTTATTATGGTCTAAATACCCCAAACTAAGAGAGAAGCTTCAGATGTAAATTGATAAATGACTTGTCTTTATTTGCTGGTCCTAGTCCCCTTATCTTTTATAAAAGTTTTTTTCAAAGGTGTCATAACACTAGATGTTCCCTCCCATTTATTTAATGTACGAGTGAATGGTATGCCAAAGGAATGCAGAGCTGGGCAGAAGTTAAAGTAGTGAAAACAAGTTTAATTCAGGACTATTTCATTAAGGGAAGAGAGACCACAAAATGAGAATGGGCTCCATTCTGACTACACCGGGGAGAACAGCGACTTATAGCCAAGAAGCAGGGGTCTGTGGATGGAAAATTTCTAAGAGAAGACATGGTGTTTGGGGAGAGTTCTGGCTGAATCAACCCAACAGGATTCCTGCTGAAGGCAGGCCAGGGTGATCAGGTATCAAACACAGGGTGTGAAAAATCCTGGTCAGACATTGAGAGTGATCTGTTATTGAGGGAGGGGGAAATTCCCTAAACTGCCCTGGCAGTTTTATTTACTGAAACGGGATTTTACAAGGTAGTGCACAGATGAGTCTAGGGGCAGGTTCAAAAGAAGCCTGACTACAGCTTATTTGAGCAAAGAATTTTGACACTTAATAGGTCCTACTTACATTAAATTTGTGTATATAATTTCTAAAATATAGAAGGTTGTTTAGATTTTTTGACTACATGCTGCACATTGCTCACAATATCAGCATAACTAATTTTCTCCTGATTCATGAGTACATCTATTTAGAACTATAAGTCTGATTCAGACTGAACTCTCAATCAGCGATTTTATTTTCACATTAAATTGCATGTTTTAGGAAAATGTTATTATTCCTAACAGTCATGTAAGTCCTCAGACTACAGGCAGTAAGAGCTGATTATAACTCAATATTAGTAATAATTAATGACATGGAGAAATATATCAGGAGCAAATGAAGAAAACGGCAAAACAGCAGTTCTCAAAGTCTGAGAACAACCCAGGCCTATGAAAATACATGATTTTCTAATGATAAGAAATTCATAACTCATGGAGGTATTAGAGTGAAGGAAAATTGTCAGCTGATTGACAATGTATTATGTATTTATCAATGGATCAGAGACAAGACCTAGCTATTACTTTCTTTCTGCTATTTATCTACCTGTCTGTCTACCTTTCAACCAAATGCAAATTTGTAACAATGTTTCAGTAGATGAGGAGTAAACGGAATGTCTCTCTGTCCTCTTGCTTAACAGAGAGGATTGCTAAGAGTTCCTTGTGGTGTGATTATAAATATTTAAGTGCGTGTAGCTATGCGTACTTTTGTATGTACATATGTATTTTTATTTCTAAGTGGTTTCTATAGCAGTAGAGAGAGATTGATCCAAGGTAACAGGGATGGTGAGGTAGAGAGAAGATTGTGGGGGAAAACGAAGTAGATTAGCAGCTTAGACTTTTTCAATTTAGAAAAGTAACTTAACTTATATATTAACTTTGGGAATAAATAGAGCCTTCTGAAAAACCATGAACATTTAGATAGAACACAAGGTTTTAGGATCATTGATTTATTTTCATCTTTATCCTATGGAAAACTGGCATTTTGGCAGAAAAGAGTTAAGAGAATTCTAAAATAAAAATACACAGCAGAGATAAATTTGAATTTAAGATAATGAATAATGTTGTAGTATAAATATGTCCCAAATTATTTGTTGTTTATCTGAAATTCAAATTTAACTGAGTTTGCTGCATTTTACATGGCAACTGTACTCCCTCATTTCATGAGATTCTTGATTTGTGCATTTTACTTTCTAAATGTCTACCACACCGTTAACTCCAAATAAATACCTGCTACACATTCACCTGCTCTCCCAGCTGTGCAACTGTATTCTTGTTCTTCATTTAGGTTCTGAGAGCCGGTTCTAGTCCCATGGATTGACAACTCCCATCTGGAACGAGGAATACCTTAACCCAGAGTTAATAAACCTTATTTTTTTCATATTATCACCCATTAAGGAGGCCTTGTTAAACTTTTTTTCTTCCTAATCACTCCCCCAACTTCCACGAAGTTTTACTATCACATATATACCATATATACGTTTATTTAGGGTGGTTCTTTGGAAAACCACAGCCATTGTAATAATTAAGATTTGTTTTTATTCCAAGAACTAGTTATGCTCCCCTGGGGCAATACTTCCTCCCTTGAGAATGCATGCATTAGTTCTCAAGGCAGGTCTTCCTCTTTGCTGTTGAATGGATCTGTCTCAATACCAAAGAGTTCAGATCTCTACCGCTGAGAAAAAAAATAAAGTCATCTCAGTCATTACCCATATTAGCATCAAAGAAGAGAAACACTATACTTTACATTTCTGGGGCAAATTTTACAAATGCCAAATACTAGAGGCCTCCATGAGAGGTCATTTCTGAAGGACACAAACGCCCATTAAAGGAAGAAAGTCTTCGGATGTCATGATTCAGAATATGCTTATTTGAATATCCTAATCATTACCTTACACACTTCATTGGAATTTTTTGAAATTTAAGGCTCTTATATTTTTACTTATCTTTTGATCAAAAAATTAAAAAATAAATTTGGAAAGACCTACATTTTAAAAATAAACAGTTTATTTGCATAACATTTTCTTATCGTTCATTATTACTAATGACACACACGTTAATCAGCTTGCCATATGTTGGCACAGCTGTGATTGGTTTGTCCAAATCTCTACAGATTTTTCCTTTGCTGCTCCGAGATATTTTTCAACATGGGAGCAGAGTGCCATCGTGCTCTGTGTTAAGACATGGTATAGAGTCAGCATATGCTCTCCAGTACTTCTTGGCAAGACTGGTAGCTCATATTTATTTATTTATGAGTTATTTCAAATAGTTCTCCTTTTTTTTTCTTACATTGTGGCAGGTTTAAATGGTCTTTTTAAAATGGGCATGGCAAATATTCTTGTAATGTTTTTTACATCTTTATAATCAAATTTATTTATATAGAAATATGTATAATTTTATAAATATGAGATGTATATTTTTAAATATAAATATGTAAATATATATTTAGATTAGATTTTTTGTATATTATACACTGTAGAAGAACATATTTGTTGAAGAACAAGAATACAATGTAATATATACATATTTGTTTGTTTGTTTAAGACGTGGTCTTGCTCTGTTGCCCAGGCTGGAATGCAGTGCCCTGATCTTGGCTCACTGCAGCCTCAATCAATCTCCTGGCCTCAATCTATCTTTCCCACCTCAGTCTCCCAAGTAGCTTGGACCACAGGTGTGCACTATGATGCCTGGCTAATTTCTTTTCTTTCTTGTAGTCAGAAAGTCTTGTTATATTGCCCAGGCTGGTCTCCAAAACCTAGGCTCAAATGATCCTCTTACCTTGACCTCCCAAAATGCTGAGGTTACAGGTGTGAGCCACTGTGCCCAGCCAATCAAATTTAGTAACATTATATTTTCTATCTTATAGACACATATGACATTCTTCTTTACATCTTGCTGACTTCTTGCCCACTTACAATCACTTCTTTCCCACTTACTTCCCTTTTACTGAAGCTGAAATCCTTTACACTGCTTCTCACATGCTTACTTCAGTGTGACACAATTCATGAGAAACTCCTTAGTTTCCAGAATCAAGTCAGATGCGCAGTATGAGGAATTATGTGTCATGTAACTGGGGATGAGAAAAAAACCTAGGCACTTCTGTAGCAATAACAAAAGTGATAGCTTGGTTTCAGTCTTGTAAAGCCTGCAGAGGAGCAAAGAAAAGCCAATGAAGGTTCAGTAGGGTGGCAAGTGGCATGTCTTGGCTGCTGAACATTTTTCTCAATGAAAAATAGACTTACAGTATCACTAGAAGAAAGTCTGCATTTTCTTCTTAAGATGTATATAGTAACATTGTGACTTTCTTGCATTATTTACTTGAACAAAATAGAAATGCTTTATGGTTGTTATTCGTATTTTGGTTTTGTTTTCTTTTTAATTTTTCTTCTTTTGGGAGGGATAGTCATCAATCAAGCAGCCTAGGGTGTGTCTGAAGATAGCAACAAAACAGACTCCTAGAGAGAAGCATATAAAGACACAAGGAGATATAAAAGGCCAGTAGGAAAATAAGTAATAATATACTGAACACAGGAAACAGAATGCTGTTCACACCAGCACTACAGAGGAACAGCTTCAAGTATTAGGCAGATGATTTCAATCAGATGAGTTTTTTAAAATAAATCTTAGATAGTTTAGTATTGGAGCTAGGAATCCATTTCTTGGGAGTTAGTTGCCAGGAGGCTTGCAAAACCTAGGCTAGAACCCAGAGCATCTAGTGCTGAGCAAATGATTCATTCATTCATCAATATGTTTGGATGGCTACTACATTCAAGGAATTGGGTTTGTTGCTGAAGACATAATAATGGGCTTTAAACGTAACAGACACAGATCTTAACTGCATGGAACTTATGAAACAGAGTCTTGAGAAAAGCGAATAAGACAAAGACCTTATTTTTTAGACAGGAGTACAAGGTCTGAGAAACAAAGAATTGGTATTTAAACTGTGACACAAGGTCAGGAAGCATAACATTTGCTAAATCCCTTAAGTGTAATTTGGAATTTACAAGTCTGGTTCTACAAAGAACCTGATTCTTCCTATTATTGTGTAGAATAATATTAATTATTTTCCTTCTCCTCACCCTCAAGGTCAACCCTTTAAAATTTTCCCCCATTAGCCATATAAAAGTAAGAAATTAGCCTAATGCTGACAGGTGTGTGCATTGGTAATGGACTCTCAAAAAATAAATTAGACAACAAAAAGCTCAGATTTTTAGCCTTTGCAAATTTTGGTGTTGTAAATACTCCTATCACTGTCTATTTTAAGCCACCAATGTTAAACAAGCTGCTGGCAAAATTCCTGAAATAATAGGAATCAGCTCTCAGAAACCCATACAAACAGGTTCCAGCAAAATAATGAATGTTGACCTCTTAATGCCTGCCTGATCTCTCGACTATTAAAAGAGCTAGCCAAATCTTTGAAATTAAGCCTTGAAAAATGTTTGTATTAAAATATTAGCCACACCCCCAGTGACTGGTTAGTTCCAAAAGAAAAAAGAATGTAGACATGTTTAGAGTTATGTTATTTTCTTTAAACCTATTAGCCTTATTTTAGGGTTTATCCCATAATTGGACTTGGGGTATTTTACTCCAGATAGTCAACTGACTTAAACAACAAAAAGAAAAATATTTGAGGAGTACAGATCCAGATACACCCAAATTTCTAATACTGTATAAAGGGGACAAATCTATCTATCTATTGCATGTATGTTGAATAGTCATGATTATTTGTATGAGTACATAAGTCATATTATTATACATAACAATGAATGAACAATGGAATCATAATTGGAACAATCTCATTTATTATTTATAATCTCCATGCCTTTACAGGGACACAGAAATTTCAGCTAACACCTTGTAAATTTAGCTACTCTTTATCAAATATCAGACGTATACTAACATATGCCTGTCCAATTTCAGTTTATTTTGTTACTTAATTAAGGATGCTTAGAAGGCAAGAGAATGTGGAGGGCAAATAAAGGTTGCATGCAAAAACAATAAAAACTAATGGTTTTTAGAAGTGTGAGAAAAATCTGTAGATTTTGTTTATCTCTACATTTCACGTCTTCATTACAATGGATAATCAAGAGTTGACTACGTTGTAATTAGAACTGAAGTTGAAGAACACATCCAACAATTCACAATTTATATTATAACTCATCAACCCACTAAATATATATTAATAGGGCATTCAAAATCATGCATTTGGCATTTCAAAGGAAGTTTCCCACATCTGGAGTGATTTGGGACACATTATTTAGTGACCTCTCTTTATTTCAGCTATTTTGGTGAGTTCTATTTTGCATAATATTACAATCAGACCTTGAGTATAAAATGGTAATGGAGGGGAGGTGGATAATCTTCATCTCTGGATAATTCTGGAGAAAATAATACAATCGAAAAAAGAATAGAGAAACCAAATTTTAAGGCAATTAGTCACAAGTATAAATGACTGTTGATAAGTTTTGAGATTATTTAAAAATTATAGGCTTTTAACTAACATTTGATTTTGAAGTTTTCACTTTTTAAACGTGGAATTTCACTGAACTTGTCTCATGAAATTGTAATTAGTTATAAAATTTATCTCCCATAATATTATACTATTAATAGGTAAATGTAAGAGTATTTCTATGTATTTGTTCTTTGGTACTGCAAAATATTCTCTGATTCATCTGAGTTTATGAGTAACATTAATTGTTATGTACTTCAGATATGTAAGACTGTTAGAAGCTGGGAGTTATGTACATTTGTTTTAATATTATGAAGTAGTAAGTAAGACAAGTTCGGGACACTGTTAAGTTTGATGCTAAGTCCCAGCAATGTTTGAGAACACATTAATAGACATTATCTGGAAATACTTTGTGAAATAAATCACAGTTCAGAACAAAAAGTATTGTTATGACAAGCATTGACAACTAAAGATAAGTATTGACAATTCATTTTATTTTTTTATATTGTCACAGGGTACTTGAGGTGTTGCTTTTCTGGCTGTAAACCTCTAAGGCCAGTGGAGCCTTTGCCTGAGTTTTGCTGGGGCCTCCTGTACTCATCCCGCCCACTTGGTCTGGCAGGCTGCACTCAGCTCACAGCACCGGCCTGGATCCCATGCCCGCCAAGGGAAAACCAAGAGCAGAGCTGTGAGGGGTATATTTGTGAGCAATTGTTGGATCTGGTCACTGCACATGACCAGGCATGCTGGCTTCAGTTGGGTGGGCAGTTCCAGGCACTGGCATGGGTGATGGCTCCCTGTGAGTCTGCAGCTGGACCAGGTGTACTGTAAGCTGCTTTCATGGCTGGCACTGGGACATGCAGTGGTGCCTGGCAGCTTGGAGACACCAGGAACCACAGAGCCCCAAAGAGAGTGTAACAGCCATGACTCAGGGAGCTCCTAGGTCTGGGATCCTTGAAGGGCCACAGCTCTTCTCTCATTCTTTCTTCTCTCCTTTTTGTTGCCCACAATGTGGCAAGCAAGGAGTGTGTTTCAGCCCTGTTTGAGTTACAGTTCTTTCAGCCCTGCCATTTGGCAGGTCCTGAATTTTTGTCCCGTGTCCAGATTGAATGAGGAATGTGGTCAAGAGGGAGGTGTGCACGGCAAAGGTGTACTTTACTGAGCGACAGAACAGCTCAGAGGAGACCCGCAGTGGGTAGCTCCTCTCTGAAGGCAGGTTGTCCTATCATCTGCCAGAGTCTGGCTGCGTCCAGGATTTCTTTTTTTTTTGAGACAGAGTCTTGCTCTGTCGCCCAGGCTGGAGTGCATGGCACGATCTCCGCTCACTGCAAGCTCCACCTCCCGAGTTCACGCCATTCTTCTGCCTCAGCCTCCCAAGTAGCCGGGACTACAGGCGCCTGCAACCACTCCCGGCTAATTTTTTATTTTTTATTTATTTTTATTTTTATTTTTAGTAGAGACGGGGTTTCACCGTGTTAGCCAGGACGGTCTTGATCTCCGGACCTCATGATCCCCCGGCCTCAGCCTCCCAAAGTGCTGGGATTACAGGCGTGAGCCACTGCCCCCGCCCGGCCAGAGTCCGGGATTTTCATGGGCTTCAGAGAGGAGGAAGTGCATGCTGATTGGTCTATGGCTGGCAATGGGTAGGCCTGAAGAAAGCACCATATGTTCTCACTCCGGTCCATGGAAATGGCAGCCCAGCCCCCAGGCCTCAAGCTGTCCCTGGTTTGAAGGTGGAGTTTCATGGGGTACTTGCTCCTTTCCACCCAGGAGCCTTTCTGCCTCCTGCTATCATTAACTTGCTATCCACGGTGTCCACAGCACTCAGGCTGTTCATGCTGAAGGGTGCCTGCAGGCCGGTGGAGATCCACCCTTAGTCCCCTCCCCCTCAGCCTCCCTCCCATGCTTATTGGTGCCCAAAGTCCAGAGGGGAACGGTAGCAGGGAGCTGGCATGTCGGCGCTGTCCCGAGGGCATACACACCTAGCCAGGTCGTCACAGTGCATGGGCTAAGTCACAACTTTGCTTAAAAATCAGAGCAGGCACTGGGAGCAGGGAGAGGCCAGGCAGTGGATGCAGGCATTCTGAGCCTGAGGGAGCTGGGGGGCTACCTGGGCCTCCAAGAGTGCAGAGATGCCCATGCCTGCAGCAGAGACTTGGTGGCTGCAGCTGCACCCGAGAGGGCAGGTCCCAAACCTACAACTTCAAAGGGGTTGGGCTTTCAAGTGGATCCTGATCCTGGCTCCTGGCTCCAGCTGGATCCATGGAACATGAAGCCCTGTCTGCACTTCCCCAGTTGCAACCAGCATCATGTAAGAGGCCACTTCAGATGGGCTGTCACTGCCATCAATATGGTGCCAGAAAAATCAAGTGAATTTGATAGATGAATACAAGACAGAAAGTAGAAAATGGAAGTAGATGTTAGAGACATTTTATTTTTATTTTAACAAGGTATGTAAAATATTTTATAATTATTGTTGAGAGAAATGTGAACTCACTTAAATTGTGATCATAGAAGCTAATATTAATTGAGTTTATATTCCCTACCATGGTTTAGTTTTAGTTTTAGGTGTGTGTGTGTGTGTGTGTGTGTGTGTGTGTGTGTGTGTGTGTGTGTGTGTGTCATTTTATACATACAAATTTCCTAGGATGTAAAATGTTTTAATCTATTCTCATTTTAAAAATAGAAAACACGTTTAGAGCTATAAAGTAACCCATTAAAGGTCAATTAGCTATCAAATTAAGGATCCTAGTTTAAAATGCTATAGTGGGGTCTATCATCAGGGGCTATACTTCTAACTAGAAGATTGTTCTGTGAGAGTAAAACAACTAGAAAAGCCATTTTTGCATCCTTGAAGGGCTAGTTATGAATGGTGGAGAAAACATCACACATTTTTTACTCCAGAAATCACAACAAAAATAAATACATTAAAAAAACAAATTCATTGAAGATATCAAATATATTTTTCCCATGCTAGATCTATTCAACAATAAAATGAGCTCCCTTACAAAAAATGAACTCCTTATTCTAAGAATTACTGGGGCAGGCATGGTGGCTAATGCCTGTAATCCCAGCACTTTGGGAGGCTGAGGCTGGTGGATCATGAGGTCAGGAGATCGAGACCATCCTGGCTAACACGGTGAAACCCCATCTCTACTAAAAATACAAAAAATTTGACAGGCACGGCGGTGGGTGCGTGTAGTCCCAGCTACTCGGGAGGCTGAAGCAGGAGAATGGTGTGAACCCGGGAGGCAGAGCTTGCAGTGAGCTGAGATCACACCACTGCACTCCAGCCTGGGTGATAGTGCAAGACTCTGTCTCAAACAAACAAACAAAAAAAAGTTATTTGAGAAGTACTTTTTTACTATTAAAAATATTGTGGATATTCTCATATTCCCTCTACATTGGAAGGAATGCTCATTTATTTTTCTCTGGGAAAAAAAAATTATCAATTGAGGGCCTAAATTTACAAAAACATGACCAATACTAAAGCAATAATAAATCCATTTCCATTTTTCCAAGGGCCAATAATATTCATCAAACTTAAATATGAATATATGTACACATATAAAGTAGAAAAGGCCAAGTTTACTACCAATTAGTTGATTTAAATAATTCTAAGCAAGAAATAACAGCACATATTTCTTCCCAGCTACATTTTTTTGCCTTAAAAATAGCAAGTTACTTATTCTACTGAGTATATTGATTTAAGCTATTTCATTTATCATTGTATCTGGGTAGATATCGTGATTTATCTCTAGTTTCATCATGAAATATTGATAGTAGATGAATTATGTAACCCAGAAGACAGAAAGTATATAAACAATGTAAATTAGTACAAAATATCACAAAATTATTTTGAATCATTTTGCTTTCACTTATGCTGATTTTTGGTTCAAAGACTAATACGTAAATCTGTTGTCACTTAAACATGTCTCTAAAATGTAGTATAACTTAATAAACTGGAACTGTTCTATTTCTTAATCTCACTAGCGAATTCCACTGTTGGTATGTTTTTATCTATTGGTATATACTCATATGTTATTTTATCTAACTAGTTCCCAAAGGTACTACTTGACAATGTATGTTTCTCCTAGGTTTGAAACCTAAATACATTCATTTTACAGACTCTGACTTCCTTCTACTACTACAAGGTGATTTTAAGAAATGCTGTCATTATTTATCTTTCAAGAGGACAGCTTCTGTTTCTTCTTTTTGTAAGAGACTAGGTATCAAGTGTGACCTACCAAGAGTACATATACATGCTCTGAAACTTTCTCTGTTATTGTCAATGCTGTAAACAAACAAGAAAGCAGCAACAAATATAGAGCTTGATCATGCAAAATTGTTGACAATGTTGGAAATGATAGACTGTATAGACCCATCAAAGCGCATCTTCATTTTTAAATATATCTAGTACTTAACAGAATTAAATAGGCAAGGATACATGTGAAGTCATTTACTAACATTTTTTACTTATATTTCATTCAGCAAAGCCGTGTATTTTCTCAAAAATATACCAAGCTTAGGTATGTGTTTCCTGGCAATGGTAAGTTACAGTTAAAGGGACTATGGTTTATGAACATAAACAACTTTTTAAATATATTTTTAAATGTTTGTTCATCTCTCAAAAATATTTTGATAGAGAGTCCTTACTTTTCACATCAGTAAAGATCTGTACCACACTTCTTGTATAGAAAATTTAGAAATATTTTACAGGTTATTAAAGCATGCCTTAGTCTGACTGTATCATAGTCATTCTGGATGTTGTTTAAAAAAATGCAGATTTTAGAGTTCACCACTTTTCTGTTTAATCCATGTTTCTGGGGTAAAGGCAACACAAACTATGGTTTGCAAAAGCATGCCTGGTAATTTTTTTACATTCTAAAATTCTGGATCCATAATGTTTTAAAAAACACATTCCAATGTTGCATATGTAATAACACTTTCTATGAAACTAAAATTCTAGTTCATGTTTATCTCATTATATTCTACTTCTGCAAAATGTATACCTTCCAAAGAAGGTATACCTGACCTTGGGGTCAGGTTAAGTGGCTCTACTTGTGATGTGTTACTTTGGCTTCCCCCTTGAAAATTACTGTGCCATCTGACTTTAAAAAATAATGTCTAAAATATCTCTTTCTGCTGAAAATGGATTAAAACCTCAAGAGGACTTGACATTTTAATATAGAAAATGCTTATCATTTATCTATATGTTATGCAAAAATAGTATGAGTTTAGGTTAATGTAAAGAAGAAATTCACAAAGTCAACAATAAACAACAGCATTTTTTCTTGGTTTGATTTCTCAGTAATGTATCTGAAAACTTCCGTTGACTTTTTATCCAGCATTAAAAGTGCACATTATAGACAGCTTTGTTAAATAATTGGCAACATCAAAAATGCATGTTCTACAACATAAGCCTGATATAATGTAGTGATTGTGCCCTAAGAATTTTTTAAAAATTCATATGTTACATTTACATGGATGATAAAGGCATACACATACACACACACACACACACACACATATATATACACACAAACATATATAATTGCTAGAGGGAGCAATGCATTGCAATGTTTGTAAATGCAAGCATATATAGATTACAGTTTTTATTGTTATTTTTTATTGTGGATAATAGCACATGAATGCTATTTTAATGACAGAAAAATAATTTACAGATATATAAGTGAAAATATGAGTTATTTCATAGCCTAAAACATGAATCCATTTTTCTGATGATCAAAAGCAAAATTTTATAAATTCTTGTTACATTATTGGGGAAGGCATTTCATCTCACCTGCCAACTTTCTTATTCCAACCAATGAGGAGGGATGCCTAGACTGTGTTGCAATTGAAAAGCATTCATCTTTGTTAGGCAGGGTGGCATGAAATGTGTACACAGTAATTATAACAATGAATTTTAAACTATGAATCTTCCTAGAGCATGTAGAAACTATCTGTTTTTCCTATTCGGCTCCATGTTTCCTCAAGCCTTTTTCAATCTTTCTTATCTTATTATTTTAGGTTAAATTCCTATTATATAAAATATTTTTATTCATAGAATAAAAGATACAAATAAATGAATAAATGTATTCAAAGAATAAATGGTCAAAGGGAACAAACTTTCAGTTGTAAGACAAATAAGTTCTGGAGGCCTAATGTACAGCATGGTAACTATACTTAGTAATAATGGATTGTATAGTTGAAATCTGTTAACAGAATAGAACTTAAGTGTTCTCACCACACACACACACACACAGACACACACACACACACACACACACACACAGAGAGAGAGAGAGAGAGAAAAGACAGAGAGAAAATTTGGCCTTTGTCCCTGATGCCTGAGAGGAAAAGTAAATTCTTGTACCTACACCCTGACAATAGGACTGTCTTTGTTATTTTTTTTTTTTTGGAATGTAGAAGAATGTTTACTGTGGCACTGTTAATACATAGCAGAAAATCAGAAGCAAGTGAAATGTTCATCGATAGAGGATTAATTACATAAATTATGAATTGTTATTTATTAGTCTGTTGGCTTACACCTGAGTGTATGCTAAACAGATACCTCATAATGGGGGCTGGTCATCAGAAAGACCAACCCTGTGATTACAGAGTTAGGGCTTTGAGCCAGCCCCACCTCCGGGGAAAGTAGAGAGGTAGGACACTGAATTCAGCCTTGTAGCCAATGATTAAATCAAACATACCTACATAGCAAAAGCCCATGAAAAATTCTGGATATGGAAGCTCAGTGGTACTTCCTGGCTGGTAAACAAAATCAATATACCATGACAGTGATGCCTCCTAATTCCACAAGTGATACAGGAGATAGAAAGAAATTATTTAGGCAGATAGTTAGGGTGAAAGAGACCCTGGCAAAACTTTCCTTCTAACAAGAAGCAGCTCAGAAATTACTGTCTTTCTAACCACACGCAGTTCAAAGAAATCACTTCTAACAAAGAACAGCCTGGAAGATCCAGCTGTAAAACACAGATAGGCAACTCCAGCACAAAGGGAGAGTTTCCTGGGTAATCACGAAACTTCACATACATATGATGGGTCCCAATAAAAACACTGGGTCTTAATGAGCACATTCTTTTCCCTTTTTTTGGGCACACTAAAATAGGGACGCCGAAAGCTTGCAGGGTGATGGAGGCATGCCTGCAGCTACAAGGAGGTACCTGGGACCAGGCATAGAAACTCCCCCTCCCCTTTTTAGCAGATGCACGGTGCAAGGATAAGCAGCATGGAGTAGCCCAAGCTAAGAGCCCACCTGCAGGATAAAAGAGTGAGGTCGAGGGTGCTAGAAACAGAGACTCTGCTCTATGCTGGTGGCACACCTGGTCCTAACCAGGTTTTTGCACCCTATGTAGATAAGATACCCCCTCCCCACTAGCTCATTTATATAAACCCTTACATTTTACTGCAGCATGGCAACCCATTTGGGACCTCTCTCTGTGACAGAGAGCTGTTCTTCTCCATTCACCTATTGAACTTCTGCTGTAACCTCGCCCTTTGTGTTCGCATCTTTGATTTCCATGACCATGAGAAAAAGAATCTCAGGTGATATCCCAGACAGTGAGGCTGCTACACAGAAGAAGGCATGGGAGCTCTGCATATAAAGCCCTCCCAGACTTAACCTTCACCTTGTGTGTCTCTTCATTTGGCTGGTCCTGATTTGTATCCTTTATAATAAAACTGTAATCATACTTTTCTGTGTTTTGTGAGTCTTCCTAGCAAATTATGAAATTGAAAGGAAATGTGGGAAACACAGAATTCATGGCCCATTGATAATAAGTGCAGGTGGCCTGAGGAACCTCAAAATGCACCTAACATTTGAAGTGAGGGCAGTTATGTTGGGGACTGTGCTCTTTAGCTTGTGAGGTATATGCTAACTGCAGGTAGTTAGTGTCAGAACTGTACTGCAGCAGACTAGTTGGTTCACAATAATGGGCGTTTTGTGATGCTCCATCTCATTAAAAAAAAAAAACAAACAAAACAGTAACATCATAGGCAGACATACCATCAGCTCCTAGGTCTCTCTTCTAGCTCTGCACTAATGCAAATATTTGTCAATGTGTGCTTACTGAGAAGAGGCCACAAGATATAAGATTCAAACTTAATACTCATGACCAGGTAAAAAAAAAAAATTGGAACTTGGAGTAGAGAAAATACTTTCATCTTGTGAAAAGCAAAAAGGATATTGTTGCCTAATATGGGATGATGAGAAACAAATGCAAAAGGAATACAAGTCAAACTTACTATGACTCCTCTCTCATCCATGACATCATACCACAACATATGAGCATGAAGTGAGATTATAAAGTTCTCTGGATATGTGGTTTGTACAAGAATTAGTCAGGTATATATCCCCTCAGTCATTTTGGTGGAGAAAAATTATTCCCCATAAGCAGATGGGAGAAAAAAAAGATTCAAGGAATTGTCATTTGAATCAGTTTGCACATATTCTATTAAAAGGAAATAAAACTTCAAAATCCTACAACCTTTGTACAACTTGAGCTTATTGAATAAAAAAATACTGTGGTCTGGGCCCCTTTACCTCAGTACTCCCAGTTGATACCTATTATCAACTATAAAATGGCCATTTCAAAAATATTTTAATGCTTTTAATGCTTGGATAATTTTACTAAGTTCAGATATTTTTATACTGCTATACTTAGTAACACCCATCATACTTACTAATATAGACACAACCCCTAAAATTATATTGGCACTTTTTTCAGAGTTAAAATTAATACTGTTAATTTATTGTAAAGAAACCAAAATAATCCTTCTTCAATATATGATATATGGATCCCATAAATTGGTATATAGGATATTGGTAATTTGTATATTAGAATAGGACACACATATATACACACAAAAATACACACATATAATGGAAGTCCTCACTTAACCTTGTTGATAGGTTCTTGGAAACTACAACTTTAAGAAAAATAATGTATCCTAAAACCATTTTTTTGTCATAAACATTATAACAAAACAACATTGAACTAAACAATGTTATTTGAGGGCCTTCTCTGTCATTTTGCTTATAGTTGCAGTTTCCAAGAACTTATTCATGATGTTAAGTGAGGATTTTTTGTACATATATACACAAATACATATATGTATGTGGGCATATATATCTTCTGTTTTTAAGAACACATCTATTAAACATCAGTGTTGCATTTTCTCATGTAAAACATCACAAAACTGGCTCACACCTGTAATCTTAGCATTTTGGGTGGCCAAGGCAGAAGGATCACCTGAGCCCAGGAATTCAAGAACCTGCCTAGGCCCTTTTCTAACAAGAACAACAAAAAATTATCCAGGTGTGGTGGTGCATCTGTGGTTCCAGCTACTTGGGAGACTGACATGAGAGGATTGCTTGAGAGGAGATGGAGGCTGCAGTGAGCCGTGATCGCACCACTGAACTCCTGCCTGGGTGACAGAGCAAGACTTTGTCTCAAAGAAAGAAAGAAAAAAAATCAAACTGTTAAATGTGGCTTGAACTCTCCATCGTGGGCAAAAGTGTTGCTGTTTGCTGTTCTTGGCTGCCTCCAAAGTGCTTAATGCTTCTTTATCCACTTCACCAACCCTCAGTGTATTTTTTTTCTTCTCAAAGTAAGTCACCCACAGGTGTATTTTCTGTGTGGAATACTCATGTATCTACCACCACAGAATCCTAACGCTTTATGCCTGAAGGAATAATAATTTTATGTGTGCTATTAACCACTTGAAGGCAGTGAGCTATTCTCTCTTGATAAGGTAAAAGCCTTTATAAAAAGTTGTCCTATTATCAATATTAGAAGATCTTTTTTTTGAAAGGTAACAAATCTTGTTTAACACAGTGAGCTACAATGGTTTCTAACAAAACAACCTGAGTATTGAAATTGGTTGTTTAAAAAATGCCAGTCATCAGAGCTAAATAAAATATGAACTCAAGACTAAATGTAAAAACATAAATAAGACTAAATGTAAAATGTATTATTGAATACAATTACCAGAAAATTATGCTTTTCAGATTGTTTTTTGAAAGTTATTATTGCTGCCTGGTAATTGTTTTTTATCATTCTGTGTGTGTCCTCTCTTTGTTAGTAGGCTCTAAGCTCCTCTAGAATAAAAATTATCATATAATTTTATAATCACCATATTTACATTGTATTTTCACACTCAAAACACTTGAGAATTTCCTATCTGCATTTAATTTTTTAAAAGCACTTTCATGATTCTACATCCTCCTCCACCTACGTTTCCTCTTCCTAGCTGCTAAGTAACTTCCAAGGTGTGGTTCAAAGGTCTGTATTATCCTGTATATAATTTGTTCACCATCCTTTTGGATTTAAATCCTATCTATATTCAAGTGAGTCCTTTTTGCAACTTGGATCTCTTCAGTCAAGTTCAATCTTATGAAGCCAGTTGTTTACTTGACACCTTTTCTGGAATAGAGATCTCCATCCAATAGAGATCTCCATCCAATAGAGATCTCCATCTAAAACCTGTTCTCTTCTGCAGAGAGTGAAAAGGAAAAAAATGTCTCACTTATTTTTTTCAAATAAGCTTTCACATGTAATCACATATATTTGTTTCAATCAATATTCAATGTAAGTTCAGGTAGTAAAACAGATCCCACTCTACCTAGAGCCAAACCACAGTGAATGCATGCTAGGTTTAAATTTGTTTTACTCTGATAGCACATCAAAATGTGTCAGCTAGAATAACATGCTTAATCTCTGTGACATATTCTTCACAGTCTTGTGATGAGAATTTTCTCCAGAATAATTCAAGCAGAAGTGTTTCCAGTATTTACTGATTTAGTTTTTAAAATCATTATCGAACACACGATAAAATGCTATTTAATTATTTTTAAATTATGAAATAAAACACATCTATGTTAAATACTAGAGTTTGTAAAATTAATATATTTAACCTTTGCTGGCACATGATATTATATTTGTTGACATCTCCATATAGTAATTATACTACAAATCTAGTGTATATTATATTCATTATTGCAACTGATATTTAACACTAAACTGAGAACAAATCCTGGCTTTGCTACTTACTGGTTATGAAATACCAGATAAATGACAACCTTTCTCAGTTTTCTGCTTTTTTAAAATGATAATAATCCTTTTATTCATTTCCTATGGATGCTATAAAAATGAAAAAAGATGAAAACATACAAAGCTTATAAGAGTGTCTAAACCATAGAAAGTGTTCAATAAAGCATAGCTAGAATGTTGTGACCTACTATAGAGGTGGTGAAGTAATACCAGAGAATGGGACACAATTGATCATAAGTTTAGGGAACTTAGCTTCTGCTGAGAAAGATAATTTTTAAAATACAAATAAATGAACAAACTAATTGTGCCTCCATGTATCATAATAAGAGTATATTATCAATGGATTAAGCAAGAGTTGAGGGCTTAGCATGAACGATCCATGAGATTGGAGTTTAGTGAGTGAAGATAAGTGACACCATTAGAAATATCCACAGACCAGAAATAACAGTAAACCTTGTCAAATGTTGATTAGGCATTTGATCTAAAATGTTTTATCCAAAACATTTTGGTTATAAATCAGTAAACTAATAAATATTACTTGATGCATAATATTATTTAAAACATTTGGACATATGTCAGACTTTTCCTAATTAATAAATCATGTTTGTTATTTAAATTACTATAATTATTTACATAGGAAGTTTGACTTCTGAATGGTAAATTTAAAATGTTATATTCTGTTTTGTTTTAGAAAGGCTATATATTAAAATTTAGAATTATACTTAACAGTACATTATAACTTTCAAAACATAGTTTTAAAAGTTAGGACTTATTGCTTTTGTACTTAAAGAAACTGGTTTATTTTCATATTTTAAAGTTGTATTTTTAAGACATGTTAAGAAGTTCCCTTTATATATTTTTTATGCATTAGACCCTAATGTGGGATAGGAATTTATCAATTTCTAATAAAAAAAGAAAGATTTAACCTAATAATTACCATACTTTTTGATAACCTTTACAGAGCTAGAAATAACATCAAAGTCTTTTTTAAATGTTTTGTTTAGATTAATTCAATTTAGAAAACTTATACATACAAAAAACACTTAAATAAACAGCTTAAAGAATTATGATAAGCTACCCTTAGATACTCACAATTTTCATTGGGAATTGCCTGTCTTTCCCTCCTTATTTTTGGTCACCTAGAGTTTATTAGATGTTCGTTGGAGAACCTTGTCTTCAGTCTTCTTTTCCTGAGTTAATACTGAGAGAGTCTTCAGGGTTTCACCTTAACTGACTGAGGTCCTTTAACAAAAGGCCTTGAAGGCCATATCCTAGCTTATTTTTTGCCCCAAGCCTGAATAATAAACAACCTTTGTTGCTCAAACACCTTTTCAGTGTAATCACTTAGTAGTTATAAATGAGAATGAATGAGACAGGAAATATCATTCTCCCATAAACACAGGTCCCATAGGGAGGGTCAGGAAGTCTGTGGACAGCAGCCACTTCTTACAGCAAACGGTGGTGGGGGAGAATATTATACATATTACTGATAAAAGTTACAAATTAATTGGAAAAATTTAGCATTATATATTAATAGAGAAAAATTTTAATTTTTACATTTTCCCCTATTTTTACCTAAAACAAATTTATACTAATAGCTCACTAAAATGAAGTAAACATGATAAACAATAAAAATTAATTTGAGCAGCTTTAATAACACATTATAAAGAAACAAAAACAATAATTGTATTAAAGAATTCTTAGTTAAAGAGTCAATCTGAATCAACATTACTACCAAACTCCACAAATAAAATAAAACTTAGTTACATTGTTCCCTGAAGATAAGTTAATTTGTGCAGGATGTAAAGTACATCTTTGCACAATTTATATACAAAAAAGTTTGCCAAACAGATTAAATGTTTAAAGGGTGTAGGAGATAAGTTTTTATCTTCTCTAAGAATAACTTGACAATATATATTACATTTGTGAAGAAATCCTGTTAATGGCACACTGTTTTTGTTAAAGTATTAAAGCAGGATCTCTAGGGAATTCTATCAGCAACATGTTTATGAACTTAGCCCAAATCAGTGCATGGAGCTAAGGTATAATAAAAATATGTGTGTTTAGAATTATCAAATATTAGTGCTGTGAGACAGTAGATATCACTGTTAGGTGTGGTGGCTCATGCTTGCAATCCCAGCACTTTGAGAGGCTGAGGTGGGCTAATTGCTTGAGCCCAAGAGTTCCAGACTGTTAGTGGTGGAAGAGATCCAAGTCACCATCCCCCAATCCATACACGTCTGCAGCAATTTCAATTCTTGCCTCCTCAGAAGAAAGAATTTGACTGAGGGGCATAAAGCAGAAAAAAGAGACCTAGGTGAGTTCCAGAGCAGGAGTGGAAGTTAATTTTAATTAACTTCCTTTTTAAAGCTTTTTAAAGCTTCAGAACAATAAAAAAAAAATAAAAGAATCCTTGGAAGAGATACAAGTGGGTGCCTGAAGGTCAAAGAGAGAAAACAGGAGTGACCTTATAGGCTGGAACTTTATAGGCTTCATCCTGGAACTTTATAGGAACTTTATCCTGGAACTTTATAGGCTCACTTTTTTCCCATCATTCTTCCCTTAGGGTGGGCTTCTGCATGCAGTGTCTTTCTTACCCTTGGGAATTGAGCACAGGCAATGTATTTAAGGGGTCATAGGCATGCCCTTCTGAGGCCTTCTTCCCTTTTCTGGTAGCATGTATGTAAGCAAAATGGATGTGCTGCAATCAAGAACAGGCCGAGGCAGGCATCTGGTCCAGGATGACTCAGAGAGTTTGGAGTGCAGGTGCACAACTCTACCCATTATGTAACCTGTTTGTGTAAGCTCATCACCTGGCTCTGAGCCACTATTGTCTGTGAGGTGCATAGATGCATCACCAATACTGTGAGAGCACAGGCATAATGGAGCCAAGCTGGAGCCAGCCACCTTGCAGGCAGACAGCAGGGAGCCAAGAATTGGCGAGTGTGCCAGGGAGTGCAGCTGCAGGCATTCGGGGGGCAGGAGCCACAAAGCTGGCTGCTGAGAGGGGATGCTGCCAGAGCAAGTAGCCGAGATAAAGGCTGACAGAAAAAGACAGAGAGAGCCATCCACCTTGCAGGTGGACAAGGGGAGACGAAGACTGCACAAGGCTTGTGTCCAGAGAGAGAATAAAGCCATGTCAAAACTCTCTGTGATCCTTTGAGTGTTCTTTTGGCTGCCCCCACTCGTCCACCCACTCCCCTCGGTCCTCAGCTTGGGCCAGAACCTGAAACTTGGCATGACATTTGGTGTAGTCGGCACGATTACTGAGGTGAGTGAGCCTTCGGTCCCCACTGATTCTGGGTTGGCCATGTGGCTGCAACGTGGGTTATAGTACCCATTGGCAGCTATGCTGCTCAGATGGGCTTTGGTGGAAACCTGGGCAGTGATAGATTAATCCCCCGTGACCATGGAGAGAGAGACAACCGCCTTGCAGGCAGATGAGGGGAGAGAGAGATTGCACACCACTTGTGCCCAGAGAGAGAGAATAAAGCCATGTTGAAACTCCTTATGATTACAAGAGTGTTCTTTCAGCTGCCTGCCACATGTCCAGTCACACCACACATTCCTCAGCTTAGGCTAGAACCTGACACTTGGAGTGACAGTGTACCTGGAAGATCATACTTTGCCATTTTTGTCTCTTAATGTGCATGCCCAGGAAGTTGCTTCTTCCTGGGGCCTGAAATCAATTAACATTTTAATGTTAATGGGTGTGGACCATCAGGAAATGGCCTCCCCAGGCCTAGCTGCCAATTTAGCACTTTTAGAGAGGCAATGTGATTGCCTAACCATCACCTGACATTTCTAGTGGGTGGGGAGAAGAACTCTCTCTTTCCTCACTCATGCCTAACTACTTGTAACAAGACCAGCCTGGGTGACATGGCAAAACTCTGTCTCTACTGAGAATACAAAAACTAGCTGGGCATGGTGGTAGACAGCTGTAGTTCCAGCTACTCAGGAGGCTGAGGTGGGAGAATTGCTTGAGATCAAGGCTGCAGTGAGCAGTGATCTCACCATTGTACTCCATCTAGCCTGGGCAACAGTGCAAGACCCTGTCTCAAAAAAATAAAATAAAATAAGAGAGAGAGAGATCACCTGATTTAATATATTCCAAATTACACTCACGCTTTGCTTAAAGATGAATATACTTTCTGAGAAATGTGACATAAGGCGATTTTGTTCATTGTGTGAACATCATAGAATGTACTTACACAAACCTCTTATATGGTATAGTCTACTACACACCTAGGCTACAAATCTGTGCAGCATGTTACTTTAGCGAATACTGTAGTCAATTGTAACACAATGGTAAGTACTTGCATATGTAAATATATCTAAATATAGAAAAGGTAAGGTCTTGCTTGTGCTACTATGTTACCAGGGCTACTACAATGTCACTAGGCAATAGGAATTTTTTTAGCTCCATTATAATCCTATGGAAATGCTGTGCTCCAAGGTTGACCAAAACACCCTTATGTGGTACATAACTGTGTAATTATCAGTTAGTTAATAGCTCATGCATTTTAGATTCTGACTAGCACTAAAAAGAAAAATTGAACAGAATAAGTAGGTTAGAGAGAATCATATGCTATAATGTTATTTTGGGTAAAAATTATATATAAAAATATATATAATTTATATATTATATATAATTATATCTTCTACCTTGAAATTTATATCTGTGTATATATGTATTATATATGTATATATAATTTTTATATAAAAATTATATATAAAAATATAAATATATAAAAATTTTATATAAAAATCATATATACATATATATAAAAATTTCAAGGTAGCATGCAAAATGTTTTTACTTTGGTGACAAGGAAAAATCTTTGAAGGTCTCTGAGTTAAACTATGACTTTGATGTTTTTCTAGTAAAGAAAGAAAGTTTTTACAAATTTAAAAGATTTTCCCTAACGTCTCATAGTGAATCAGGACTGAGCTATGACTATTATAATCTACTGTCATGATTTTCAGTCTACTGTTTTTTTCAATACTCAATAAACACATTATTACCAAGAAGAAAATACCTTTCTAAAAACTAGAAACCTCACTTTAAATAGTCCTCAGGATTGAAAGAACACTTTAGAAGGAATATTTTTTATTTATTTTCCAGTATGCAAAAAAAATGAAAGATAGCTTTGGCTATTGTGCTTTTATTTTCTGACATCCCCCTTTCTTATTTTTTAACTAATAGAGACTAATTTTTCACCTTAGTAAATCAAAACTAAAATGATTATATGATGTTTGTTGTTACTGATACGAATAATATCTTGCTAAGATTCAAAATATTATTTTTATTTTTTGCTTTAATTAAGTGAATATGAGCTATTCTAGGCAGAACCTATATAAAATACAACAATGTCAAATAATTGTAATGACTCAATAACTTTTGAATTAAAATGTGCAAGCTGTTATTATTAGGTCTTCAGAAACAAACACACTAAACGAGTATTCTTTTGTTCCTTTGAAAGCAATTAGAACTTTTCTAAAAGTCTTTGTATGCATTTATCCACATACTTTGTATGCAGATAGGCTAGAGGCATGTTTTGCTGTACAAAAGATGTTTTAAGATAAATATCCAGTAATAATAGTAGTTATCTTCTATAATTAATGTTTAAATATGGTAATAATATTTTCACCTTATAGAAATAAAAATTTTTCTATTATTTACAAACTGTAAACAAGTGACTTCTATTTTGAATATTTACTAGTTCATACATTTTGTACTTCTTCCTTGTATTTATATAAAATTTATTGTGTCAGATATAATGAAAAATACAATTGCAAATTGTTAGAGAAAAGTATAGCATTTTAAAGATTAAAAATTATATATAAAATCATGTAGAAGTTTTATAACTCTTTGCTTATGTAAAATTTACTGGAATCATTCTAATATTCTCTAGAATAAATTTAAAATAAAAGTAAAATTTATGCTAAATAATTAACTATTTAATGATTAACGTAAAAATGGATGAATGGTTAGGTTAGGTTACATATATCAGACTCTTCTCCAGAGTACAGTAGTTCAGTTTGACTTCAATTTACCCCATTTTGTGTGAAGCTCTTTTCCAGAATATTTTGATAAAGAAGAACAAGTGAAAATTAAATAAAGCAAACAAACAGGAATGGAACACATATGTATATAACATGTATGTCTGTATGTATCATTATATTTATGTTTCTATGCATATATGCAAATGTGTGTATGTACTTGTGTGTGTGTGTGTATAAGTATTTACTTCTCCAAATTCAGTGAGAAACACTAATCTATCAATACTGAAAAACTAGTGAATCTCAAGCATGATAAAAAAAAGAAAACTACATTAAGGCATATCATAGTAAATCTGCTACAAACAAAAAATGAATAAAGTATCTGGAAAGAAGCTGAAGAATAAGGATATATCATACAGTTTACAAAAGTAAGAATGACAGATAATTTTTTTACCATAAACAATTAAGACTTAAAAAAAACAGAATGCCATCTCTTAAGTGCTCAAAGAAAGAAAAATTACCAACCAAAACTTAAATATCCAGCAAAAATATTTTTCAAATGTAAGAGTGAAATGGAAACATTTTCAGATAAACAAAAGTATAATGAATTTGATGCCAGAAGACCTACATACAAAAAGATATTTTTAAATCTCAAGTTTAAGTAAAATGATACAATGTGGGAACTTGATTCTATAAGAAGAAATGAAGGACCCCAGAAATGGTAAAAAATACAGATAAATATAAAAGAATATTATATATTTTTTTTCTAATTTCTTTAAAAGAAATTTTTCAAATAAAAGCTAATATTGATGCTTTTGCAGCTTATTTACCAAAATAATATTTTTTCAGAATAGATGCATGTAGATAGAATTGTATTATTCTAAAAAATAGTATATTTTAACTGAAATAATTCAATATAAATTATAAGTAGACTAATTAGTTAAGGAGCCATATCATAACCCCTGGAGCAAAATCTAATAAAGTAATGCAAAAATACATAGTAAAAAAATTGAATAAATTGAAATAAAAATTAAAAAAATAAGTATTGACTTAAAAGAAGGAAGAGAAAGAAAAGGACAGAAACGAAATAAAAATGGATTGGACAAATAAAAATAAATAAATAAATATCAAAATCAACTTAAATGCCATAATATTAGTAATTCATTAAATAGAAATAGACTAAATACAACAAATAGAAGACAGAGATTGTGAGACTGGATTAAACAAAGAGAACAAAACAAAAAATAGACAAAATGAATTATGTCTAAGACTCAAAATATTAAACATGATATATTCTGAAAACATTCAAATGGAATCAGATGTGGCTCTATCAATGTGAAAGTAGATTTCAAAGATAACTTGTATTAACAAAGATAAAGAAATACATTTTACAACGACAGAAGTTCCTACTCATTAGAAGACATGAAGATTACAAAGTCATATTCCTCTAATAATAGATTTTCTAAATTCAGATTATAAATTCCTGAACAGAACTAAAGGTAGAAATAGAAACACGTTAAGACTTTTAAAAACACCTCTTTCAACATGTGGGATAAGAAGTAGAAATGTAGACAGAAGTTATCATGGTTTGAACAACAATATAAAACAAATTGATATTTATAAAATGCCAACTGTAAGATAAGCATAATTTTCAAGTCTTTATAAAACATTCACCAAGAAAAGGCATATGCTTGACCATAAAATAAATTTCGGTACCGTGAGTCAATAAAATCTCTTTTCTTTATAAGTTACCCAGTCTCAGGTATGTCTTTATTAGCAGCTTGAGAACAGACTAATACAGTTCTCTAACCATGTCTCATGAAAGGTAGGCACAAATGTATACCACAAGCACCTGCAGGCGGGAATTGTAAATAAATCCTGGAGTGGGTTGGGGAGTGCCAGGCTTTGGTTCTATGGTATTATATAGATATTTCAGAGATCTGCAGCCAAGAAAATGACATTTGAGCAAAGAATTAAAAGAAGAAGAAATTAACTTTATGACATGGGTTTTTAGCAGTAAAATAGCTTCCAGCAGAAATAATAGTAATAATAATAATAATAATAAGACTACAAAAGTTCTAATTGGGGAATACAACTGATGTTTCGAAAGAAGAGCAAAGAGTTCTGTGTGTGTGGGCCAGGGTTACCAATAGTACAATAGTAAACAGCGAGGTCAGAGTGATGATGGGTTCCTACTTGCTGCATTTTTTTTTTTTTTTTTTGAGACGGAGTCTCTCTCTGTCGGCCAGGCTGGAGTGCAGTGGCGCAATCTCGGCTCACTGCAAGCTCCGCCTCCCGGGTTCACGCTATTCTCCTGCCTCAGCCTCCTCAGTAGCTGGGATTACAGGTGCCTGCCACCACTCCTGGCTAATTTTTTTTTTGTATTTTTATTAGAGACGGGGTTTCACAGTATTAGCCAGGATGGTCTCGATCTCCTGACTTTGTGATCCCCCCCCCGCCTCAGCCTCCCAAAGTGCTGGGATTACAAGCGTGAGCCACCGCGCCCGGCCTGTACTGCATTTTTTAGGCCTCTGTAAAGATCTACCCAGCCAGTTGGAATGGTGGCTTAGATGAAGGAAGGTGTAGTGGTGGTATTGAGAAATGTTAATATTTGGAATATTATGTTATATTCATAGGTTATTATGACATACTGACATTCAATCAATTGAATGAGAAATGTGAGAGAAAGAAAAGTCAAAGATTACATCAAGACCTTTGGCCTGACCAGGAAGACTGTATTTGCAATTAAATGAGATGTTGTTTGGGAGCCACATTTGAGAGATATGAATTTGAAAATACTACTCAAAACATGGAGGTTGGGTACAAGGGAGACAATTGAGCTACAGTTAAAAATTGGGGGTCATCAATGTAGAGGATGGTATTTAAGGCCATGAAACTTGATGAGGTAACAAAGAATAGTATATACTATTATACTACTGAATCGATATATAATAGATTAAAAAACTGAGCTTCCACAGTCTAACAGTAAGACATTAGCACATAAGAGACACTTCATAAAGAGATTATGATAGAATAGCCAGTGAAATAGGAGGAAATTCAGAGTGTGTCATAGAAACCAAGTGAAGAAAGTGTTTCCAGGAAGATGGTGTGGTCAAGTCATTCAAGGAGGATGAGGACCTCTGATCAATATTTACTGTTTAACAAATACTAATGCCTTTCTATTCAACACAGTGATATGTGACCAATCGTAGCAGTTCTTGAGGGCTTTGTTTCTTTGCACTTCACAGTTTTCTCCTTTCTTAGCCCCACAGTCCTTTAGAGAAGGGGAATAAGCAATAATCATTGTTTTGACTTTGCATCAGTAATTTATATAATTCAAGGAGTCCACCTATGTAGGCTGAAGTGCTTTGCAAAGTATATGTAAATTAGATTTAATTTCATGAGAATATACTATTTTTCACTAGTACATTAATAGTTGACCATTTCATGAATTACATACTGAAAATCCTTGCTAAGAAAAAAATATGGAATATTCTTCTGAACGCTTTGTGATATCCCAATGCTTCTAGTGTTTTATAATTATATTTGGCTTTAGGCCTGAAGTTACTTGGCCCAATGATGCAATTTGTCACTTTTATGTGTTACTTCCAAATGATTTTAATGTGTTTTATGCATGTAAAAACGGCAGGACAAGTCCCTGAAGATTATGGGAACAGATTTTTGAATTACATGGTGAATTTTTATTTCTAAAATATTGACTTTTCTACTCAGGAAATAATATTGAATGCCCTGTGGATAAGCTATGTAAAATGAATACGAAAGTGGACTGAGGATTGCTGAACTGGAGCTAACTGCTTTATTCATTCAGAGGCAATCACAGGAGTGATCTGGGCCCTTTGTTTTCTTACAGCCGTGTCTGATGCTCCTGTATAATAAAGTAAGCAGCTTAAATTGTTGCTTTAGTCAACAAGTCCTTGATCAATCAGTGACTCACTGACAAACTATTTATGAAGTATATACTACTTATATTGAGATATATGCCATAGGGAATATATAAGAAAACTTTACTTCCTGTTCTCCAGGAACCTGGTTATGGAGACATGGCTATGGCATGCTAAATAAAGTGAGAAAAAACAAAGTATATTTTAATTCTCAATTCTTTAGTATATTTTTAAAAGCTAGAGGATTCAAGCAAAGGGAAAAATCAGTGTAATATAGAGTATTAAAGAAAGATATTGGCCGGGCGCGGTGGCTCACGCCTGTAATCCCAGCACTTTGGGAGGCCGAGGCAGGTGGATCTTGAGGTCAGGAGATCGAGACCATCCTGGCTAACAAGGTAAAACCCCGTCTCTACTAAAAATACAAAAAATTAGCCGGGCGCGGTGGCGGGCGCCTGTAGTCCCAGCTACTCGGGAGGCTGAGGCAGGAGAATGGCGTGAACCCGGGAAGCGGAGCTTGCAGTGAGCCGAGATTGCGCCACTGCAGTCCGCAGTCCGGCCTGGGCGACAGAGCGAGACTCCGTCTCAAAAAAAAAAAAAAAAAAAAAAGATATTAAGGGAAGAGTATACTTTGGATGTTCTTCTACATGGACATGGAAAATCCAATTTAGAAGAGGGAAGGTGAATCCTGTACTTCATCTTTGCTCCTCTTAACTTGGCCTAACATTGTTTGGTAGATATTTGCTGGAAAATAATTATGTGACTTTGAATGACATGGCTATCCAAAGAGAAGAGAAGTGATCTAGTGATCTGGTGATCTAAGCAGGCAGAAGAGCATCACTAATGAACAAAGTGTAAATGAGTTCAACCTGTTTAGGGCAAATATGGTAATAACCTTCCTTAGAATGAAAGTTCAGTGGTAAAAAAAAATCAGAAAGTAGGATTTCACCTGCAAATATCTTTTGATAATATATTAATGAGTAATATGTTATCAAACAATTGTTTGACTTATCAAACAATAAATCTCAAACGTTCATTTAGTTTTTTTATAATTACCATATAAACAAATAGCTACCAAGTTTTAGTATAAATTACTTGGAAAAAATATGATGGAATTGTTAAAAGTACTGCTAATCAAGACATATGCATTACCTAATTAAAATTTTACTAGATATGTAAACTGTTTCAGCTGATCTGATTAGGATAAAAAGTTGTTCCTAGTATTTACTATTATTCTTTTAAATTCCTAATTCCTGTGGCCACTTCTTTACCCATTTTCAAGCCTCTTTTCCTGAATATAGTCTGTATTTTCCTGAATATAATCTCTCATAGTAAGAGTAGGCTTGATGTGACGGTTAATTTCAGTTGTCGACTGGACTGGGTTAAGGGATACTCAGATCGATGGTAAAGCTTTATTTCTGGGCATGTCTGTGAGGGTGTTTCCAGAAGAAATTGGCATTTGAGTCAGTAGACTGAGGAAGAAAGATCTGCCTTCACCCAGTGTGTTCGGGCACCATCTAATTGGTTGAGGGCTGGGTATTACAAAAAGGCAGAGGAAAAACACATTTGCTCTCTGTTCTGGAGCTGAGGCACCCATTTTCTCCTGCCCTTAAACATCAGAGCTCAGGGATCTCTCTGGGCTTTGGTCAGGGGACACCAGTGGCCCCAGTTTCTCTGGCCTTCAGTCTCATACTGAGAGTTACGCCATTGGCAACCTTGGTTCTCAGGCTTTCAGATTTGGATTGAGTTATGGTATTGGCTTTTCTGCTTCTCCAGCTTGCAAATGCCATATTATGGGGCTTCTCAGCTTCAGTAATCAAGTGAATCAACTCCCATAATAAATCCTGTCTTATGCCTTGTGCCCTTGCACTCTCTCTCTCTCTCTCTCTCTATATATATATATACATGAACACACACACACACACACATACACCTCTCCTATTGACTCTATTTCTCTGGGAAACCCTAACTAATATACACTTTGGTAGAAACTATGTTTGGTCTAGGTTACCACAAAGGGTCTAGAAGAGGAAAAAACATTAGAAACTCAGAAAGGCCAGGTTTCACTAACTGAAAGTTATAGTCTGGGCAATTTATTCAGCTGCAAAGGCTGGGCTTGATGAACAGTGGTCCAAGATGAACAGAAAATGGAAAGCTAAGACATGGTATAAAAAATAAGATCAAAGGCAACAGTTTCATCTGCATTGTAGTTCTGATAGAGGCCCGGTTTTTGACAGAAGCCCACCCAGTGACTGGGTACACGGTGAGTAGAATTGAGAAAAGGAACTAGCAAGAGTTGGTTGAGGTATCAGAACTGCAGCCTAAAAGGCTGAGATTTGGGAGTCTGAGATAAAAACCAAGATAAGAGAAATATAAGGAGGAATTAGAGAGTATTACAACTTAAGCAATAAATGTTTGCTAAATTTTCCTTTGGTGAACAAATTCAAAGCTTGACTGAAATTAAAGAGTGTTACAGTTGGTGTCTTGGGATGTCTATGTCTATGCAACATAGAGGTACCAAAATAATATTGTTCCATGAAAATGGGAGAAAAACACCTATATTCATATAGTTTGTGTTTCCAGAAATAAATAGAAATTCCTGCAACATAAACCATTACGACAATTTTTTGAACATCTAAATGAAGAAATGAAAAAGTGAATAAATAATGGTCTTGTCCTTTGAGGCCAGAACAGTTGACATTTATCCAAATTCCGCCAGATGCTGGAGCTGATCCTACATTAGGTCTTGAGTCAAGCATGAAGACAGCAGTAAATTTTTTACAGACTCAGCAAAACACAAGGCCCAGTTAGTAAATACTTGCTATTTCTTGCTCTAGTTGGCTTTGGGAACTGAGACTGTGTCAATGTGGCTTAAAGTTTTGCCTGGGAAAGATAAGACTGTAAACCAACAAATCACTCTTTGCTTCAGAAAATTCCTAGAGATCAATTTACAAAGATAAAAATATTCTCATGTGAGCAAGTATCACTTGCTAAGTAACAGTATACTTACTTAAACACCATCCCTGTACTGTATCCACCAGTCCTAAACTATATTATATCATGAACTTTGCTCAAACCCAGTCATTTTCCCTCCTTGAAAGATTTACTTTACGAGACTTCAGGTCAGACCCTAAAGGCCTCTTCTGAACCCTGCTTCCTTCTGGATCGCTTCTAAGCCTTGCTCACTCTGTTCTGCAGTAAGCTCTAATTAGTTTATTTTTGCATTTTTAATAAGTTGTCTGTTAATAGTTTGGTAAATTCAACACTTTTTATAAACTTGTTGCCTTTTGTTATGAATAACCATAACAAACTTGATTTCAAGGTATCAAAATTGGCACTATAGCCAAGAAGAAAAAAAAAGTCTCTCATAAGGGGATATATTTGCTAGTCAATAGGCTAGCTATTGGTGTTATCATAGATTATTCTAAACACAGAAATGTAAGGCACTAAGTACTAAGCAAACTTCTGTGATTATGTATAAAGTCATCTAGCAGGCCTCTCAAACAAGAAAGATTATACAGTGTTATAAAGGGCTGAAAGGTAAATGTGGATTTTAATGTGCAAAGGATCAAAATTCTAAATGATGTACTACATGCATAATAAATAGAAAGAAACCAAGCAACTAAACTATTATTAGTTATCATGAATAATTCACCAACTAAAGCATCATCAATACTAGCAGGAAGCAAATTTGTGATTTTAATTAATGTTTAACAAACCAGAACTATTCTGCCTTATAGAACATGATAAATGATAAGGATAAAAAGCACAATATTTTTATCATTTAACACCATTATTAAAAATCAGCTTTTTAAAGTGCTTTTTGGAGCTTCTTACCCACTCATTATTTGCAAAATTCAGATAAGCAAACTAAATTTCAGCACTTTTTAAAACTGAATTGCTCAAGTACTATTTATGGAACATCATATATGTCATAGATTCCATCTTTAATTCAATAAAATGTGAACAATAACATAGTAGTTTTTATAATGTTAAATTACAGTATTAGATGAAAGTTTGTTATATAATTTTTTAAAAAGAGAGGAATGCTAAATTAGCTTATCTCGTCTTCTCAACATATAATTTTCTAGGGCCAAGAACTAGTGGAATTCTAAGTTTTACCTGTGAGAAATGAAATCATCTATAGCCATGGCTTTACTCTCTAAATTAATATGACTTAATTAGCCCAGGAAATTCTTGCCTAGGAAATGAAGTTGTAGATAACTTTATTGTTTCTTTCAGAAACTTTTAATCTACTTGTCCCAAAATAGACTATTCCGCATGCTTTCATCTGGGTTCCTTCTCAGAGCAATAGATCACTCAATTAGATTCATCAAATATGTGTGTACTTTTCTATCACCTGCTTTACAAACCTTGCCTATGTCCACCAATCCTAACTACTATATCACCAACTTTGTCCAAGTCTAATCAGCATTCCCCCAACTACCCTACTAAAATTAGATTAGAAAACCCCCTCTACCTTATATTAGATGACAAAAACCATATAAATACTCCCTTCCTAGGCACCATGAAGCACAATGGCCTTCCTTACTGTGGTTGGGCATAATTTCGACTTCTCTTGTTCATCAGGTCATATATTGGTAATTCTTTGGTAAATCAACGGTTGATACCTAACAAATGTAAAATTCAGAATCAATGAACACGGGAAAGGGGAAGGAAATTAGCTTTAATATTATACATGTAATAATATACTACTATGTTATTATAGTATGTATAATTTATTATAGTATATAATATTCTAGTATATTATTACATATGTACATACATAGTATATATTATATATGTTTATAGTACACATACATATAATCTCAATGAACTTAAATGAAATGAATTCTTTTGTATGGATATTATAATGTCCCTCCAAAAAGTAATATTTTTGAAATAAACCCAAAAAGACACCTTTCAGGATATTTATATAAAGGAGAGTATTAAAAAGTGTTCATTTTCGGGTTTCCAATCATTTTCACTCTTACAAAAAGACCCAATTGAGAATTCAGAAGATTTAGTTGGAAATGAGACAGTTGCTGCCAATTGGAATTAAGTTACACATTCATGACAATTGGAGATTAAAATGAATTTATGGGGGGAGTAATTTTAAAACTGCCTTCTGTAAAGCACTATTTATAGGAGACGTTAAAACATGCACGTAATTTTTTTTTCTGTAGTCAAATATAGTTTGAAAAGCCTGCATACTCTAACCCCTTTTGAGGGTCACAATGCTCATTAGCATCTTCAAGGTCTAAGATGTTAACTCCCAGGGTCTTCTAAAGTAATTTGACTATATAACCCTTTATTAGAGTAACAGCTGTTAGCCTCCTTCAAATGCAATCCAAGGTGGTAATCACCAGATATTGCAATTTCAGAAACTCTGACCCAGTGCTTAAGTGTCTTTTAAAAATATGAATCATGTAATTTTAACATTGGATATTGTGTAATTCTCTAACCAACTGCTGTGTGCTCACATTCAAGACACATGATTATTATGCACTCTCTGCTTAAAAACTCCATTGACTGAACAATTTATCATCCCTATCACTTCTTTGCCTTCTGGTAACACAGTATGCCATAAATACCTTTACCCATGCTTAGAATATGCCTCTATCAAAATTCTTTTTATGGATATTCCAGAGTCACACAAATATAAATCCATATGATAGTTTCTATAGTCAGAATGTTTGCGTCCTCCCCCAAAATTTACACATTAAAATCCTAACTTCCAATGTAATACTATTAGGAAGTGGGACCTTTTGAGAGGTGATAGATCTTGAGGACAGAGCCCTAATGAATGAGTTCAGTGTCCTTAGAAAGGAGGCCTAAGGGAGCTCATTTGTTCCCTCTACTACATGAGGCCACAGCTAGCAGACCCCAACTATGAACCAGAAAGTGGGCTCACACAAGACACTGAATCTGCTTTCACCTTGATCTTGGACTTCCCAGTCTCCAGAACTATAAGAAATACATTACTGTTGTTTATAAGCTGCCTGGTGTGTAGTATTTTGTTATAGAAGTCTGAATGTACTAAGATGATAGTTTTTCAGTTTGATGGTAGCAGTCCCATGAACATTTCATTTCTCCACTAAAACAGACTCATTCCAGCTATCCATTTTGTAGATGGATTTGGGGTTCCATTTCTTCAATAAATAAGGCCTATCTTTCAAATTCCCATTTTGAATATGTTGTCAAAAATTGAGTACAGTTTGTCAGGAATAGACTTATAAATGCAGAGTAGATTGGCACCATAATTTCCTATATTGGATACTGCATTTCTATTAGAATTATAAAAACAATTTATCGATAGTTTTTTATAAATAGAATATTTTTCTCATTTACTGTTGTTTAGTAATGTAAAAAAAATCTAAAGTACTTTAGAAATGAAACCCCAAATCATGTCTACAAAATGCATAAAGATGCAATTCATGAATTTGGAAACACCAAACCAAAAGAGGTTAGTGTCCCCATGACAAAACATCTGAGGCAATTATTTACAGGATGAATGCCTATAAATATACTGGAAGCAAAATAAAGAAATTATTTAATTGGTTGCAGTTACAAAATTGCCTTTTTTGGTTTGTCTTGTTGGACCGTCCCTAGTCACCTAATCATATGATAGTTGGCTGCTGGCTGAGCTTAAGTTCTGTTTGTTTAGCATACACACCAGAAATGAACTAAGTTTCACTTGGCAGTTTAAGCAAGGTTAAGGCTACAAGGCTATAAGGCCTCATTAGTTTTTTTTTTTAATTATACTTTAAGTTTTAGGGTACATGTGCACAATGTGCAGGTTATTTACATATGTATACATGTGCCATGTTGGTGTGCTGCACCCATTAACTCATCATTTAGCATTAGGTATATCTCCTAATGCTATCTCTCCCCCCTCCCCCCACCCCACAACAGTCCCCAGAGTGTGATGTTCCCCTTCCTGTGTCCAAGTGTTCTCATTGTTCAATTCCCATCTATGAGTGAGAACATGCGGTGTTTGGTTTTTTGTCCTTGCGATAGTTTACTGAGAATGATGATTTCCAATTTCATCCATGTCCCTACAAAGGACATGAACTCATCATTTTTTAGGGCTGCATAGTATTCCATGGTGTATATGTGCCACATTTTCTTAATCCAGTCTATCATTGTTGGACATTTAGGTTGGTTCCAAGTCTTTGCTATTGTGAATAGTGCCACAATAAACATACGTGTGCATGTGTCTTTATAGCAGCATGATTTATAGTCCTTTGGGTATATACCCAGTAATGGGATGGCTGGGTCAAATGGTATTTCTAGTTCTAGTTCCCTGAGGAATCGCCACACTGACTTCCACAATGGTTGAACTAGTTTACAGTCCCACCAACAGTGTAAAAGTGTTCCTATTTCTCCACATCCTCTCCAGCACCTGTTGTTTCCAGACTTTTGAATGATTGCCATTCTAACTGCTGTGAGATGGTATGTCATTGTGGTTTTGATTTGCATTTCTCTGATGGCCAGTGATGATGAGCATTTTTTCATGTGTCTTTTGGCTGCATAAATGTCTTCTTTTGAGAAGTGTCTGTTCATATCCTTTGCCCACTTTTTGATGGGGTTGTTTTTTCTTGTAAATTTGTTTGAGTTCATTGTAGATTCTGGATATTAGCCCTTTGTCAGATGAGTACGTTGTGAAAATTTTCTCCCATTTTGTAGGTTGCCTGTTCACTCTGATGGTAGTTTCTTTTGCTGTGCAGAAGCTCTTTAGTTTAATTAGATCCCATTTGTCAATTTTGGCTTTGGTTGCCATTGCTTTTGGTGTTTTAGACATGAAGTCCTTGCCCGTGCCTATGTCCTGAATGGTAATGCCTAGGTTTTCTTCTAGGGTTTTTATGGTTTTAGGTCTAACGTTTAAGTCTTTAATCCATCTTGAATTAATTTTTGTATAAGGTGTAAGGAAGGGATCCAGTTTCAGCTTTCTACATACGGCTAGCCAGTTTTCCCAGCACCATTTATTGAATAGGGAATCCTTTCCCCATTGCTTGTTTTTCTCAGGTTTGTCAAAGATCAGATAGTTCATGAAAATGGCCATACTGCCCAAGGTAATTTATAGATTCAATGCCATCCCCATCAAGCTACCAATGACTTTCTTCACAGAATTGGAAGAAACTACTTTAACATTCATATGGAACCAAAAAAGAGCCCGCATCGCCAAGTCAATCCTAAGCCAAAAGAACAAAGCTGGAGGCATCGTGCTACCTGACTTCAAACTATACTACAAGGCTACAGTAACCAAAACAGCATGGTACTGGTACCAAAACAGAGATATAGATCAATGGAACAGAACAGAGCCCTCAGAAATAAGGCCTCATTAGTTTTGTTCACTTAGGATTTTTAAATGTTTAGTGTTCATTTTAATTTTGCTTTGACAATAATGAATTCTCAATTAATTTCACCTACTGTTGGTTTGTGAGAGACTCCTAGTTGCTTCCCAACATTAATTTCCTCTATTCTCTTGAATCATTGAGCCCAATTTCTAGCTGAGCACATTGCCAGCTAGAAGATTGTATATTTCAGTCTGCCCTGTAACCAGGTGTAACTATGACTAAGTAAATGCAAATAAGATATTAAGAGAAGTCCCATGAGGAAACTTTAAGAAGTTTCTCTTTAAGGTAGGAGTATGACTTTCTCCACCCCTTCTTCCTGTGGCAGGAATGCAGTGTAGCCATTTTGTACCATTAACCAGTCAAGGGTTAAGGAACCTTTTTAGAAAATGGAGCTTCGTCATAGCTGGTTTTGTGAAATACATGGTAGAAAAATAATCTATTTTATGTTTATTTCTTATTAAACTGAGACTCTTTGAGAAACTTTATTTATTTAAGTAGCATAGCTCAGAATTACAGAATTATAATATGTTTAGAAGTCAATAAGTAAATATCTAAATTAAATTGACCAAAATATGTGACAAAATTGAAAAGTTGGCTGGGCACAGTGATAATCCCAGCATTCAAGGAGGTCGAGGAAGGAGGATCCCTTCATGCCAGGAGGTCAAGACCAGCCTGCACAACATAGCAAGACCCTACATTACAAGAAATTAAAAAAAAAAAAAGCTGGGTATGGTGGTGGATACCTCTAGTCTCAGCTACTCAAGAGGCTGAGGAAGGAGAATTGCTTGAGCTCAGGAGTTTAAGGCTACAGTGAGCTATGATCGCACCACTGCATTCCAGCCTGGGCAAGAAAGTGAGACCACGTTTCTATAAAACAAAACAAAACAAAACTGAAAACTTAAGCAACACCTCAGTAAAAATTTGCCATAGCTATTAATAATCATTCTGTAATGAATTGCTATTATGTGAGCTGATGAACACTGAGTTGTTTCTTGCTTTGTCTATTTAAAACCTAATATCCTAATTTAAGGTGAATTTTGAGAATGTTCATTATTTCTATTTGGCACATACTTATAAGGTATAGACATACAGATCTCTTGTACAATATTCAAAAACTTTGAGACAATAACTTTTGTGGACTATGTAATTTTTAAGTTTTAAAAAAGCAAAGTGCTGTAGCTACCAAACACTATGTAACTCCTCCAGTGGGGTCTCTTTATCAACTTATAATAGGACACATTAATATTTCTGCACTGGAGAATCCTTGAATATTCATGCTAAGTGGGATGAATAAAGACTATAAATAGCCTCATGTCAGTTTATGTTAGGTTTTACTGTCAAATGATTTCATTAAGAAAATAATGGCTTTGAGCACTTTTTTATGAATAGTAGATAATCAATTATAAACTAATAGCACAGGCTGACTTTATTTCATCTGTCTTTTTACCCTAAATTCTGTAGAACGCAAGAGGGTAAGCTCCTTTTCAAAGAGGATTAATTATTAGTTACATCCATATGAATAGACGAGATTTTATAAATTCTGGAGAGGCTGGGTCTTTCTCTTCCGAGCAGAAAAGATACAGCTCTTCTGAGTGGACCGGACATGGATTCACCACAGCAGCTCAAACTGGTGGCTGTGCCAGGGAGTTCACTACTGATCTCACTATCTCTTTCTCATTAAAGGTAGTCATGGAAGTTTGCTCCAGGAAGCCTAATAACATGGAGAGTAACATGGTCTTCAAGTTGGCTGTCAAGCATCTCAAAGGTGAAAGACATTCAGGGACTGAGACTCTAGTCAAAATTAATGTACTAATTGTTTGAAATTGGCTATGAAGCAATAGCAGATTCATATTCAAACTTAGCATTAGTACTTGTAATCAAATTGCTATATTATTACAAAATGACCTATTCAAGCTTTATATTTAAAGCATAAAGGCTTTCAGTAACTTAGGGGATAGTCTGACAACCAAAGAGTGTCTTATTACAAACTTGTTTTGCTTTGAAACTCCAAGACATCAATAAGTGTATGGCCGCCAAAACTTTAAAAGATTGTGCTTTCCTGCTTATGATATTAAAAATAATAACTGATGACATTATAGCAATGATGAGAGTTTACGTTATAGGTTTGTGATGTGAGTAATTTCTATTGTAGAAATTTAAGGAGTCAGTATTTGGTTTTTCATGTTCTCTTTTTTTCTAAGCCTTCATGATCATAAAATCATATGTTAAGATGTCTATATAATCAATCTGCATTTCAGAGTGACCTTGAAGAGCAGAGCACTTTTTTGACTCTTGACTGAAACGTAACATGAGTAAAAAAATTCACTCATATACTCATTGAGATTTTCAAGGCGCTTCTTACTGCAGCATAACCCAGCCTATGCTGACAGCATAGACACTTGAATTAGAAATAAGGTGTACCATAACAAAAATGCTCAAATATGTGCCACTGACTTCTTAAGTGATAGAAAGCAAGAAAACTGTTTTTGGAAGCTGAGCAAAGTCAATCAATATAATATATGGTGAAACATGATGAAACTATTACAAATCATAAATTAGATTGTTGTCACCTAATGAGTTTCTTGCTTGGGAAAACAAGTGAAGAAACCTCATGTTAGTAGCATGAGTTAGTTATTATTGGTAGCATTTCAAAAGCTACTATAAAAATGTTATAAGCCCAGTAAAGTATTAACTGGTTTGCAAGCAGGAATTAAAGAGAAGAAAGATATTTCAGAAATTTGGGGACTTTCAGAATTGAAAGCTTCAGTTGTTTCTCAACATCAACATAAAACATAAAAAAAAGACTAAGAAGATAAATGGAAAGATTAAAATTCAAGTTCTTGTCAAGGATTATTGTAATATCCACTGTTTAAAACCAGTGAATGAATTGAAATTGCACTCAGTAAATTGCATCAGTTGACCAAAATGGCTTAGGAAGAAAAGCTAAAAGGTGAGACTTTTCCAAGGGTGGTTGAGAATCTTTGTAGAGAGACTGGAGAGGAAAACATGTCTTGAAACAAATTCTTGATAGTAATTTTAGTTTGTCTATTAACAAAAGGATAAGTCTGAAAATAAAGAAATATGAAGTCAAGATTCACCAACGTAGGGAAAAAGCTTTGAATGTTTGATAGTTAAAATATTCCTTTTGTATCCAATCTTCTAAGGACAGGAAGTGAATTGGGAGACTAACTCATTCCTTGTTTGCAACAAATACTTTGCAGTATCCCCTATCAAGAAGTGGAGTTCATTTTTCATTCACTAGAATATTGTCTGGCCTTATGTAAATTTACATAATTTAACCAATTATGTAATTATTTAAATTATTAATTATTGCACTGGAATGTTTAACAATTATTATTAGTAATATGACATTAAATATAAAATATTATTAACCAACAATATTTGTTACATTATTGATAATTACCAATATTATAACATTAATTATCAATTATCTAACAAACATTAATTGTTACAAACATAACAATAATGCAATCTTACTTTAAAATAAAGTTATAATTAAATTTGTGAATTATGGAATCTGATTAAATTAACTATTATAGAGACAATATTCTTCTTTCTGCTTTTTTCTCTCTTAAGTTTTCTAAAACTATATAGTTCTTCTAAATTTATATCAGAATGTTAATGAAAACTCTATAATTCCTGAAAATAATTCAAGAGAAAGATGCAATTCATTAAAGAGCTCTTGTTTGTAATACTGCAAGGGCAAAAAGGGAAAAACAGCATAAAATTTTAAAAAAATGTTGACAAAGTAAAATTACTAAATAAATTACATTAAACAATGAGTATGAAAGCAAATAATATTTTGTTTGAATTCAATATTTCTATATATATATCTATTTTACTAATTCTGTCCATTATAAGCTTCTCTGAGGAATTTTAATGGCTGACAACATATTTTTTAAAAGAGTACATATTAAATGTGTATGCATTTTTTTCAGACATTGATTTAGCATTACATTGATGAGCATTAAATCAATGAGCATTAAATAGATGCTAACTTCAAATCCCTTGAGCTAGGGAGTTATAGACCACCCTGGGCATCATAGTGAGACTCTGTCTCTACTGAAAATCCAAAAAATTTGCTGGCCATGGTGAAAAATACTTGTACTCCCAGCTGCCTGAGAGCCTTAGGTGGGAGGACCACTTAAGCCTGGAAGATGGAGGTTGCAGTGATCTCTGTTTTCTCAACTGTGAAGTTAGTTTTCCCTTCATACTATAACAAACATATAATATTAACTCTTTCATTAACACAACTAGAATATATATAATTTTTAGTATTATAGTTAATATACACACACACAGTACACAAACATATACACATACAAATAAGGTATATATAGACACTATATGTATATAATAATGCATATTTAATACCTAATATTTAATATTTAATACTGATACCTAATATTTAATACCTAATATTTAATATAATTAATTATATTGGATAATGCTATATCATAATATTTATTATATTATGTTATACAATTATAATTATGTTATAATTATATTTAATATAATTAATTTATGTATAATTAATATATACATGCAGCATATATACCATATATCTCTCTACAGTAATATGTAATATTTAATATAACTGACTCAAGCCATGTGTTTTAAAATTTTACATTAGGTCATAATCTGAGGAAACGGTTTGTAATTAATTTTAATTATTTTATCTCTATTACTGAATATCAAAAAGCAATAGCAAAGTGAATATTTTTATTTATTTACTTATTTTTTGGGACAGGTTCTTGCTCTGTTGCCCAGGCTGGAGTGTAATGGTGTGAACACAGCTCACTGCAACCTCTACCTGCTGTGCTCAAGTTGTTCTCCCACCTCAACCTCTTGAGTAGCTGGGACTACAAGCATGTGCCACAATGCCCAACTAATTGTGTTGATTTTTAATAGAGACAAAGTCTTGCTATGTTTCCCAGGCTGAACTAGAACTCCTGAGCTCAAGGGATTCTCCCTGCTCAGCCTCCCAAATTGCTGAGATTATAGGCGTGAGCCACTGGGCCTGGCCCACAGTAAACATTTTAATCCAAAATGTTATTGCATGTGGTTCTCCTCGATTTTTTGTGTTTTTTATGAAATTCAAATATATTTTATAAGGTGGCCTCTAGTGTGCACAATTCTAGTGATAAATTTAGAACTAAAACTGTAATCTTCTCATGTATCAAGACATTAGCATTATGGCCAGAAATACTGGAAAAATTTTACTGAGCATTTCAGGCTTTTATTTGACAACTAGCTGTATGAAATACAAAATATAAATGTTTTGATATAGGGATTATATGCATCTAGATTTTGAAATATGACAACACAAACTCAAAAAATGAGACCAAATACTCTTCAATTGTTTTAAAATTTATTAATTTCAAATGAATCATAAAATAATAATTCTTAAAAGATCATTGTAAATTTAGTGTGTATTTTTTAAATTCTTGAGAAAATAATAAAAAATAAGTTTAAAGTACACTAAAAATCAAATTAACAAAGCCAAACAAAATGCTAAGAAATATTTGATTCAACAAAGAATTCAGAAAAGGAGGAAAAAAGGAAGAAACAGAAGACTGCACAAATAAAAGATAAGTAGGAAGATGATAGGCTTAAAACACAATATATTGTAAACAGACTAAAAATTCCATTTAAAACAGAGATGGCCAGATTTGATTTTTTAAAAGTCTAAGATATGTGCTGTTTATAAGACATAACCAGGGGGTGGAGCAAGATGGCAGAATAGAAGCCTATGCTTTTCCCTCTTACTAGAACAACAAATTTTAACAACTACCTACACACAGAAAAACAGCATTACAAAAACAAAAATTAAGGTGAACAATCACAGTACCTCACTGTAACTTCATATCATGGTTTCATTGCCAGCTTAGCCACAGTAGAATAGAACATCAGGTACATGGCTAAGGTTTTAAGCATTTCTGGACATTCCCAGAGTGTGGGGGAACTCACCACCATGAAGGGAAGGGCCTTTGGCAAGGCAAGTGCTGTACTGGCTTCAGATCTGATGCACTGCAGTCCTCCTAGTGGTGGTCACAGAGGTGCTTGCATCAACACACCCTCAGTTCCAGGTGGCTCAGGACAGAGAGAGACAATCCACATGTTTGGGAGAGAGTAAGGGAAAAGAACAAAGGTCTCTGCCTGTTAATCCAGAGAATTCTTCCAGATCCTACCCAAGACCATCAAGGCAATACTTATATGAGTCTACAAAACCTGTAGCATTATTTGGCTTTGAGCCCACATCCCTTCAAATACCTGCAAAGCCTGCCCAAGGCTTGTTTGATAGGCACAAACAAGCTCAGACTGTGAAGACTACAATAAATATCTAACTCTTTAATGCCCAGAAACTGAAGAACATGTACAAGCATCAACAGCATCCAGAAAACACAACCTCACCAAATGAACTAAAGAAGGTAACAGGGACCAGTTCTAGAGAAATGGAGATATACAATATTTCAGATAGAGAATTCAAAATGGCTGTTTTTTGAAAAACTCAAATAAATTTAAGAGAACACAAATAAATTCAGAATTGTATCAGATAAATTTAACAAAGAGATTGAAATAATTAAAAGCAATCAAGCAGAAATTCTGGAGCTGAAAAATGCAATTGGCATAATGACGAATGCATTAGAGTTCTTTAATAGCTCAAACAAAAGAAAGAATTAGTGAGCTTGAAGACAGGCTGTTTGAAAATACATAATCCAAGGAGACAAAATAATATAAAACAATGAAGCACATCTACAGGATCTAGAAAATAGCCTCAAAAGAGCAAATCTAAGAGTTATTGGTCTTAAAGCGGAGGTAGAGAAAGAGATGGGGGTAGAAAGTTTATTTAAAGGGATAAAAACAGAGAACTTGCCAAACCCAGAGAAAGATATCAATATCTAAGTACAAAAAGCTTATAGAAGACCAAGGAAGTGCAACCCAAAGAAGGCTACCTCAAGGCATTTAATAATCAAACAGCCAAAGATCAAGGATACAGAAAGGATCCTAAAAGCAAGCAAGAGAAAAGAAACAAATAACATACAATGGAGCTCCAATACATCTGGCAGCAGACTTTTTGGTGGAAACCTTACAGGCCAGGAGAGAAATATGACACACCTAAAGTGCTGAAGAAAAACAAACAAAACAACAACAACAAGAAAAAACAAGAAACTTCTACCACAGAACTTTCTGTGGTAGAATAGTATATCTGGCAAAAATATCTTTTAAGCATGAAGGAGAAATAAAGACCTTTCCAGAAAAACAAAACCTGAGGGATTTCATCAACACCAGACTTGTCCTACAAGAAATGCTAAAGGGAGTTAATCAATCTGAAAGAAAAGGATGTTAGTCAGCAAGAAGAAATTATGTGAAAGGGCACAAACTCACTGGTAATAGCACACAGGAAAACACAGATTAGTATAACACTAATTGTGATGTGTAAACTTCTTTTTACAGGTAGAAAGACTATATGATGAACCCATAAAAAAAAATACAACAACTTTTGAAGACATAGTACAATAAGAAAAAGCAAAACAACAAAACATTAAAAGTTGTGGAGATGCCATTAAAGTGTAGAGTTTTTATTAGTTTTCCTTTTGTGTCTTTGTTTATGCAATCAGTGTTAAGCTGTCATCGGTTTAAAATAATGGGTTACAGGAGGCAGAAGATATATGCATCAAACACTGGAGGACTCAGATATATAAAGCAAACAGTAGTAGAACTTAAGAGAAAGATAGACACCAATACAACAATAATGGGAGTCTTCAACACTGTACTTTCAGTATTAGATAGATCTCCTAGACAAAAAGTCAACAAAGAAACATTGGACTTAATCTTCACTATGGATAAACCAGTATTATCCTGATAACAAAACCAGACAAAGAAACACCAAAACAACAACAATAGAAAAAGAACAAAACAAAACAAAACTACAGGCCAATGTCTCAGATGAATATTGATGTGGAAATCCTCAACAAAACACTAGAAAACCAAATTTAACAACACATTAAAAATATTCACCAAGACCAAGTGAGATTTATCTCAGGGATGCAAGAATGATTCAATATATCCAAATCAAACAATGTGATGCATCATGTAAATAGAATAATGTACAAAATCTATATAATCATTTCAATTGATGTTGAAAAAGCATTGGATAAAGTTCAACATCCCTTAATAATAAAAACCCTAAAAAACCTGGGAATAGAAGGAACATACCGCAACATAATAAAAGCCATATACAACAGACCCACAGATAGCATCATACTGAATGGGGAAAAATGAATGTCTTTCTTCTAAGATCTGGAACTCAATAAGGATCCCCACTTTTACCACTGTTATTCAACATAGTACTGAAAGTCTTAGCTAGAGCAATCAGACAAGAGAAAAAAGTAAAGGACATAAAATTGGAATGGAAGAGGTCAAATTATTCTTGTTTGCAGATGACATGATCTTATATTTGGAAAATGCTAACGACTCCACCAGAAAACTATTAGAACTGATGAATTCAGTAAAGCTGTAGGATACAAAATCGGCATATTAAAAATCAGAATTATTTCTATATGCCAACAATAAACACTCTCAAAAAGAAATGAAAAAGTAACTCCATTTAGAATAATCACAAATAAAATTAAGTACTTAGGAATTAAACGAAGAAGTGAAAGATCTCTATAATGAAAACTATGAAACACTGATGAAAGAAATTGGAGGACAGTATAAAATAGAAATATATTCCATGTTTATGAATTGGATGAATCAGTATTGTTAAAAAGTCCATACTACCCAAAGCAATCTACAGATTCAGTGCAATCTCTATGAAAATATTAGGTTGGTGCAAAAAGAATTGCAGTCCTTGCCATTACCTTTAATATCAATGCTACTCTTTATAGACATAGAAAAACAATCTTAAAATTTATATGGAAACATGAAAGACCTAGAATAGCCAAAAGTATCCTGAGCAAAAGGAACAAAACTGGAGGAATTACATTAGCTGACTTCAGATTATACCACAGATCTAGAGGAACCAAAACAGCATGATATTGACATAAATGCAGACACATAGACTGATGGAACATAATGGAACACATGAGTAGAGAACACAGAAACAACCCACACGTGATCAGTGAACTCATTTTTGACAAACGTGCCAAAAACATAATTAGGTAAAAGACAGTCTTTTTAATCGATGGTGCAGGGAAAACTGGTTATCTGTATGCAGAACAATGAAACTTGATCCCTATCTCTCACCTTATACAAAAATCAAATCAAAATGGATTAAAGACTTAAATCAAAGATCTCAAACTATGAAACTACTAAAGAAAACATTGGGGAAAACCTCCAGGACATTGGTCTGGGTAAAAATTTCTTGACTAATACCCCACAAGCTCAGGCAACCAAAGGAAAAATGGGTAAATGGGATCACATTAAGTTAACGAGCTCCTACACAGCAAAAGAAACAATCAGGAAATTAAAGAGAACATTCACAAAATGGGAGAAAATATTGCAAGCTACCTTTCTGACAGTCAATAACTAGAACATATAAGAAGCTCAAACAACTCTATGGGAAAAAATCTAATAACCCAATCAGAAAAGCTTTTAATTGACATTTCTCAAAAAAAGACATAAATCGGAAAACAGTCATATGAAAAGATGCTCATCCTCACTGATTATCAGAGAGATGCAAATCAAAACTACAATGAGATATCATCCCACTGCAGTTAAAACGGCTTTTATTCAAAAGCCAGACAATAGCAAATGCTGGTGAGGATGTTGAGAAAAGGGAACACTTATACAATATTGGTGGGAATGTAAATTAATACAACCACTGTGAAGAACAGTATGGAGGTTCCTCAGAAAACTAAAAATAGAGATCCCATACAATCCAGCAATCCCATTGCTGGGCATATATCCAAAAGAAAGGAAATCAGTATATCAAAGAGATATATCTGCACTCCCATATTTGTTGCAGCACTGCTCATGGTAGCCAAAATTTGAAAGCAGCTTAAGTGTCCATCAGTAGACGAAAGGATAAAGAGTATGTGGTATACTCAATAGAGTACTATTCAGGGATAAAAAGAATGACATTCTGTCATTTGCAAAAACATGGATGGAACTAGAGGTTATTATGTTAACTGAAATAAGCCAGGCACAGAAAGCAAAGATTGCATGTTCTCATTTGTGGGATCTAAAAATCAAAACAATTGAACTCATTGAGATAGAAAATAGAAGGATAGTTACTAGAGACTGAGAAGGGCAGTAGCGGGGTGCTGGAGGGAGGTGAGAATGGTTAATGGGTACAAAAACATTAGACAGTATGAATAAGATCTAGTATTTGATAGCACAACAGGGGGACTATAGTAAATAATAATTTAATTTCATAATTCAAAATAACTAAAAATGTATAATTGGACTGTTTGTAACACAAAGGACAAATACTCAAGGGGACAGATACTCAGTTTTCCATGATGTGATTATTATGCATTGCATGCCTCTACCAAAATATCTCATGAACCCCACAAATATATACACCTACTATCTACACATACAAATGAAATAAAAACTGAAATAATCATTAAATACATAAATGCAGATAGATAAAAGACAGAGTTTGGAAAAGTTATGTCAGGAGAATAAACCAAACAATAAAAAATGTGCAGGTCTATATTAATGTCTGATAAAGTAGACTTTAAGACAAGAATTATCACTGTAAATAAGAGAGACATTCTATTAAAATAATAAAGTCCGTCTGGAACGGTGGCTCACGCTTGTAATCCCAGCACTTTGGGAGGCTGAGGTGGGTGGTTCACAAGGTCAGGAGTTTGAGATCAGCCTGGCCAACATGGTGTACTAAAAATACAAAACTTAGCCGGGCATGGTGGCAGGTGCCTGTAATGCCAGCTACTTGGGAGGCTGAGGCAGGAGGCTCTGCCTCTAAATAAATAAGTAAATAAATAAATAAGTAGTCATAAAGAATTTTATTTTTTATTACTTCTTTTATTTATTTATTTATTTATTTATTTATTTATTTATTTACTTATTTTTGAGACAGGATCTCACACTGTCTCCCAGGCTGCATGGCTCACTGCAGCCTCGACCTCCTGGGCTCAAGTAAACCTCTCACCTCAGCCTCCTGAGTAGCTGGAACGACAGGCACATGCCACCATACCCAGCTAAACATTATTTTTATTTCTATGTTTTATAGAAACAGGGTTCCACTTTGTTGCACAGGCTGTTCTCCAAATCTCAGGCTCAAGCTGTCACCCACCTTGTCCTCCCAACATACTGAGATTACAGTCATGAGTCACTGCAGTCAGCCAAGAATTTGGTTTGTATGTATGCAGTAAGATAGCTTTAAATCCACATGAAACAAATGCAGATAAACCAGATGGGGTAAATGAACAAATCCACAATCATGGTCAGATTTTTTACACTACTCTTTCAGTAGTTATCTTTTTACCCAAAAATGATTATTAAGAATATAGAATATTTGAAAAATATTATAAAACACTTTGAGTTTATTGACATAGATCTAACTTATAACACACATATTTGTCAGGTGTGTACACTTAAGATATATCATACAGTAGGCAACAAAATACATTTTTATACAGTTCAAATTACAGACATATTATTAACTATATTATCTGAATACAAAGAACTAAATAAGAAGTTAGTAATAATCTAGAAAATCTCCAGATAAATGAAAATTTTATAATAAACTGAAATAATCCATGTGTCAAGAAATCACTAAGAAAATATGAAAATATGTCGAAGTAAATATCAATAAAAATATAGCACATATCAAAGTTTTCAGAATATGGCTAATTGAAAACAGAGAGAGAAAGCTATATTACTACATTTCATATTTTAAAATATTTTAAATTATTTAAATTTCAACTGTTTGAAAGCTAAAACACAAAGCAAATTAAAACAAGTAAGTGGAAGGAAGAAAAAAATCCATTAGCTAGAATAAGAAGTTGAAATAAAATTAACAAAGGAGAAAGTTTTATTTGAAAAGATGAACAAAATTGATTAACTCCTGTCAAGACTGTTTATATTAGGAAAAGATTAGAAAAATACCTTTTATACACACCATCTAAAATAGTATCAAAAACTATAAAATTTTGAGTGACATACTTTTAGAAAGATGTGAAGAAAACCCTTTATATTGAAATGCATAAACAAGACTGAGATAAAATAAAGCACACCTCAGTAAATTAATATGGAATTTTTATGGATTTTATAATCAGTGTTGTAAAGATATCACTTTTTCTAAACTAACCTATAAATTAAAAGCCATACCAATAAACATGCTTAGTGTCTCTTTTTGCAAAAATTGATGTTTTTTTCCCTAAAATATATCTATGCAAACCCAAAAAAAAAACTAGAAAAAAATTTGGAAAGTACAAACCATATTACTTCTATCCTTCCTATAAAGCTCTAATGAAGTATTTACTTGAGGATAAATAAATAAATCAATGGAGCTGAAAGGAAGCCTAGAAAAACAGACATGCACACATAACAGATGCATGCACACACATACACATAATTGTTTTGACAATGGTGTCAAAAAAATGAAAGTCTTCAAAAAGTAATGGTGGATTCAGTGCAATAGATTGCTAAAGCTTACTCCTCCTGTCTAGCTGCAACTGTGTACCCTCTGATGCACATCTTCTTTAACCATCCTCACCACCCAGCCTCAGCCTCTGATAACCATCATTCTTACCACTCTCAGGAGTTCAATTTATTTACATTCCACATACAGTAAGATCACAAAGTATTTGTTTTTCTATGCCTGGGTTGTTTCACTTAGCATAATGTCCTCAAGTTTATAGTGCATTGTATATTTTTAAGTTGCTGAAAGACTAGATTTTGAATGTTCTCAGCACAAAAATTTTAAGTATGTGAGGTAATGGATATTTTAATTACCTTGATTGAATTATTCCAAAAGGTAAACATGTATGGAAACATCACATAATATCCTATAAATATGTATAATTATTGATCGTCAATTAAAAATAAAATAAAATATTTTTAAAGTGATGCTGAAACAATTGTATAAACTTAAATAAATAATCAAAAACTTCATATAACATGCAAAAATTAATTCAATGTGAATAGCAGATCTAAATGTAAAACAAATACTGCTATAAATCTTTTTATAAAAAAGGAAAACATCAGTATATGTATTTTAACTTTGAATTGTACAAAGAATTTACTTGAAGAACAACAACAAAAACCCATTAAGAGAACATTTAATAAATTAGACTATTTCAAAAATTTAAAATTTCTGCTTTTCAAAAGATACTGTTATGAATATTAAAAGACCAGGCACAAACTAGAAGAATATATTCATAATATAAATCTGTTAAAATGGATCTTACCCAGTGCATATCAAAAACTCTGCCAGTTAACAATAAAAATACAAACTACCTAGTCAAAAAAAAAAATGGGCAAAATGTTGAAACAGCCATTTTAGGAAAAAAGAAAAGAAAAAAAAGAAAGACGTATATATAGTCAACATCATTACTCTCAAGAAGTTGCAAATTAAAGCAACGATGAGATTTCTTCTGCATCACACTCACTAGAATGATTACAATTTAAAAGACTGCAGCAAATGTGAACTAAGTTGTAGAGCAGTTGGAACTACATTGCTGGTGAGTACCTACAGTAATAAAAACCACTTTGGAAAAATGTTTAACAGTTTCTTCGTAAAGGTTCATGTATATCTATACTCTGACTCCAAATTTCTACACCTAGACGTTTGCTCAAGACCAATAATATATGTCCACAGCAACACTTCTACAAGAATATTCCTGGCAATTTAAAACATAACACCCACAACTTGAAGGAACCCAAAAGTCAATTAATAGGACAATGTATAAACAAATTGTGAAATACTCATACAAGTGGAAACTAAGCAAAGGAAGAAAGAACATTTATGCAGTCAACAAAAAGACGTTAAGGAGAAAAAGAAGCCATATATAAAATAACACAAAATGTATGATCCCTTTTTATGAAGTTCAAGAACATGCCAAACAATATATGATAATATAAATCAGAATAATAATTTTTCATATTGTATGAGAATGGACTGGAAAGAGGCATAAGGGACCATTCTAAAGTGATGAAAATATTCTGTGTTGGTTAAGACATATGTTATATTTTTTACATGAAGGAACTTTCTGTCCAAACTCATGAAATTATATAATTATAATCCATAAATTCCACTATCTATTAATTTTGTTTCTATTTTAAAAATGGGTATTTTCTGATTTCTTTTTTACATTAATTCCAGTATATCCTTTTAGTTCCCTCTCCAATATCCCTTTCCTTTGCTCTTCTAAAATCCATTTTTTTTATTATTTTTTGGTAGCACATTCTGGTTTACAGCAGTGTCACTTGAAAGACTAGAAGACAGTGTATTAAGCCAATTACAATTTACTGTATTTCTTTTCCAGTGACTTAAAAATATTCTTCATTATTAATTAATGTTTACTTAAAATGATATATCATAATTATCCATATTTATGGGGCACAGTTTGAGATTTCAATGCATGCATGCATTGCATAATGGTTAAATCAAGGAAATTACCATAGCCACTTTAAATATTTATCATTTCTTTGTCATGATAGCATTCAAAAGGTTCTTTTCCAGCTATCTTGAAATATATACTGCATTGTTATTTGCTATAGTCACCCAACTGTGTCATAAACACCCAAACTTCATATTCTTGTCTAACTGTAACTGTGTACCCATTGACCAGCATCGTCTGGTACCCCTCTTCAGCCTCTGGTAACAACTATTCTACTCTCTACTTTTATGAAATTATCTTTTGTAGATTCCACATATGCATAAGATAATGTGATATCTTCTTTCTGTGCCTAGCTTATTTCACTTAACATGATGTCCTCCACGTTCATACTTGTTACCACAACACCTATGCCCATCTACAGTTGAATGAATAAAATACATATATATCTACATATATATATGGTGTGTGTATATACACACACACACACACACACACACACAATAGAATACTATTCAGCCATAAAACAGAATGAAACACTGTCATCCGTGACAACTAATGACTGTTTTTTATATTGGTGGATATTTTAATTTTGTTAAGATGCTAAGTCAGTTGACAGTCCATTGGGAAAAAGTTCTCTTACTCTCAAGGGACATATAGTTTCATTTTTTTAAAAAATTGTCCTATTTGTATGAACTGGTATGTGTTTTGTGGCCATTAGTGATGCAAGACTTAAGAAAACCTAATAGCAAGGACAAAGTGGAAAGGTGGAAAAAAGCGGTCTTCTCTGATGCCATTTATTCAGCATATGAACCTATTCAGGGACCAATCTGTGGATAACTTTTTGGGTGAGAAATAAAAGTTACATATCATTAAAGCTACTTTAACTTGTTTTCTTCTTAACTTGCAGCCAAAAGTTTTCTTACTAAAATACCCATCCAGAAATTTTCCTTGTCAGGTTAAAAACCAATAGAACTAGAATTAAAAAAAAACTAAAAGGTAAATAAATAGGTTGCCCCAAAACACAATGAAGAGGAAAATTGTATCACCAATGATTTGTCAAAAAATATAATATATATCAGTTAATGTAGTAGTCACAGTTATAATTCAATTGTCAGAAACTTTGAAAAGTTGCTAAATCCCCTAGGGCAAAACATGATTTACTTGTTCCTGCATCCCCTGTATGACAAATAATTATAATATGTTGTAGTATATTCATCAATATTGTAAGAAACAAAAAAACAATTTTCAAAGTTCCACAATTCTCATGAAGATACACAATGTAACATCTTTTTTGATTGCCATGTGATATTAACTTATTATATTTATTCTGAGTAAGCTAATATGTTTCCCAAGTAATTTGTTATTCACTAATGCTAAGTTCATTATCATATTTTATTACCAACATTATTAACAAATAAATATTTACCAACACCACCCCATAATAACTTGACATGATAGAACTTTCATATCACAAAATATGTAGCTGAAGTCTAAAAATGTATGAAAATAAATTGTATCAGAATAATTCTTAATGATATACTAATTTAATCTATTTGTAAGAAGTTAGCTTTATAGAAAGAGCTCTCAATTATTCAGAGACCAAAACAATTTTTTCTTTCAAAAAGAACTGATTGGAAACTTACAAAATATTCACAGTAGAGTTTAGACAATGAATACAGAGTAGGCAGTTTCACTTTAATTTCTTCTGGTCAGTTTTGATTTTTAGCTCTCAGGCAAAGGTACCTAAGGTACCAACAGAATATTAATTCTTAATGATATACTAATTTAATCTATTTGTAAGAAGTTAGCTTTATAGAAAGAGCTCTCAATTATTCAGAGACCAAAACAATTTTTTCTTTCAAAAAGAACTGATTGGAAACTTACAAAATATTCACAGTAGAGTTTAGACAATGAATACAGAGTAGGCAGTTTCACTTTAATTTCTTCTGGTCAGTTTTGATTTTTAGCTCTCAGGCAAAGGTACCTAAGGTACCAACAGAATATTTAAACACCACAGAGAACCATTTTCACTTGTTTAAGGTCCTAATATGATTTATATTAGTTTTGTATTTTATAAAATCTTAAGATACATATTTAATGATTACATTTTGTACAGTGTATTTTTTAAAAAAATTCAAAAATTACCTTAATAGATTACAAAAAAGTGTTATAGAAAGATCGTAAGAAAGTAGAATATTTGAACCGAATATATTTTATTTGGGCTTGACACATTTTTTCAGTAAGTAAAAGACACCGAATGCTAAATCACTAACACATTATTACTAGGGCTGAGCAAATTAACTTAGCCAATTGACCCTCCTGGAAATAAAATCCTTATTGAGGTCTATAAATGTTCTATTAATTTTCCTTTCATTACCTTTCCTTTCATTCACATACAACCTTGAAAACTTATGTGTTCAGAACAACTCTAAAAAGAAAACTGTAGAAAAAAACCACAAGAAGTGTTTTCTCTGTAGCTTACAAAAGTTCAGTTTTTAAGCTTTTTTTAACCTTCTGATACAAATTCAATTGAACAAGTCTGTTTAGTGTTTTTGTCCTGAAAAATGTAGCTTCCTATATTTATGTAGCTTTCTATATTTATGTATTTCCATGATTTCCCAGAGCATAATTTTTTAACAATAAAGCATCGTTAAAATACTGATATATTTTTCCTTTCTTCTGTCTGTGGGAGAGAGAGAGATAGAGAGAGGGCGAGTGGGAGAGAGAAAGGAAAAATAAAGGACAGAATACAAAAAATCAAATATAAATTCATTTATCATATACTACAGATCAGCAGTGAACTAATGTAACATATATTCTGTGAACCTATCTCATATTTAACATGAGAGCTTTACAATGCATCAAATAGGTCAATGTTTGGGTAGTTTTGGGGAGGTTTAGAATCTTGTGGTACCTAACTGCATGATGTTATAAGAGATAACATCCCTATTGTAAATCTAAGATTCGCGCTAGAGATATTTTTAAGACCTTGTATTTGATGACTCAGCTGGGCCACCCAATGGATAAACTGACTCATTTGGTCTCATGGTCCCCACCTACGAACTGACTCAGCTCAGTGAGACAGCATAGACTCCCTATGATTTCATCTCCAACCTGACCAATCAGCTCTCTTTACTCCGTGGACCTGTACCCACCAAATTATTCTAAAAAAAACACCAGTCTCCGAATTTTCAGGGAGACTGATTTGATTAATAAACGCTGGTCTCCAGTTCAGCCAGCTCTGCATGAATTCAACTCTTTCTTTACTGCAATTCTTCTGTCTTGATAAACAGACTCAATCTGGATAGCAGGCAAAATGAACACGTTGGGTGGGTACATATTCAAGAAGAATGTTTGCATTTCAGCAAAATGATGGAATTACTTCCTCTAGATACTCAACAAATAAGTTTATTTACAGCTTTGTCAGATTGCAATGTCTCTAAATTTAAGGATGATGAATATGATCTTTCCTCTAGAGGAAACATGAGCTTTACAATGAAACATTTCATGGTTGCCGAGGATATCCTTTTATAGTTCCATATGACTTGCATTTAGGTCAATGTATGGTATTTTAGGAGTGTTTCTAACACAGGGTTTGATAAAAGAATAAATTCCATGTAATACCCGTCAGCAGCTCTTTCATATTTGAATTATGTTGGGCATATGACAGGAAGATTGCAGTATTTTTAAAGTAAATAGTATGTAAGAATTCCCACTAGCAGTTATTTTTAAAGCCACTTATACTTTCAAAGCACACGAATATAGATAATTATATCATAAAACCATAAAATCACACACTGATTTTATGAAATCAATTATAGAAATGGCTTCAGATATAGTAAAGTCTTTGATTTAAAAAAATACCTGGATAATTAATCTGTAAACTTCTGTTGTTTTCTGAAATGATTTACGAGTGTCTTAGACCTTGAGAATTTATTTAATTTTTCTCTATTTTGTCAAGACTGTTGTAAGATTTAGACAAAGTAATGTTTGTGTAGACAATCTTAAAACAGTAAAATATATACAAGTAAAAAGTATTATTATTACTACCGTAAAGAATGAGTTTATTACTCACCTGTTACATTTAACTTTCTGCTTCAAGAACATGACACTATTATTCTTATTCAATAATACAGAAATGCAAGTTTATTAAAGCAAATGAAAAATTCTGACTTGAAATTAAAAAACTAACAAAATTTATATTATAAAAAGACAACAGTTATATTATCAAACACAATTTTTGAAATATACCAAAATTCTTTCAAGATACTTCGAATTGAAAATTTTTATATCATTTAAAGAAAAAATTATTAAACTATACATTTTTCAGGTATTTCTGTAAAAAATTATATATATATATGTATATATAATCTAGGCACATTACTTCTTTTGTTTCACATTTTTGTTTTTTTCTGATTACAAAAATATTTGTTATTAAAAGAAATCAAATCAGAAGTAGGTAAAATAGAAAGTGGTTCTGCAATTCCAGCCCCAAGAACAAGGACAAAGAATTACATTACATATTTTCCCATTTTTTAATTTTTGTATGTATAAATTAACAATAGAGTATGACAACAATAATAAATTTTGCTTCTCCATAACATATTTTTTTCAAACTGATATAATATTGGCAGTGATTTTTTAAGCTTACTATTTGGTATACCCTTCCATTTCTGTATATAAAAGATAAAGGAATTTTTTTTTTAAAGAATTGCACAACACCCCATTAGGTGAATATACGTTTTCCTGTTAATGGGCCTTTGTGTTTTTTCCAATATGTGCCATAAAATACAGCACTATACTCATTATTCTTGTAAATATAATTCTGAGCATTTATTAGAATGTTTTGTAAGTTAATTTCCAAGAATTATTAAGAAATATCATTCAGAATTATATTAAATAAATCTTCATGATATCCCTATCACTTTCAAATAATTAGTAACCTTTTGGGGAGATCACAATAACAAAAATTTGTAGTTCACCTCTGTTTAAAGCACTTGCATTTTGCTAACAGTTATTTTTAGATATCACTATGCAAGTTACATAGTGACTTTAAAAAAATTTTAGGAATCCCAGTTATTATAATTCACAATGGGCCTCTCAGATAGTCATAGGAAAATAATAGTGCTTAAGCCCGAGAGTAAAATTTTTGCAAGTTTTTGTCATAATACTTGTGTAAGTCTTAACCAGGCATCTAATACTGTTTAACATAATTTATGGGTAGGTGATTTAAGTCTTGGTAAAAAAAAAATACGGATTTTCTATTTTTCCAGAAAAAAAATTATAATTTCCCCAGAAAGATGGTGAGATGGTTTTTACTTAGAAATAAACCAAATTGATAAGGCCTGAGTCATTAAGATAATACCAAGCAGCTCTAAACTTGATGTCTATTGTTAATTGGGAAATAACTAACCAGACTATTAAGGCATCTATCAAAAAAATTTTTACAAAAATATAAATAATAAATGCTTCCAAAGCTTTGCACATTCCAAATTGATGCAATCAAAAGTCACATCTTTTATGAAGTAAGAATATTAAAGATTATTATTAAGGTTATAGTTGTAAATGTTTGCAATATTTGGCCTTTTCTATTTACTTCTGTGCAGAAAATAATTTTTAGTCTGTGAAGAGTATATATTATATAATCAGTGGTATTCATTAAGACTCTCTTCCAATATTTCTGGTTCTTTTTTTGAACACACTGTAAAAATACATTCTCTGTTCCCCATGCAATTAAATTAGGTAAGGTCATGAAACTTGACTTATCAGCAAAAGTCAAGCAAAAGTAATATACACCATTTCGTGGAGAAAAAAATTAAAAGCTGGTAGTTTTCCTTTCATGTCCCTCTCCCATCTCTTGTAAAATTAGTGCTTTTTAAAAATAGTTAGTGGAGTGTTCATTAGCTTGGATCCTGCTGTGAGGACATCACAGGTCAGGAAAAAGTTCCTTCTCTATGAACACTCAAGGGATGTGCAACTTGAGAAAGGATGTGTAAAAAGTGCAATTCTGATGTCACTTATCACTGCAGCATATGTCTAATCTAATAGATATATCTCTTTAAAGTAAAAATAATTTTTCATTTGATATTTGGAGAGTTGCTGGTTGATCATAAATAGAGTTAGCCAGAATTTATTCCTTGTGGTAAAAATCATATCTTCTAATTCACAGTTTTTATTGGCTTTACAGTACCGGCCATAAAGAAAAGAATAATTCAGAAGAATTCAGCTAGAAAATAATAGTATATATTTTTCAAAAATATGTAGAGGTTCTATAATTGAAATAAATCCCATGAAGTTAGGAAGCAAGCTGGTCTTATTCAAACCGTGTATCTCCTGAGCCTGGTATGCTTCCTGTAACATAGTAAAGGCTTAATAAATATTTGCCAAATATTAAACATCATATGGTCATGAGTAAAAAAAAGGAAGTCAACTTTTTAATGGTAGATCAATAATCCCAATATTTTCCCACAATTAACCTTACTGTTTGTTGAGGCTGATTGAAGTTTTATAATTTAAATGAAAACATGGTTTATGTTTCTAGGAAATTTGATGTGAATGCACAATATGACATTTACTGAGAAGTTTTCTTTCATTATGACCCGATAACAGTATTAAAAAAAAAGACTGGTAAAAAATGGTTTAAAGCTATATAAATTACTGCCACAGATGTCTTACCACCAGAACATACCAACCACAAGGAAAGAATGAAGAAAGCTACCACTAATTCTGTACCTATTGTGAAAGTTGATCATATGAATTGGGTTATTCTTGTCATACCCAACTAAAACAGAGTTGAAAAGCCAGGAGATAAAAGCACTAAGGCACAAAACATTGCTCCAAAAATGTAACTCTCTGCAAGCTTGGCAGCTGAAACTGTGGTAACCTGGAATGAGTTTTACCTAATGACCACTGACACAACCTGATGCAGTTCTCAGACTAGTTTTGCCAACATATGTCACCAATCAGAGCTTGGTGACACAGGTTGGCAAAACTAGTCTTTAGCTCAAAACCCTACTAGCACCAGTGAAATTTCTCAAATAGAAATACATTACATTTCTGCTTTTTATAGAACCTCTAGCCTTATCTTTGTTCTTCAGAGAGAACACTTTTGATTCATGCCGGAGACTCTCCAGTTTGCAAACTGATATTGCCAATAAAACTCTCTTTTATAATATCTAGTCATCCTTCTTGGTCCTTTGGACAACATTTACACTACCAATTGTTAGCTACTTTTGTGAATAGTTAAGAAGTCATTTAACAAGCACATATTCTTTGTTTACTATGTGCCAGGCTTCATTCCATGCAACTTTCCATATATTATCTGAGCCAAAACAGCCACCTAATGAGATAAATATTACCAGCATCCTTTTACATAAAATAGGTACAGGGGAAAATAAATTTTTCAACTCACAGAACTATTAAGTTTAAAAAATGAGAATTTAAATCAAGTGTACCCAACTTATTAGGAATTACTTGTTCTCAAATTCCTTGCTTTTCCACTACTCTGTTCTGTCATTGAAGAAATTCATCAACTAATCTCTAAAGGCATTTTCTACGGAGGACATCTCTTATAAGGGTGAGCAATTGCTACTGCATATGACCTCACTTCATTCAATTTTATTTCAACAGTAATCGATGACAGCAATAAAAAGGAATAAAATATGGACTGTTCCCTAAGTGGCTGAGACTTTAGACATTCTAAATTGGGTAATTTACATGGGTAAATCCATGTAATTGGGTACTAGAATTATACATTAAGAAATAAAATGAGACTCTGTTGTGTCTTACTAAAAATAAAAGGGTACAAGTATCATATTTATTGTGTCATACTAGAAGTCCTATAATAATAAAACCTATCCTATAAAATAAAACCTTTGTTGTGGTTGGGAATTCACTATTTTCAAGAAAGATGTAAAGAGTCTTCATGATATCACCCCTAGTCCACAGAGAAATGTTCATGTCACATCTGATAATCTCCAATTTTGCAAAGGAGAGAACTGAATATCAGAGCTGTTAACTTGCCCTAAGACACAAAGTCATGCAGCTGATGTTACAACTATGTAATTTAATATGAATACATTTGTTTCCACTATGTCACACATGATAAAGGGGCACCTATGGGACTGAAAAAGTTTATTTTCTGCCACAATAATTGGGGTCTTTAGGTTAGTGTAGTCCATAGGTCTATCAGTGGAACCTGAAAGTGGAATTGCTATTTAAAGGTACTCTGACGGAAATGACTTGAAAAAAATTGGATCACTTTTTAAAAGCCACACAGCATTGGTTATTTGCTATATAGAGGATGCCACAGAATACTAAGAAAGGAGAAAGAGAGTTTTAAAATTCTGTGTTCCAGACATACAGAATTGTAGAGACACTGGGTTTTTCTCCACCCAGTATTTAACTGGGTCAGTCTCACAAGCACAACTTTTCTGATTAAGAAAAAAAAAGTTGTATAAATTAGGTATAATATTATAACTAAAATGTTAAAGAAGGGAGTTAAGAAGGATTATCATTAGTCAACTTGTGCATTTTAGCTCATTTAAAGTTCATTTAACCCTATCATAAATGGCTGAAGAAAGACTGGATTAGAGTAATATGTTTTGTTTTGTTTCTCAACTAACATCCCATACATTTATACAATAATCTAAAGTAATGCCAAATAAATTTATTTATTTTCTGCATATTTGTAAAAATTGATTTAAAAGGGTGCTAAAGTTTATATTTCATTTAAGTTATAGCATACATAAAATCACCTTTTATAGAAGGATCTAAATTGATTTTGGAATAAATTGTCATTTTTATTGATTACTTTTATTTAAATATATCTTTAAAAAGTAGATTGTAATTTAAATATCCTTTCAAAATTCAGGAATATTTTTCTTTTCACTCAGGAATCAAGATAAGGCATTTCCTGTGCATAAACTTGTGAATTTCCTTATAGAAAACGCATTAAAGAAAAGCTTGACCCTCTAATCAAGCAGGATGTTCTTGAATCAATCACATGTCCTGCTCAGCTTCATCAATTATTTCAACTTAATGCTTAAATGGTATTACAGGTGAATGTCAGATTTTTAGTGAATGTATTGCTTTCTGCATGTGACTATTAGCTCCCATTTTTTAATCTCTGGAGTATAAATTTGGAATTTACCAATTAATTGACTAAGACAGCAGAATTACAAGTGGTATTATTTTCTTTTTAGAAATATTGTATTTTTATAGATAAATTTATTTTTATAAAGAACCATAAAGATACTCAGGATGGTCTCTACACATTCATTTTCTGAGTACCATTTTATGAGACCCCCCTGCATGGAGAGGGAGCAAGACACAAACAAGGGATCCACTTCAAAGGCTGTGGGCTCTTCTCAGATGATGTGCCAGGGGAGATGTGATGGTAGCTTTCACTAGTGTGACAGCACTGGGGGTTCTAAGAAGTGGTTAGTTTTAGGTATATTTTATGTATAAGTGGTGCCAACAGGACTGGCTAGTGAACTGAATATAGGGTGTGAGAAAATAAAAAGAATGAAGAATGTATTATGCTTCTGTATGCATTAACTTACTATATCTGTTAGAATAATTGAAATTGATAGGTTTGCTTTTCCCAAGAATGTAGATCAAAGGAATCAGTACCAGGGGAGATGGCACTAAACACATACAAAAATATTGTTGCAATCTATAGATTGATTTAATTGCTTTACATACATTATCATGTTTAATCTTCAGGCCATCCTATAAGGTAGAAAATTTTATTATTCTTGTTTAAGATTAGAAAAATGAGGAACAGGACAGTTAGTAGCTTGCACAAGGTTTCTGTACAAGTGGCAGAAATTAAAACCAGACACTCTGTCTCCAAATCCAGGCTCTTAACCACTAGTTGGTAATGTTTCCCAAATATGTCTTACTTATAGCGGTATTTGTCAATCAGAGAGAAGAGAAATTATTATAAATTTAATCCTAAGGTAGCATTTCTAAAGTCAGATCAAAATAATAAATTAAACAAATTGAATTAAAATAGTATAAAATTACGGGACATTTATGATTCATTTAAAACTCAATATTCTCTCTAATATTCATAGACTATTACTTTTGGAGAGGAAACATAAAAATTTGACAGAGGCTTTTTAATTTTTACTTCTAGCCTATGTTTAGCTTTGGTGAAATGCATTGCTATTTGAATGTTCATTTTTCTATGTGCCAAAATTTCTATGTATGTTTTATTTATTTACATTTATTTAATAAAGTTCCATCTTATTGTTAAAATCTACTCTATTTTCATCTATCTCAAAAACTTACCATCTTTTTTCCCCTCATTTTGTTACTGTATAATAAAAAAGCTATATTTGCGATTCAGAAGAAAAGTATGAGAGATGATCTACAGGTGATGCCAAGAAGACTGTAAAAGCATTGATAACGAGCCTCCCTTTTAGGGGCTGTGACTGCATAATACAATGGGTCAAACAGCCAGTACAATTTTAATTATTAATATTAAATAATATATTATTTATAGTAATATTAATATTAAATAATATATTATTTATAGTAATATTAATATTAAATAATATATTATTTATAGTAATATTAATATTAAATATTTAATTAGTATTAATTAAATATTAATTAGTATTAATATTAAATAAATATAAATAATATTTATAATATTAAATAAGTTGAGTTGCGTGTGCCCATAAACTGGTGTGCCTTAGGAAAATTTGACTCACACATTTACTTCTAAACAAGGTCATAGCTTTCAATTTTAGGGTTATAAAATCTAATCTTTCTCACAAGTTCACAACTTGAGTACCCTAAATTGGATTCAATCTACCTAAATTTAAATCAAATCACCTTCAGCTAATCATCATCTGTGTCATGTTTAGCAGGATAACCTTCTTAAGCTACAATTATCTATTAAATTCTGAAAAAAATAAAAAACAGTACCTACCTCATATGGTTATAAGGTTTTAATGAGACAGTAGTTATTCTACAAGATTATTCATTTACACGATAATGGTTGTCTTTATTCTTTTACTACAGATCTGTTAATATTGCTGCTTGTTTGTAATTGTTAGTATAATCAATCTAATTACATATAATTCCCAGATCAATTTTAATAATGAGGAATAGTAATGAAAGTGTACCTCTGTATTTTTCCTTGACTTTAATAATTTTTAAATTATTTCATCATGGAGTAATTATTATATCATATTATATACGGAACTTTCCAACTATATCTAAGAAAGTTTCAGCCTACAATGAAAGTTGCATTTAGCCAAAGACTACGTTAATATCTAAAGATTATATTATATTTTTGTCCTTGACCTATTAATATGGTGAACTATATTAATACATTTCTGAAGTTTAAAGCATTCATAGACATAATTCACTTGTGTGTGTTGGGCCTTTCTTTTTAGCGCTGCTAGATTTGATTTGGTGATACCGAGTTGGAGTAGGGAGTGGAGAAATGAATGAGTTACAGTTGAAGACTGAGAGACAGGCTGAGACTACATCAAATAGTAACTTGATTTTAGGAATTTAATATCTATTTAGAAGGAATTTTGCATGGAATTTATATTTTAAGTGTGTACATTTTTAGAACATCTATTTTCTTTGATACATTATCCTCTCTCTTCTTTTTGGCCTAATGAACTTGCTTAGTTGACTGAGATAAGCAATTAGAAAATTTCATAATGACCCCATTCTAAATCTAAGACCTCTCTACCCTGTACTCTGCCTTCTTCAACTAAAAATTAATAAAAATTCTCTGCTACTGTCTAAGGAAAATAGGGTTCTCAAGAGAAACATATTTTATTACCTGTTTCTTCAGGGAATTTGTTATTGCAATCAAATTCTTCATCCCTCGCACCTCACATCAACTTTTTTTTTTCTAACTTTCTACTGAAAGATTTCCAGATGGCCTATACTCCAAATAAACCACTCTTTAAACCACAATTCTCCCAATATTGTGAGATCCAAAGGCTATCAGTTTTGATTCATTGAAATCTCAGCACCATTCAAAACAATTTATATCCTTTTATTTCTTGAACAAATTCATTTACTTGGCTTCCAGAAAACCATGTTTTTCTCCCTGCCAAACTTGTTCCTTTTCTAACTTTATATTCTCTCTTTACTCTCTGTTTGGCCCCTAAATGTAGCATTCTAGAGCTCAGTCCTTGGAAGTGTTCTCTTCTCCCTTGGTCTCAGGACTTTAAACACTACCCACGAGCTAATGCTGAGATTTTCCACTGAAGCTTCAGATTCATGATGCTAACTGCCGCCTTAGCATGTCTGCATGGATGTCTAATATGTATCATAAAATATGTATCATAAACACAGCATGCCCAAAATCCAACTCTTGATTTCTACTGCTGTGCCCCAAGCAAACTAGCTCCTTATCCAGTCTAACCAACCCAGTGAAGGGCAAAACTATTCAGGCTTAAAACCCAAGGGACATTCTTGGCTGCTTTTCACAACCCAAGGGACATTCTTGGCTGCTTTTCACATCTCACATTCAGTTCATTATTCAGTGTTGTTGATACCATTTACACTTAAAATCTAAAACTAATCACATCCCACTATCCCTCGCACCACCCTGGCATCACTGAGCCACTGAAGCACTGTACTTCCTGTCAAGTGAAAAAAATAAATCAACTTGTATTAAGCCAATATCCCTGTGCTACCCTAGTCAAAGATACCACTGTCTGTCTTCTGGAACACTGCCATGCCTCTAAGTGGACCCTTTGATTTTACTTTTTTTTTTTTTTTTTTTTTGAGACAGAGTCTTGCTCTGTCGCCCAGGCTGGAGTGCAGTGGCACTATCTCGGCTCACTGCAAGTTCCGCCTCCCGGGTTCACGCCATTCTCCTGCTTCAGCCTCCCGAGTAGCTGGGACTACAGGTGCCTGCCACCATGCCTGGCTAATTTTTTTGTATTTTTAGTAGAAACGCGGTTTCACCATGTTAGCCAGGATGGTCTCGATCTCCTCACCTCATGATCCGCCCGCCTTGGCCTCCCAAAGTGCTAGGAGCAGAGAGCTCTCTATTTGGTACTAACAATGTGTAATACTACAAATTCATTTATTTTACATCTCTGTTCCCCTCAATGCTTAATTTTTTATTTTTATTTTTATTTTTATTTTTTTTTATTTTTGAGACAAGGTTTTGCTTTGTTGCCCAGGCTGTAGTGCAATGGCATAATCTCAGTTCACTGCAACCTCCACCTCCCAACCTCCAGTGATCCTCTTGCCTCAGCCTCCTGAGTAGCTGGGACTACAGGTGTGTGCCACCACACTCGGCTATTTTTTTCATTATCTGTAGACATGGGGTTTCCCCATGTCGCCCAGGCTGATTTTAAACTCCTGAGCTCAAATGATCCTTCCATCTCAGCCTCCCAAAGTGCTGGGATTACAGGCATAAGCCATTGCACCAGGCCCCCTCAATGTTTCCTAAACACATTTAGAATAAAATTCAAAGTCCTTATCAAATGTATGTATTCCGATTCCTGGATACCCTTTGGAACTTTCCTTTTCTAACAATATTCATCTTTGATCAAGCTGCCATAGCCATGCTAACTTCCACAATGGGCCTTAAATACCCACATTTGCTCCCACCTCAGGGTCTTTATACTTACTTTCTTCTGCATAAACACTCTTCTTTCAGATTGTTGCATGACACTCTCTTACTCTCCCAATTTACTTAAATATCTATTAAAATATCAGTGACAGGGAGATCTTTCTTAATACTGTAAAAAGCAGATAGTCCCTACTTTGTTTTATTGAATTCTCCATCCTCAATTCCTGGAACAACTCCTGACATTTCAAAAGTACATGTTTCTGAAAGGATTAATAAATATTTGAAACAAGACAAAATGTACAAGGGTCAGTTTTGCATGTTATTTAAGTGTCTAGAGAGGTGTAGGGAGTAAAGAAGTTGGAGAGAGGTTAGAAGAGTACCTGAGAAGTAATTCCTTCTCTTAGAAATAAGGAGTGGATAAAATGTAAAATGTAATCCTCTTTTATGCCAGAGAAAATACAAATTGTAATATGTACAAATTATTTTGTTTTGTTTACAGAAGATTAAAAAAAATATCTACTGCACTTGGTAACATTGCATTAGTAAGCTATGTATGATGCTCTTTTCAATTTGCCTGACACTTACTTATTAAGAATAGGTGAGTCACATTTTCAAAAGATTTTTAACTTTGCCAGATTTCATTTCAGAATTCATTTAAATAAAGAGCAAACCTGCAAATTTGAAGTCTGATGTTTTTAACCAATTAGTATATACAAATTTCTGGAATATGGAAGCATCATATACATGAATAAAAGTATGACTTTTTAAATGACTATAGAGTTTTTAACATGATGTATTATGAAGTACAATAAGCAAATGACTAAAAGTCAAGAATAACTTTATTTCAACCCTGTATGTACTGTGAGAGTCAAGTCATTTGAAATCTCTAAATCTTAATTTTGTCATGCGTACAAAGTAGAAATATAATAACATTTGGTCTGTTTAGTATTTTTTGAGATCAAATAAACCAAGGTAATGTATGTGCTTTAGTTAAAAAATGCTAAGTATTTCATATAAATGAAAAGTCATTTTTACATAAAATTCAGTGGATCCATTTATGAAAATGAGATTTTGTCACATAGCAAAATGTATAAGCAAATACATTATTGGAAATGAGTTTTTCGCCAAAATAATCTACTTAACTATGTTTTGAGAAAATGTGCAATTTTTGTAAGAGGAAAATTCTGCATTCTCACAGTCACCTGAAAAATGCGAAACTTGACTCAGAGCATGTAAAGCTTTATTTGTTTGTACAATGTTCAGCAAAGAAAGAAACGTCGGTCATTCCCTTTTAAAGATCTCATTTTTTACCTGTCAAATGTGACAGAGTTCAATACACAATTGTTTTTCCACTGGGTCAGTTTCTTGGCTGAGGTGAGTAAGCATGCCAGGCAGAGTTGGACAGTTAAAGAATTAAAATGTCCCAAGTAGCATAGCAGAAAAGATTTGATATGTGGCTCCTTGAGAATTTAAACAGTGTAAAAAAAAAACAGGTAATATTATTTTTAAAAATATTTACTTGGCTCAGAGTGGGGGTGATCGTGGAGATATAAACGGAACTACTAGAGGAAAGAAAGAATTGGTGAATTCTCCCTTGAATTAAGCGAAGTGTAGCTTAAGAAATGAAAAGCTCTGGAAGCGGCCTCATGTTAGCAGCTTAAGCAGTCACGTAGTTGGAGAAGAGGAAGGGGGTTAGCAATCAGTAAATACTCAAATATTTGTGAAATAGGCTCTATCAGAAAAATCTCAGAAACCAGCTGTGCCAGCAAGAAGCATTGGAAACCTGAGGGAATTCCGCTTTGTTTTAGTTTCTTTTGTGAAATGCCAATCAACAAAACATTATTAAAAGGCCTAAGAAATGGAAAGACAAATAAGGGTTCTTTTTTCTACAACCTACAAATCCTGATGGAACAAGATTTTTTTTTTTTTAACCACCTAAGCAGATAGAGACAATTCAAATACTAGGCTGAATTTTAGTTTCAGCTGTGTTTGGAAAAGTATTACATGGAATACAACACTGTACCAACTGACAAATGATTTCTCCCTTATTCAATAATATTCCTAAAAACTTAGCTTGATTGATTAATGGTAAGGTTAAGATGACCTCTTAATTATCTACTTCATGTTTAAGAAGGAGAAAGTGAAATAAGGAACCAATATAAAGCATTGATTTATATTTCTTTGCATGATGATAATGTTAAATTTTTTATGTTTCTTATTATAACAACTTGAGGTAAAACTTTATTTATGGGTTATCATTAAACTTCCAAAATGGGAATTTCTAAAGAATATTCTTGATATGGAAATAATAAATGGAAGTATCTCTCCTTGTACAAATATTGGGATCACCCTTCTTCCTTCTTTGACAATTTCTTAACAATTTTAATAACCACTTGGAATACCTTCCCAATCCCCTGACCAAATAGTTCCATTTCTTCATATCTTCAAAAATCTTCTCCCGTATGTAAATTCAGCCATCTACTATTATGGTTATGCCTTAGATCTTGTCATCACCAATAGCTGCACACCCACTGTAATCTCTACCTCAGGTATTCTTCTCTCTAAATAACAGCTCCAATCCTTTTCTTCTCTTCCTCAAATTCACCTGCATTCACACTGTTTGATTTTCTGAATCTAACAATAATTCACCCTACCATGACCTGTTACCTATTGACACTACCATTTTTTTACTCTCAATTATCCCCCTTCACTTATTATTTTGCCTACCCTAGATAACACTGTTCAACTTCTTAGTATGCTGATTTTCCTAATAAGGAAATTAAAGTAAGATATTTAATCCCTCTGAGCTTCAATTTCTCTATTATGAAAATCAGTATACCAATACAAAATCTGGATAAACCAAAAACCTTGACTCTTTCCTTTTTAACCGTTCCAACACAGTTCAAGAATGGCAAGTAGTAGCTACATCAAGCCTAGGTCCACATTAGAACTACCTGGGAGCTTTTAAAGGTACCTTGCTCTAATGTCTTGGCTCCATTCCTCCTGATGAGCATCTTTGTCCTCATGACTACTTCCAGATGTTTTTTGGAAGTTCTTAAATTTACTGTTGATTTAAGGACTTTTGGAAAACCTGATGAATTCTACAAAACTCTTCTACAGACCTTGCTCATGGACACAAACTGTTGCTTACAACTTCAAAAAACATTTCAGCCATCTGAATCTTATACAGTGAATAAAGGTTAAGAACTTATGGATCATTACCAGAGATTAACTGAAGTCTTGTGGGTTCCCAAATATTATACAATATTAGGAATCAATCTTAAATAATTCAAAATTACAAACACAAAATAACAGGACCTTAGAAGAGCCTAGTGTAAGTGAGCGGCCCTGAAGCCTAAACATCCTTAGCTTCACAGTTATTCCATTTCTGACTATAAATATGCTGTCTTCCAAATACTACCTTTCACACAGACACACACACACAAAAAAAAAAAAAAAAAAAAAAAAAAAAAAAAAAAAACCTCTGTGATTTGGATAAACTAAGAATCTTCGTTGTTTAGCCTAAAGAGAACTGTGGCTTAGAGTTTTTTGTAGGCTAAATTTGGGGAAGATTTCTAAGTGCCCATTTTTATTATATTTTGATCACCCAATCTCATATTTATGTATTAAAAAGTTCTAATTTGCTTTTTAAGTGGTTCCAAAAAAAGGTAAATATTTAATTGATAAATCTAAACAGTATTCAAACTAAAATGACCAAATATATTTTTAAATAAACAATCCCTTTAGAGTTTTCTTTCATGAAAAATGACTCAGGAATTACTACACACAAAATGCTTCCATCTCTGGCCCAGTAGGTTATCAGGAATCTAATACCAATTATTTTAAGTCCTATCTATGATGTAGCTGCTGAATATCTCACAAGTGTCCCTTATAATTTATTTCACATACCACTATTGTAGCTCAGACCCTTGCCTAGAAACAAGCAATAACCTTATTACTTATTACTCTAGTTCCAGTTTTTTTTCTCTCAGTATTCCATATTTCATCATCTAAATGATTTATTTAAAAGTTGGCCTATTCATTCAGAAGCACAGCTTTGATATTACCATCATCTGTTCAGCCTTTTCTTTATTTGCTATACAAGTTGAGACTCTTATCTGAAATGCTTGGTACCAGAAGTGTTATTTCAGGTTCTTTTTATTCTGGAATATTTGCATATACACAATGAGATGTTGGGATGGGACCCAGGTCTAAATACAAACTCATCTATGTTTCATATACACCTTATACACATAGCCTGAAGGTAATTTTATGTGGTTTTTTTATGATTGTGGACATGAAACAGTTTGTGTATATTAAACAATAAAAAATCAAAGGTATCAGATGTGGAATTTTTCAATGGTGGTATCATGTTAGCACTCAAAAGTTTTTGGATTTTGGAGCATTTTCAATTTTGGTTTTCAAATTAGGAATGCTCAAACTGAATTAAAATATTTAACTCTAGTATGTATTAAATGTGTACCATATGCTTGATATTTGTCATGTATGTTTTAGTTTATCGATTTTGTCAGAATTATAAAATAAATACTTTTAGCACTCTTCTTTTACAATGAGGAAACTGTGTCTTAGAAGCCACTTGACTTCAACTTTGTGGCAGCAGTATGTGCAAGTGCTGGGCATTAAACAAGGTTTATCTTACTTTCAAGATCTTGTGCTTAACTGTTATGTTATGTATTGAAAACAACCTTCCCAAACTTATTTCTTACAGAAAAATACCGTAGTGCTTCCCGTGATGCCAAACTGAACTACTCCATGCTCACCATCCTTATCCTAGCCTTCTCCATGTTCAGAATTTGGCCCATCTTTATACCGGAATCTCTATTATTCCTTCCCCTCATAGTTAAATCCTATGTATTCCTGAGTTCTCACCACAAATTCCACATGCTTCGTAAGCTGTATTCTTTCTCTGCTTAAAGTAATGCCTCCTTCCTCTAAACTACCTTAGCATTTTAATTTATTCTATATACATGACCTGTATCACTTTTTCATCTTATGTTATAACTTTGATTCTGTATTAAACTTTGCCTGTCTGTATCTCATTGGAGCCCCTAAAAGACAAAATTTTTATCTGACTTATCTGTGCCTCCAATGACATAGTGTCTTTTCCCTAGTAGATGCTTAATAAACGTTATTGAATGAATGGACCAAGCATAGACAAATGCTTCTTCTACTCTGTAAATCTTAATACATTAACTTCTACTGGCTTAGATCTAACTTGTATTTAATATTTTTATGGGTTCTCACATCCAAGTGCTATAATCATTTAACTATAGCGGTAATCATTCCTTATTCATAGTCCCATGGAACAATAGTCATAATTTCCAGTCTTTTACAAGTATTCCAGGATGCACGGTACTACCTACTATCACTAGCACTCACCACTAACTGAAGCACAATACAAAAACAGCCAGGCCTCAATGCAATATAAGTAATGTTACCACAGTTTAGAGATTGCTTTCAGGTAATCATCTGTCATTATAGAGACACTGGGAATTTCAAGAATTGATTCTAGATTCTAATTAGGTTAAAGGAAAAAATACAAACAAAAAATGAAATAAAATGATAATATAGAAACAATAATCATAGAAGTGCCTTTTTATATTCTTTGTCTAACATGGATTAATTAGAGGTGTATCTGGCTCTCCTCTTCCTTTTGGCATTTGAACTTAAAATCATGATTTATGTATTTATGTATTTAGTGGGAAATGGTAGGTAACACTATTCATGTAAATATAGGACCTCCTAGCCTCCGGTGGGCTCTGAATTCTCTAAATGTTCTGAGAGTCAGCAATATGTTGTGTTTGCTCTGGATCAAATGTGCTTTCCAAGGCTTCTGTTAGCCTTAACTTCATACCTCACAGCAGATTTTAGAGCTTGCCAGGCTGAAACCAAAGCTCTAACTCTGCTTTTGAAAAGTTCTTGATCGGTTTTAAGCTTGGAATTATTTTAACCTTTATACTTGCTCCCACAACATAGAGCAATTTTTTTGCCTCTCCTAAACTTAAATTTTAGCCAGATTTTGCAACGAGTCTGAACAGTGAGCTCCATTTGGTATTTTAAACATAATTCAAAACAAATCTACCTTCTGAATTTGGCTACTGAAACAGAATTGTTTTTGTTTATCATTTTTATGTTATCTTATAAATAGTGTCATTGGTAATTTTCAAAATTATCTGTAGTAACAAAGCAGTACTATAGACCATATGCAGTCAAATATAATACTGGATGTTACAGCAACAAAGGTAATAAAAATTGGTTTATATTAACAATTTTAGCTTTTCATAAAAATAGAATCATATTTAGCATATCGTCAATACAAAATGTCATATTGTATCATATAATTGATTACTTATTCCTGAAAATAGTAAATCATGAGCTGAAATTAATATATTGTAGGACTATAGCTAAGTCCTTAAATCAAAAATTAAAATGCCCAACTTATACTGTTAAATGTTTTTATTTTTTACATTAAGATTTGTTCTAATGTTTGACATCCTTCAATTGAAGTAAATAGTAAGTAAATATTTACAACTTTCAAGCATAAGCTGAGGGCATATCTCATCTTAGATTCAGTGACTAATTGTAAAAACCAAATAAGAATTTCATTAAAAATTGGACGCAATGCCAGCAATATTAACATACACCCTAAAGTCACTGGTGAAAGAATGATTCTGTGAGAATAAAAGAATCCCATCACTACACTGCCAGCATCCAACAAGTTTATCCTCTCTAATTTATAAAGTACTTACATACAAAGGTTATATACCAAAGGGGATGGTAATTGCTAGCACTGAAGTAATAATAATTCTATGTTATATGCAGTATTTTAATGTTTTTCCTATGTTAATTACTAAATCTCCCGTAACTCTATATAAGTATTATCATTAGTTCCCATTTCATAGGTGAGGAAATGAAGATTCAGTCAGATTAAGCAACATGTTCCAAATTACACAGGCTATAAGCTTGGAGCTGGGATTTAAACCCATGTAATTTATTTTGAGAGGCTTTGTTTGCTTCCTCTATATCCCAGAGGGAAGAGCAATGTCCAAATACTAGGGGACAACTGGCTTCAGTATTAGTCATATTAGTCAGTGTTCTACAGAAAACCAGAATGAATAGGATATACGGAGATCTATAAAAGGAGATTTGATATAGGAATTAGCTCATGTGATTTTGGAGGCCAAGAAGTCCCACCATCGGCTGTCTACTAACTAGAGAATCAAGAAAATTGGTGGCATAATTCAGTCTGTGGTTGAAGACCCAAGTCAGGAGAGTTGCTAGTATAATAAGTCCTGGAGTCCAAAGGCCCAAGAATCAGAAACTTTGATGTCCGAGGGCAGGAGAAGATAGATATCAAGAAGAAATAAATTTGTCTTTCCTCCCTCATTCTATTTAGGTCCTCAAGAGATTGTAGGACACCTACCTTCACTTGGGAGGGTGGATCTTTTTCCTTTTCTTTTTTTTTTTTTTTTTTTTTTTGAGACACACTCATTCTTTCACCAGGCTGGAGTGCAGTGGTGTGATCTTGACTCACCGCAACCTCTGCCTACCAGGTTCAAGTGATTCTCCTGCCTCAGCCTCCCAAGTATCTGGAACTACAGGTGCGTGCCACCACACCCAGCTAATTTTTATGTTTTTAGTAGAGATGAGGTTTCACCATGTTGGCCAGGATGGTCTTGATCTCTTGACCTTGTGATCCACCTGCCTCAGGCTCCCAAAGTTCTGGGATTACAGGCATAAGCCACCATGCCTGGCTAGTGGATCTTCTTTCTATACTAAGTCTACTGATTCAAACCCTAATTTCTTCTGAAAACACTCTCACAGACCTACCAGAAAGAATGTTTTACCACCTATCTGAGCATCCCATGGCATAGTCATATGGACACATAAAATTAACCATTACAGCTTCCTTTACTCAGGAGTAGTTGCAACTTCTAAGACAGTGAAATAGCAAAGCAGCTAACATAACTAACTCCATTTCTGTTTAAGGGGTCTTTATCCATTCCTGTGTGTAGGCTAGGAAAATTTTAGAGTAAACAACTGTGTTTTGTTAAAGATTTATAGGAGCATTGTGACCTGACCAAGGACAAATAAGTTCCCAACCTCCTTGAACCCTCGCTGGCACCTAGATGTCTGTAGTCACCTGTCCTCTCTTGGTCCCAACCCTCTCCTCTTCTACCTGCCGTTAATATAAAAAGAGCCTGGAATTTGTACTGACTAAAGATGGTACTTTAGGATACTAGCCGACCGTCTTCTTATTTTGCTTCTTATTTTGCTGGCTATCTGGATAAACCTTTTACTCCCATTTTTTTTTTTTTTTTTTTTTTTGAGATGGAATCTTGCTCTGTTGCCCAGGCTGGAGTGCAATGGCACAATCTCTGCTCACTGCTACCTCTGTCTCCTGGGATCAAGCAATTCTCCTGCCTCAGCCTCCCTAGTAGCTGGGACTACAGGCTCACACCACCACACCTAATTTTTTGTATTTTTAGTAAAGACGGGGTTTCACCATGTTGGCCAGGCTGGTCTTGAACTCCTGACCTTGTGATCCGCCCACCTTGGCCTCCCAAAGTGCTGGGATTACAGCCCCTTACCATTCATCTTGACCCCTCAGAAGTTTGCCTCAAGCAACTTTGTTTAATGCTATTATGGGTTTGTGTTACTTTCTCAGGCCATGTATAGGAGGCTATCATGGTACAGTCAGTAAATGTTTTAGTTTATGTTCTTTCTCAGTAGACTTCAAGACCATAAAAAGGGACAGTGTTGATTTTGGGGTACTGAAACTGGCCTTTGCAAAATTATAACTGAGGAAATTATGACAGTGAAAGAAATCAGAGCTAACCAACTTCATCTTGCTTCTAAACTTTAAGATGTCCTTGTTCATTCCTGGGCAGGCTGAACTAACTATGGGAAGGAATTCAGTTCATGGTTTGATTCTGAAGCAAAATTGATAACAACCGTTTCCCGAAAAGACCCCCTTCTTTCCTGGGCTCCGGTCTGCCTTTGCAGGACTAACAAACTAGCTAGAAGATTAGAAATTACAATTTACAGCCGAGTGCTGTGGCTCATGCCAGTAATCCCAGCACTTTGAGAGGCCTAAATGGGCAGATCACTTGAGGTCAAATGCTCAGGGAGACTGATTTGAATAATAAAAAAACCGGTCTCCTGCACAGCCATCTCTGCCTGAATTACTCTTTCTCTATTGCAATCCCCTGTCTTGATATATCTACTCTGTCTAGGCAGTGAGCAAGGTGTACCCATTGGGCAGTTACAGTACCATAGTGCCCCATGACCTCAAGGACAATGTGCAGCGCCTGGCACAGAGTAAATGCTCGAAAACAGGTATTGGAGAAGAACAGTATCCAAGCATATTAGATTAAGAATAAGGTTGTTGGCTCTTTCTGTACTTTAAAGTTCTGTCCACAACTCACAGCTTTTTTGTTTGTTTGTTTCTTACTGGTTCTGTACAGGTTAATTCACCAAAAAGATTATTAATTTCCTTATAAAATTCCCAGGATATTAAGCTCTGAAGGACCAGAAACAAAAATTCTATGTTTACTATGCCTTAATTCTAAATTAAGTGTGCCTGATTTTAATGCTTCAATAACATAGCTTTGTTTTGTTTTTCCTAACCCATCTCCAAATTTTAGCTATAGGAATTCATATATGACTCCCCTATTAGGCTGTTAGCCTCCTTTTTGTAGTAAATGAGATATTAAATTATTTTTATTTTGATTGTTAATCTAAGTTACGTGAACTAAATAATATAACATATTATCTATATTCTTATACGTGATATCCTGAATAACATATTTTAATGTTTTTGGTTCATTTAAAGAATATGTATTATAGGAAAGAATAAATCATATATTAATATATTGTATAATTATCATTGCATTGCTACATACATTTTCATAAGTCCAAATTGTTAAAAATTTTAAAGAAGAGATAAAGACCCTTGCATCCCTTGTACCAAAACCCAAAATGTATAGAAAGGTACAGATTGTATGTATCTCTGAGATGCAGATTGAAAGTATTTCTAGCAGAGGAGCAGAAGAGCAATCATTATGTTGCTTCCTTTCTTTTCTCGGTAAAATAGGATTGCTCCCTCTGGTATAGTTTCTAGTGCTTCTTTGTTTCTGGGCCAGTTTTACATGACTTAAGCAGTAAGGCTAGTGTAACTTCCCTAGAGAGATAATTTCCTGCAGTTTAATAGATTTCTTTATTATAATGCTTTTTCCCTGTTGATCAGCCATTATATATATATTCATTACTTAATTTCCTTCCATTACATATGGTCATTATGTAAGAAAAAATGTGCAAAGTTCTAATTCATAATGTTTATGATAAAAAGTAATAAATTATCATTAGTGGTAGCAATATTATTATTATTCGGAAATACCCTAAGTAAATGCTATGGGCTTGGCTTTACGTGAATACTTTGTACTAATGCTACTTTTCTTCTTCTTAAATATACAGTGATGGGAGAACATTAATGACTTTGATTCAAAAAGTAATTGAATTGCTTCATAGAGTTATGGGGATTAAGTTGAATACTTCAAAAATAATGAAATGTTAACAAATACTAACATCTAAATAACAAATGCTAAGGAATAATCAACTTAATTAGAACTAGTACTTTATAATTTTATTTTGCCCATCTAGTCTGTATTCTTTTGAAATTTATTTGTTAACTGACTCCTTTGAGCAGAACAAAATTAGAATTATGGATTTATGACATAATGGCAAACCACAATCACAAGCATGACCACAACTAACAAGTTTTCCATTCACTGCACTGCATTTAAATATCAATCCAATAGAACTTTGCCTGAAACACAAATAAGCATCTCCTTGTTCAGCAGAATATAAAGCTGATTGTATACAATGATTTTGATTGTGAGAGAGGGTAGCAAAGGGCTGAGAAACAGAGATGTTGGATAGCAGAAATGCCCTTGATTTATGATCAATTGAAGTACTTTCTTTTGTTTTGTTTTGTTTTGTTTTTTTGAGACGGGGTCTCACTCTGTTGCCCAGGGTGGAGTGCAGTGTCGCGATCTTGGCTCACTTCAACCTCCATTTCCCGGGTTCAAGCGATTCTCCTTCCTCAACCTCATGAGCAGCGGGGATTACAGGCACCCACCACCTTGCCTGGCTAATTTTTGTATATTTAGTAGAGACAGGGGTCGGGGACATCTCACCATGCTGGATAGGCTGGTCTCGAACTCCTGATCTCAAGTGAACCACCTGCCTCAGCCTCCCAAAGTGCTGGAATTACAGGTGTGAACCAGTGCACCCAGTGTAAATACTTTTAATAATGGACTAGCTCACCTTTACAATTGCTTTAGCCACACTGAAATGGGATTAAAGTATAGTAAGAACACAAAATTGGAATAGACTCTCAGATACAACATGATTTTTTATAGTTGTACAACTTAGATAAACAATGTCATACATATATAATTTAACCACCTTTTGTAAATACCTAGATATGCAAGATTGTTATATTCTCTTAACATAAATTGTATTTTATTTCTGTTATATTTCAGTATTTTAGGAGACAATTTTAAAAAGTACATTAGTTAATTTTATTAGGGTACATAATATCAATAATTATAATTGCAAAGGTTTTATTCATGGCTAGAAAACAGGTTCTGACAATTTCTTAATCATCTTTGTAAACCTCTGCCACATACTTAGTAAGAAATTATCCTTTGAACTGTTTTATCATAGGGCTGTGCTCCAAATTATAATTACTTTGATCAAAACTGTTCTTTAATTTGCAGCTGGATAGTAATTACCATCAGGAGGTCCTATAGATGATATAATAGAAATTTGAATCTAAGATTGCAGAAAATTCTAAGAAAAGCAACCTAAAAGGATAAGTCGTCTTTACTTGAAGTAGCTAGTTGAGGTTAACAATTTTGGCCTCTCAGCAACATCTGCTGAACAATTTTGAAATAGTATAAAGTAAAATTGTCACGATGCTAAAATTTGAGCTAATGCCAGCCTTCTAAACATATTTTACAAAAGTCTCTGGGAAATAAACATTTCATGGTAAAACACCAAGACAAACTCTTTCAGTTTGGAATTTACTAACTCAGTGGGGAATGTACAGAGAAAACATAAAGGTATTCTTCAGTTCCTTCAGTTATAAGCTCTTCATGGATAGATTATCAACTAGATTTTGCATCTCCCTAGACATTAAAATATAATCTGAAAAACAACTAAGTAAACAAAAACATTAAGTTGTGGAGAATCCTTGTCTTCACACATTCTACTTTTTATGGGACCTCAGGTTATCATAAACAATTTATTAGGTATAATATGTAATCTATATCAGTCATAAAATTAAATCATATATGTTTTATCAAATTCTGTCACAGCATTGTACTTTTTGATATTTATTGTGTTGTTCTGGAGTAAGTATTTTTACAATTTAAACAGTTTGTCAGCCAACATGTATTTATTGAACATATCTGCCTGGTTATGTGCTAGGTCCTGGACATTCATTGACAAACAAAACAGATTTAGTCTCTGACTTCATGGAGTTTATGGTATAGCTGGTAAATAATGCAATAAAGAAATAATCACAGTTAATTTGAAGTGTGTAAAATGATACAAGAAAAGAAGAGAAGGGCATTGTGTTACAATAATTGAAGAAAATAAAGCTTAGCACGATTGCTTTATTTCCCCAAAGAAATATATCCAGAAAGTGTTGATCCAGAGCTCAAACTTCAAACTAGAATTTTAGTATCCTATATTCTACATAACACCTAGAATCTCTGCACCATCTCCCAATAGTATGCCCTCATTTCAGCACAGAACATAAACAATTAAGGGGGATTATGGAAAAATCATTTAGCCACTTCCACCAGTCTCTCCATATAGTTGCCACCACAATTGTAATCCATGGGATTTTTTAAACTATATGTTGCTCATATATCATTATTCTCTTTGGAAAAGAGTACCAATGCTAATCTTTGGATATACCCTGGCATATTAGAAAATTTGTCTACAAGGAAAACAATTTTCCTGGACCATAAACAGTTAAGTTTTATAAAAATAGGAGCTATGCATTTATTGTCCACTGTTGTTAATTCCAGTTCTTGAAGAAGTATGTTGTGAATTGTATACATGACAATTCTGACATTTGAATGAAAGAATCGAGTATTAAAAAGAGGGAAAAAAAGCAGAGAATAAAGAATTGCATGCTAAATGAAGGAGAAAGTTGAAAAAGATTTGAGCAGAATGGTTATGCAATACTCTGGTAACCCATTAATGTAAAGCTCGTATATGTTAATATTGTTAAGGAGAAGGATTTTTGGTGTTTTCTTCATTCCATATCAGAATAATAACCTAATATCACCAGTACACTCTTACAATTACTGTAAATTTAACATACAATAAATATTACAGGTAAACAGCAAAGTCCAGCATTAAGTTTGAACAGTCCCTGAGAAGCAGCATTTTCTGATAAGCAGGGAGCTTTTTCCCCTACTTATGTCATGGAGGGAAAGACAAGGAGAAAGAGAGGAAAAAAAGGAAGCATAGAAACTAGAATACTTGAATAATGGTAGAGAGTCTTTCAAGTTATGCTTTGCTAGGATTTTTAAATTATTATTATTTATACTTACAACCTATTAAGTTCTACCATTTATTACAATAGCTATAGGTTGCCCCAAACCATTTTCAAGAACTGAAAGACAGCTTTATACTGAAAATTTATGAAAATAACAGGTCATGTTTTTCTTAGAAGAGAGTGATAAGATTGGCAGAAATAAAGTACTATTTTGAAATATAATCATATCTTGTTTAAAAGAACACGTTTGTCAATGAAAATTAAGTCTGATGATCTTTTGAATAAATCTTAAGACTGGCAAACTAGTCATTTCCTTTCAAGCCAGGGCTTCATAAAGCTTACATAATGACTTCTTTTCATGGAAATATCTGCTTAAAACTAAAATTCTTTCAGAAAAATGCAGAATTCTAACAATGCTCATAAGCCTTGAGCATTGCTCATAATCTTTGCTGTCCCCTTTGAGTGCAGGTGAAAAATCTGTGAATACTGAGAAATATTTCTTCTATCATTATGTTACTCTCTATGTCAAAAAAAGAGATTATCTGGGTTGTCACAACCTCTTCACAGGAGCACATAAAAAGCCAAAATTTTTCTTTAGTTAGTGGCAGAAAGAGATGTTAGAGAAATTTTAAGCACCAGAAGAATTTCAGAGGCCCTTGTTGTCTTGAATTTGGAGGGGGACTGTTCTGCGGTGAGCAGGTATAGGCAGACCTACTCCCAAACGCCAAGGGGGCTGAGATGCCAAAGAAAGAGGCTGACAAATCCAGTTCCTCAGCAGAAAAAATTGATAGGAAATTACAGGCAGAAGCCATGTTTCAGGTAGCTGTAAGATGGTGGATCCCAGCACCCACCCTCCAGAAAATGTCCTTTAGCAAGTTTTTGGGGTAAAACCTGTGGAGCTGATAAAACATGTGAAGCTAGTCTCAGACTTTCTTGCAAAATCCTGACCACTGTAGAGGTTAGATAAGAATCTTTATGAGGGGTTATCTACGCTACTAGCAGTATTTCTTTATGAGGGGTTGTCTATGCTATAGAAACACCTTGGCATACGGAGTCAAACGTGGGTTAGTATAGCAGTTTTGCTTCAAGTTAGCATCAATCTTGCCATAAAACAGGCTGTTTACCTACAAGGCTCCATGCAAGGATCAGACATCAGCCTCTGGGAGTTAATTCCCAGCTGACAGCCGTAGAAAAAAAAAATGGAGTGTACGCACATACATACTCACACATATATACATACTCATACGATCACGGAATTTTTCCAAAATAATTAAGCTCTAAATCTGAATTATATCAAATAGAAGGCTTCTCCAGAAATCTACCTTTATTTAGTATTATTTCTATAAGTAAATATGCTATAATACATTGTCTAGAAAAAAAACACCTTTAGATCTAGGCATTATTTCTTAAATTTAATCTTTCCTGCTTTTTTTAAAGGTAATTTCTTTCTAGACTACAATCAATGGAAGTACAATAATGCCTTTTATTAGTCTTATCAGGTTAGCATAATCACAGAATAACTCTTATTTTATTCCTACTAATCCGACACTTGACTGACTTCTCACTACTTTTAATCAAACCGTTGGTAATACCAGAAAACTAGCACTCAGAAAAACAGCAGAAATACCTGTTTATATTTGTATCACACCTTACAAATTCTAAAGAACTTCATACCCAATCTACTTTGCAATTAAAAGAAATAAAATTAAACTAGCAAAGCACTTTTACATATTATATTTTATTATTGAAATAATCTTGTGTAATATGTTCTTAGTACCTTCGTTTTGCAGAAGAAAATTGAAACTAAAAACTGAAGAGCATTGAAAGCTTATATAAACGATTTTTATGAGTCAATCATTAGCATATTGAAGAGGAGAAATGGGATTATAGCATAAAATTAAAATTTACTCTGGAGTATCTTACAGTTGGAAAACTTCTAGGTTTCAGACAAGGTGGGTTAGCCATATTTCTTCACCTACTATATTCTCCAACCCTTGAAATATTAAACATTGTCTTCCTTTATATATTTCTTTAAAAAATTAAACAAATCTGTGGTTGTGTCTTTAATATTTTTGACTACTTATCATGAAAAATTTACTGGGTCTCCTACTTCACAATCAGTTGCAGTAATGATGTAGATAATAGATTTAATTACATTTTTCAGTGATAAATGTTAATATTACATGTGATATATGTAATTATGATTTATTATATTTTGATATAACTGTCAGTATTATATGTGATAATGTGTATAACATATGCTCAATTTTTTTTAGTCATTTCATTATAAAAATAATTCCTAAAGTTACACAAGTATTATTTAAAGGTAAGAAATGATTACTCTCTTTAATGCTCCTGTGATACTACCCACTAAGGTTAATATTAGAGTGAGAGATATTGTATTGTAATAGACAAAATTCAAGACTGTAAAATACTATTCAGGGTTTTGAAGTTCAATAAAGCTGTGATCATATCAGCAAAGTGGAAATAATACTACCTCCCCCAATTTGGTAGTTATAAGGATTGTAAAAGACGGTCCCAGTAGAATGTTGGCACATTGTGAGAGTATAATTAATATTGGTTTTTGCTTTGATGATTATTGTGGTGGTGGTGGTGGTTTTAAAAATTACACCTATTTGTATCAATTACATCTACATTTATACACATACATATATGTGTATCAATTATTTTTAGTATATAGTTTAACTCTTATGCAAAAAAATTTAAAAACTTCAGAGAAAAGATGTGACAAAATGCAAGGTACTTTTATCAGAATTAAATTGTGTAAACCAAACCAAAGTGTGTATGTTAACAGGCACACACAGAAATTCTTCATACGGGTTTGCCTTCCAGCACTTGTGGGAACTGGATAAGCAACCTCCATAATGCTGTTGTCCTGAGTCTTATGCTGGAGCTTGGCACCCAGTGGGCAGGCAGTTGTTAAGAGGAGATGAATGTAAAATAGCACAAGGACAATCTGAAACCTACGAGTATGAGTTAGAACCTACGAAGTTAGACTGAAACCTGTGTCAGTACTATCTCCAATATTGAAACATGTGAGTTTGAAAACAAAACAGAAAGCCTGGCACCTTTCATTAGGCGGCAAAAGGCACACCTTGTGCAGGAGTCAGGAAGGCTGACGGGAAATTCAGTAGAATATAGAATATGGAGCAGTTATAGCCTTGACCAATGCCCCATACCAAAATGAGGTGACCCAGCAGATAAGCCACAAGTTGTGAGCCACAAAATGGTTGCTGTCTTGCTTCTCCCTTTAAAGTCTCACACAAAAATCTTCTGTAGTTCACTGTACTTAGAAACATACATGGAAGGGAATTCAGTGAAATGTAGTTCAACCCAGTCAAATTGACATATTACACGGCCACCACACTAGTAAATATTACAGTAAAAAAGATAAGACATTCTTTAGACTGTTAGAAAAAACTAAATTTCCTTTTCCAAAAATCAAAAGTGACATTTTGCCTTATACAAAGTAGATGGAGCAGTCAGAGATCAATTAATTCCATGAGTCACCAAACCTAGCTCATGTTTGTTTGTTTGCTTTTTTTCCAAAAGAAGTGAGATAAAAGGGAGAAAGCAAAAGACAGTCTTAATATTCCAGAGTATGATTTTGAATTCTTTATGATTTCAGATTTTTAAATTAGTATTAAAATAATTCTATTACCATCAAATTCGTGAATAAGCAGCAGTTTGACAAAGTTCTTCATGAATACCAACTAAATATCCTATTGAATGTATATAATCAAAATCAATATTAAAATTTGACTTACAATCAGATAAACTGAGCCAATAACTTGCTTTATTTTTAACCCAGATTTGTTTTTGTATTCTCAATATTATTCTTTTATTTTCACAAAATCTAAAGATGTATCACATATGGAATACTATTTTTTTATACTGGAAATAAATTATTCTTGAGACTAAGCAATTTAAAAAATCTCTTCCCCATTTTCTTCTAATTTCAAATAGACTCCAATTTAATCTTCCTCAACAGATTGGCAGAAAGCATTAAGCAGACACATTCTTAAGAATATTCAGCCCAAGTCATGTTTTTTTTTAATGTGATAATTACAACCGGGTATATCAATAGAATGGTTAGCTTGAGGCTTGAGAAAATAAACTGACTCATATTCTACTCTCTTAGTAATAACATTGTTATTTGATTCGCTTTTTTGCAGTGGCTTCACTAATAACAAGCTATATTATTTGTCTCATAATGTGTTTTATCTTCAAGACTAAATTTGCTATTAGAAAACATTTGCCAATTAAAAAAAATATCATTTCCATAAAACAGCCAAAGCTTAAAGTGAAACAAAGAGATTCTGTATCATACTCCCCAGAAATAGTGAAACTTAATTATACTGAACACGAAATCACCTTGCATTTAAGAGTGTACTGAAGTTGGCTACTAGTAGTGTGAATGAAAGCTTTGGATACACCTCAGTAAAAAAGAGAGATAGAACAGGGCAAAATGATGAAGCAAAAGTCTCAAAGTAGAGATTAAATCACTAATCTGCTACTTAAAATCTCGAGGGTTAATTTATTCAGCATAATTAATGGGACAATGGTTTGGGCACTAGAGAACAAAATCTTTACTAGAATAAATAACTCCATATAAATTAACAAAATAGTCAAACTTTATTTCTTCTTTTTTTTTGTCTTCAAGCTCCAGTAATAATTAAAGCTGACTATTACAAAAGGGACAACTCTAGCAGTCAATGGTCTTGATGAATTTTAAAATATATGGGCAGAGCTTCTTAGTCGTATGGATTTTATTTCTATTACTTAACCAGATTTCTTGGTATAATTCTGAAATTAAGAAATGTACTTTATTGCACAATTGTAGCCCAAGATGATATTGCTTTAAATGTATGATTTAGTCCAGTGCAAACTAGTTTTCTCCAATAAAAGCCATTTATTTAACTATGAAAAAATCTACTAAATTTTATCTATCATAATTGATACAAAAACTTGCTTTGTGTGCAATAAAGATTTTCATAGCTTGCTTTATGAGGAGTAAGGATGACTTTTATATTTTTACTATTAAGATGCTTTAAAAATTTGCTGATATCCTTGTTATACCTCAGTTTACATAAATGTTATAATTGTACTTATAAAAAGCAGCAACTTTTGATAAAATCAGAATGATATTTATATTGTTAAATCCAAAGAATTAAAAATATGAGATATTTAGGACTTGTTTCTTGGTTATTGCCTAGTTAATAACAAGGGAAGGAAAAGATGCCATCTTGGTTTTAGGGAAAACAGGAAACTGGATAATTCTCAGAAGCAGAATTTTGAGTACAAAGCACAGTTCTAAAGAGAATAAATATAGTATGATATCTTTTTTGAACTTAGATTTATGCAAGAGACCTTATATTGGTTAATTATGACAACAATGTAGTGAACTAGAATTATAAACATAAAATCAAAGTAGAAGTGAAATGAGGTTGGAAAAAGTAGTTAGAGGATTCAACATTATTTAATAGTAAATCAGTTTTTACTATGTTATACTTTTTTTAGATTTAAGAAATTTTTAATAGTTTTTGTTGTTTTTTTCCTCTATTTTCTAAATAGACATCTGCAAGATGTATTTCTACTTGTTTAATTAGAAATACACAACGCGACTCTCACTTCTGTCATCAACCACAAATTCAAGAGGTTCACAAAACCTCTTAGGCTTGATGATTCACCAGCCAAACTCACAAAACTCACTGAAAGCTGTTATATTAAAATTAGCCAAGGCAAAAAGCATATAGGGCAGAACTCAAGAAAAATACCAATGCCATGCTTTCATTATTCTTTCTCTGAAAAGTCATGACTGTGTTACTTTCAAGCAGCAATGTATGACAATACCCATGGAATTATAACAACCAGGGAAGCTCACATGAGTCTGGGTACCCAGGGTACTTATTAGGACTCCATCTCATAGGCCCAACTGACTGCCCACCTGGCTGCTCTCAATTTCCGGCACCTCAGGAGAGCTAACTGGTGCCACAAGATCCAAAAATCCCACCATAAATCTCACTGTTACCTCACTGGCTGTCCCAAGGTTCCCAGACAAAGACACTCCCATAGGGCATGAAATTACAAAGGCTTAGATATTACTTCCCAGAAGCCTAGGGCAAAGGTTAGAACTTTCTTTAGGCAAGGTTAAATTCTTTACTATACATCTCAAGAAAACAACACAAAATTTATAAATTATCTGGAATGTGGATTATGGGTGAGTTTAACTTTCTGTAATGTTTTGATGTTTATAATTAACATTTTTTTTTCTGTGGTAGAGAAAAAAGACTCTTCTCACAAAAAAGAGAAGCTTACATAATTCTGAGATTGGCCATCAGTTGTCATCTTGGGAAAAACACTAGTCTAAAGGTTTTGGCCTTGGCTTTCATACCAGTGTAAATACTCAAACACTTTACTATTCAATATATTATCTACATGAAATACCTCCAGAATTAACTCTTTTAACTGACACTTTGTGATTTCGGTACTGGCTTTATATAAATAGATGTATCTACTTGAGCAGGGGACAATTTAACTTTGATTTGAGAAGCTATGCATAACCATTAATTTTTAATTTTTTCATCAACCATATTTCTCCAAAAATGTTAATCAGATACTTCTATACGGAAGGTGCTATTTTTTCACCTGCTTTGTCCTCTCTTTTTGTTTTTTTATTTTTCTGACTATTCCTTCTACCCCCAACCCCACCACCTGGTGTGTATGTGAGCATGTGGTTGTGTGTCTAATTCAAATACATTAGTTTTTATAGTATGAAAAGTAATGTCTCAAGGGCTGATCTGTTGCTCCACTCTTAGTAAATTCTGATCTTGGAGAATCCATTCATTGTCCTTCTGTGCCAAGAATACAATAGGAAAGAAAAGAATTAGAAAAGTAAAAATAATGTGTAATGACTGATAGACCAGAATCATTTAGTTTGGAATTTGAGAAATTATATAAACAGTATTTTCTTGGAATCAAGTAAATTCATAAAAGCTACATATTTGTAGACCAAAGAAAAATCAAAGATATACTTTGAAGATACATCCTACTTTCATTTTGTTGTTGTTGCTGTTTTGTTTTGACTGAATCACATCAAATATTAATAGATTTGTCATATCATAATGAAAAAAAGTTTATCGCCATCCTCAATTTTACATTGCTATTTGATTCTTGTGTATCTTTGTACATGAATAAAAGGAGAGTAATCTCCTCTTCCCTTTCCCAGACGTTAGAAAAATAAAATAAGAAAATTCAATTGCAGCCTGAAAAATTTACCCTCAATAAATTTGTTAAATATTGAACTGAAATGTTAGGACATCTTTCTCTTCAGTACTTAAAAACCCATGATAAATTTAAATGACCTGAAATATTTGTAAGTCTCTGTGGATAAAAGAATTTCTAAAGACTTCTCAAGGTATCTTCTATAATCTTTTATCTTTGGAGAAATCTATGACATATTAGGAAAAGTGAAGTAAAAAGGACAATTGATAGACAATAAGAACACCAGATTTAAGCTAGTAGATTTCAACAGACAATTTAACACTGTGCTGATAAATTCTTGTCAGCATTTGTCACTCATCAGGGATTTTATAAGAAAAAAAGCCCTTGTGTGTTCCTTGAGGGTTCTTGGTTCAACAAAAATAAATCTCTTTTGAATTGTGGAGCCCAAGGTGAAAAAGATGCAAGTGCATTGATGTTGATCTTGGATCTTTGTGCAGAAGAAAGAAAAATACTGGAGCAGGTGCCACTATCTTTTAAGAGTTACCCAGTAAATATCTGTCAAATAGAATAAAATTGAATTGAACTATTACTTGTGAAGTCATTTTAATTGCCATATATTGAGGAATAAGTAAAATTGTCTTCTTGACTTTTTGAATATTTCTGATGATTTCTACAAATTGTAGGATATACTATATATCATAGTTGATGCTAAGCAAATTTGCTTTTTTAGAAATAACATTAATCGAATCAGTTAAAGTATAGGTCTAAAAAACACAAAACAATATAAAATGAATAAATGTACCTTAAGATATTTTATTAAAGCTGAAAACAATGCCAAAATTAAAAACTGCCAGGCTATAAATTTTGTTCTTAGATATTTAATGTAGATCCAACTGATTATAGATAGATACTATGTTACTCTTGAATTGAACTACTCAACTTAGTAAAGTTCATCTCATGTTAGGAACAGGTTAACTGGAATGAAAGGATAATGAGTTTTATGAGTGAATCTATTATATTTTCCATTGTTATAATTTAATTTTAAAGAAGAAAATGTAAAATAGAAATGCATTAGGCAATTTGTTAAATGTTTTGGAACAATTTTATTTTTAAAACTTTTTTGAGCGTTATGCCCATTTTATTTATTTTATTTTATCATATTGTATTTTTTTCAACTTTTATTTTAGAATTAGGGGTACATGTGCAGGTTTGTTACAAAGATGTATTCCATAATGCTGAGGTTTAGAATAAGATTAGTACCCAGTAGGTAGGTTTTCAGTCCTTGTCTCCTTCCTCCCTCCCTGCTCTAATAGTCCCCAGTGTTTATTGTTCCCATCTTCATGTCCATATGTACCCAATGTTTAACTCCCACTTATAAGTGAGAACATGAAATATTTGGTCTTCTATATCTGTGTTAATTCATTTAGGATAATGGCCTCCAGCTACATCCATGTTGATAATCATTATTTTATAGTAAAAGTAAACTTCCTTCAAACTAAACAATTATATATTTCACTTATGCTTGCCAATTTGCTCTGGCACTTTTTAAGGCTCCTGGGGCTTCTAGGCTTAGTGAGTTTTATCTTTCATTCACACAATAATATAAGAATCACTCCTTGGGATTACCAAGGGAAATTAGACACAATTTGTCCCTTATCATGAAGCTTACATTTGAGAGCTGCAAACTCTGAGTACAAAAAACTCTGTCCAACTCCCTCATCCCTACTCACCCACCACACACATACAGGCAAACACTAAAAGACCAATCTCTAGCATAGATATGTGGGCTGTGTCCCTAAAATAACCTCAGCTCTTCTCTTAAAATTCCTGTCTGGGAAAGCTCAATGTTGCCAAAATAATTTGTTTGCTCCAGCCAAAACTTGACTGCAGGCCACGACCTCTCTTTTCTTACAGCATTTACTTTAAAGAACTTGCAATTATAAATCTTTTCTTTTCCCCTTTGAGATGTAAATCTTCTACAGTCCAGAAATGTCTTTCTCAAGGACCTGGAAGTCACCCCTTTGAAATGTAATCATCAAGAAGGTTAGGCCCCTCCTGTCTTCTAGTCTCTGTGAGACTCTAGAGGCCAGTCTTCAGTAAGGAACAATTAGCAAACACAGATGGCCTAATCAGACTGATCAATCTCCCTCCTCCCTAATGTCTTTCAATACCTTAACTTTCACACACCTTAATGTTTACAAAGCTTTCTGGCCTTTGTTTTTGTGGAGTTGAGCTTTATATGGGAGTTTATATGGAAGTCTCTCTCCTCTCCTGAAGCAGTCAAAATAAAATCTGTCTTGCCATCTTTAATAAATGTCTGGTTTTGTTGCTCTTTGTTGTATGGCAGTGGAATAAATGGGCATTAATCAAATAAACAGATATATAATGCCATAACTACAAGTGGTAAGTGATGCTAATCATGAAAATAGCAGGGTACTATGGTGAAGAGTAAAAGCAGTTCTCTTCAGTGTTGGATTGATCAGAAACGTGATGCATGAGTTGAAACATTAAGAAGGAGAAAAATCATATAAGTAGGCAGATACATATTTTTCCAGGCATAGAAACATAAAATGAAAAATACAAAAAGTAAGAAAGAGGCTTGGGTATGCTAGGAATGACACATGATCTTGAGCTTTGAACACAGACAGAAATAAAGCATAGTATAGCTGGATAGTTAAACGGGGTGCATACAATGAAGTACCATCTTTGTCATTGAAAAAGTTTGTGTTTTATTATGAATGCTTTGGAAACCACTGAGGGAAAGAAGTGAAGAGATCACTTATTTTTTTTTTCAAATTTTCATAGTATGACCTATATGTAAAATGGATGGGAAAAGAGCAAATATGTAAGTAAGAAGAGGTGCTAGGTCAATTGGGCAGTCCAGGTGATTAGAATGAAGATAGTTAAGAACAGATAGCTTTGATATATGTTTTTTAGCCAAGAACCATCAATTGGATATTTGGGATAAAGGAAGGGCAACACTTAAGATATTTCCAAGGTTTCTGGATTTCATAACTAGAGAAATAATTATTCCAGTTCTTGAGACAGGGAGAAAGATTGGCTCTTAAGGGAAAAAAAAATAAAGCATTCAGTTTTGGATGCGCTAAGTTTAGAAATCTATGAGCTATCCAAGTGGAAATAACAACAGCTCAGTGAAAATATAGTGCCTGGAGCACTACATGTGAAAGTGTATGGACAGTATTTAAGTGAGTAAGATCATTCTTAGGTTATAACAGAGGAAGAAATGTTCTGAGTATCTGAGTCATTCAGAGAAGAAAGATGCTAGAAAAGACGAAGAAAGGTGATCAGTGAAACAGTGATACCTGGAAAGGAAACCTCTTCAAACGGCAGGAACAAATGTCTAAGAGTGAGGGTACTGCCAATCCTGTAAAATGCCGCTACTGAGTCAAATACAAGAACCTTAAAACAGGCTTGAGTAAAGGAGAATTCATCACTGACCTTGATTAAAGCAGTTTCACTGGAGTTGTGAAACCTCCACAGATTGCAATGATTTGGAGAATAACTGGAGAGGGTGTTGTAGCAATATATCATTCCAGGATGTTATAACATGAAAACCTCACATTGCCAATATCTAGGAGTACTAGATAATTGCTACTTTCAAATAATTTATTGCTGTTGCAGCAAAAAGTAAAATGACAGAAAAAAATATAGAACAGAAAATCAGAGAGAAGAGTCCATGAACTGGTGACATGGTAGGGTCTAAAGTTAAGAAAGGAAAGATACCACATTAGTAACTTGGGTATTGCCTTTTAATGTCATATTGTAACACACCTGCCATTTATCTGCATGATTATAGAGCACATTCTTATCTTTTCTAATACCTTGTTTTTTTACTTCCAGAGTTTGTGTGGGCTGGGTGTGGTGGCTTACACCTGTAATCCCAGCACTTTGGGAGTCTGAGGTGGGAGGATTGCTTACAGTTAGGAGTTTGACACCAGCGTGAGCCACAAAGTGAGACTCTGTGGCTACAAATAAAAATTATTTTAAAACATAGCCAAGCATGGTGGCATGCACCTGTATTTCCAGCTACTCAGGAAGCTCAGGTGGGAGATCACTGGAGCCCAGAAGTTCAAGGCTGTGGTAAGCTATGACTGCAATTTGTGTGAATTATGAATAGCTTCCAGGACTCTGTGGTATTGTCCTAGTTAACAAAGTCACTAATTATTGCCTGGACAACAGTGATAATCTCCTAACTACATATATCTCACTCTCATTACAAAATGCTTATCATTATACACTTCCTTTTTCTTAATTTTAATTTTTGTGGGTACATAATAGGTGTATATATTTATGAGTTACATGAAATATTCTGATACAGGTATGCAATACATAATCACATCAGGGTAGATGGGGTGTTCTTCACCTCAAGCATTTATCCTTTGTGTCACAAACAATCTAATTATACACTTTCAGTTATTTTAAAATATACAATTGAATTATTTCTGATTACAGTTACCCTACTGTGCTGGCAAATACTAGGACTTATTCATTCTTTCTAATTTTTTTGTACCCATTAACCTTCCCCACTTCCCCTCACATCCCACTATCCTTCCTAGCCTCTGGTAACCTTTCTACTCTCTATCTCCATGACTTTAGTTGTTTTAATTTTTAGCTCCCACAAATTAGTGAGAATATGTGAAGTTTGTCTTTCTCTGCCTGGTTTATTAAACTTGACCTAATGACCTCCGGTTCCATCCATGTTGTTGCAAATGACAAAATCTCTTTGTTTTTTATGGCTGAAGAGTACTCCATTATGTATATGTGCCACATTTTCTTTATACATTCATCTGTTAATTGACACTTAGGTTGTTTCCAAATATTGGCTATTGTGAATAGTGATGCAATAAACATGGGAGTGCAGAAATATCTTCCATATACTGATTTCCTTTACTTTGGGTATATACCTAGGAGTGGAATTGCTGAATTGTAAGGTAGCTTTAATTTCTGTTTTCTGAGGAATCTCCAAACTGTTTTCTAAAGTGGTTGTGCTAATTTACATTCCCATCAACAGTGTATGAAGATTCCTTTTTCTCCATATACTCACCAGCGTTTGTATTTTGCCTGTATTTTGAATACAAGCCATTTTAACTGAGGTGAGATGATATCTCATTGTAGTTTTGATTTGTATTTCTTTGATAATCTATGATGTTGAGCATCCTTTTATACACCTGTTTACCATCTGTATGTCTTTTTTTGAGAAAAGTCTACTCAGATCTTTTGCTCATTTTTAAAATTGGAATATAGATTTTTTATAGAGTTGTATGAGATTCTTATATATTCTGGTTATTAATCCCTTATAAGATGAATAGTTTTCAAATATTTTCTCCCATTCTGTGGGTTGTCTCTTCACTTTTATTGTTTCTTTTGCTGTGCAGAAGCTTTTTAACTTGTGATCCAATTTGTCCATTTTTGCTTTGGTTGCCTGTGCTTGTGAGATATTACTCAAGAAATCTGTGGCCAGTTCAATGTTCTGAAGAGTTTTCCCAATGTTTTGTTATAGTAGTTTCATAGGTCCTAGATTTAAGACTTTAATCCATTTTGATTTTATTTTTGTATATTGTGAGAGATAAACATCTAGTTTCATTTTTTTCATATAGATATCCAGTTTTTCCAACACCATCTATTAAAAAGTTTTTTTCTCCCAATGCATGTTCTTTGTACCTTTGTCAAAAGTGAGTTCACTGTAGATGCATGGATTTATCCCTGCATACTCTATTATGCTCCACTGAGCTATGCATCTGTTTGTATGTCAGTATCAAGCCAGTTTGGTTACTACAACTCTGTAGTATAATTTAAAGTCAGGTAATGTGATTCCTCCACTTTTGTTCTTTTAGCTTAGGGTAGCTTTGGGTATTCTGGGTCTTTTGTGGTTCCATATAAATTTTAGATTTTTTAAAACATTTCTATGAAGAACGTCATTTGAATTTTGACAGAGAATGCATTAAATCTGTAGATTGCTTTGGGTATTATAAACACTTTAACAATATTAATTCTTCCAATTCATGAAAATGAAATATCATTCCATTTATTGTGTATGTCTTTAATTTCTTGCATCAATGTTTTATGGTTTGAATTATAGATATCTTTCACCATTTTGGTTAATTCCTAGGAATTTTATTTTATTTGTAGCTATTATAGATGGAATTGCTTCTTCGATTTTTTTTTAGATTGTACAATGTTGGCATATAAAAATGCTACTGATTTTTGTATGTTGATTTTGTATCCTGCAACTTTATTGAATTTGTTGATCATTTCTAATAGCTTTTTGGTGGAGTCTTTAGCTTTTTCCAAATATAAGATTATATCTACAAACAAGGAAAATGTGGCTTCTTCTTCTCTTCCTATTTGGGTGCCCTTTACTTCTTTCTCTTGTCTGATTGCTCTAGCTAAGACTTCCAATAATACGTTGTATAACAGCAGTGACAGTGGGTATCCTTCAGGAGTTCCAGATCTTAGAGGAAAAGCTTTCAGTTTTTCCCCATTCAGTATGATACTGGCTATGAGTCTGTAATATATGGCTTTTATTTTGTTGATGTATGTCCCTTTGATCCCCAGTTTTTTGAGTTATTATTATTAATGGGTTTTGAACTTTATCAAATGCTTTTTCAGCATCAATTAAAATGATCATATGGTCTTTATCCTTCATTTTGTAAATATGATGTATCATATTAATTGATTTGCTTATGTTGAACCATCCTTGCATCCCTGGGATAAATTCTGCTTGGTCTTGATGATCTTTTTAATGTGTTGTTGAATTCAGTTTGCTAGAATGTTGCTGAGGATTTTTGCACCAATATTTATCATTAATATTTGTCTATAGTTTTCTTTTTTCGAAGTGTCTTTGTCTGATTTTCATGTCAGGGTAACACTCACCTCGTAGAATGAGTTTGTAAACATTCTTTCCTCCTCTACTTTTCAAAATAGTTTGAGCAGGAGTGGTATTAGTTTTTCTTTAAATGTTTGATAGAATTCAGCATCAAAGCCATTGTGTCCCAAGTTTCCTTTACTAGGATGCTTTTTGTTACATCTAGCTCTGCTCTTTTTTGATTTCCATTGGCATAAAATATCTTTTTTCATCTTTTTGTTTTTAGATTATGTGTACCTTTCTAGTGGAAGTGTTTTTCTTATAGGCAACAGATCATTTATTGGGTTTTATTGTTTTATCCTTTCAGCCACTCTATGTCTTTCAATTGGTAATTTCAGTTCATTTACATTCCATGTTATTATTCATGAGTAAGGACTTACTCCTGCTATTTTGGTATTTGTTTTCTGGTTTTATTGTTGTTTGCTGCTCCTTTTATGCTTCCTTCCTGTCTTTTATTGAAGGTGATTTTCTCTTGTGGAAAGATGTATTTTTCTGCTTTTGTGTATGCATGTTTTGTTATATGATTTTTTGATTTGAGGTTACCATGAGGCTTGCAAATTCTGTATTATAACCCAATTATTTAAGCTGAAGCTGATAACATCTTAACACTGTTGGCATAAACACACAAACTCGCAAAAGGAAAACTCAAAACTCTACACCTTAACTTTGTCCCCTAGCTTTTAAACTTTTGGTTGTTTCTATTTATATTTTATTGTACTGTCTATGTCTTGAAAAGTTGTTGTAGTTACTATTTTTGATTAGTTCATTGTTTAGTTTTTCAACAGGCTAAGTGAGAGTGGCATGGCATATTTCAAGGGCTGAAAGAAAAAAATAACTTTTACCTTAGAATAGTATATCTGGTAAAAATATCCTTCAAGAATGAAGAGGAAATAAGCATTTTCCCAGACAAACAAAAGCTGAGGGATTTACAAATCACAGTTACAGTATTACAATAATCTGTGTTTTTCTTTGTAACTACCATGACGAGTTTTGTACCTATAAATGATTTATTACTCATTTACATCCTTTTCTTTCTAATTGAAGTACCCACTTTAGCATTTCTTTTTTTTTTCTGTATTTATTCTAAGAAAAAAAAATGGGATACATGGGCAGAATGTGCAGGTTTGTTACATAGGTATAAGCGTGCCATGGTGGTTTGCTGACCCCCAACAGGCCCTGGTGTGTGTTGTTCCCCTCTATGTGTCCATGTGTTCTCAGTGTTCAACTCCCACTTATGAGTGAGAACATGCAGTGTTTGGTTTTCTGTTCTTGTGTTAGTTTGCTGAGGATGATGGCATCCATGTTCATCCATGTCCCTGCAAAGGACATAATCTCATTCCTTACCACATTTTCTTTATCCATTCTATTATTGATGGGCATTTAGGTTGGTTCCATGTCTTTGGTATTGGAAACAGTGCTGTAATAAACATACATGTGCATGTGTCTTTATAATAAAATGATTTCTATTCCTTTGGGTATGTACCCAGTAATGGGATTGTTGGGTCAAATGGTATTTCTGATTCTAGATCCTTGAGGCATCACCACACTGTCTTCCACAATGGTTGAACTAATTTACATTCCCCCACAATGTAAAAGTATTCTTATTGCTCCACAGCCACGTCAGCATCTATTGTTTCCTGACTTTTTAATAATTGCCATTCTGACTGGCATGAGATGGTATCTCATTGTGGATTTGATTTGCATTTCTCTGATGATCAGTGATGTTGAGCTTTTTCTGATATGTTTGTTGGACGTGTAAATGTCCTTTTGAGAAGTGTCTGTTCATATCCTTTCCCCACTTGTTGATGGGTTTTTTTTTTTTAATTGTAAATATGTTTAGGTTCCTTGTAAGTTGTGGATATCAGACCTTTGTCAGATGGGTAGATTGCAGAAATTTCCTCCCATTCTTTAGGTTGCCTGTTCACTCTGATAATAGTTTCCTTTGCTGTGCAGAAGCTCTTTAGTTTAATTAGATCCCATTTGTCAATTTTGGCTACTGTTGCAATTGCTTTTGGCATTTTAGTCATGAAGTCTGCCCATGCCTATGTCCTGAATGGTATTGCCTAGGTTTCCTTCTAGGATATTCATAGTTTTGGGTTTTACATTTACGTTTTTAATCCATCTTAAGTTAATTTTTGTATAAGGTGTAAGGAAGGAGTCCAGTTTCAGTTTCCTGCATATGGCTAGCCAGTTTTTTCTAGCACCATTTACTGAATAGGAGATCCTTTTCCCATTGCTTGTTTTTGACAGGTTTGTCGAAGATCAGATGGTTGTAGATGTGTGGTGTTATTTTTGAGGTCTCTGTTCTGCTACATTGGTCTATATGTCTGTTTTGGTGCCAGTACCATGCTGTTTTGGTTACTGTAGTCTTGTGGTATAGTTTTAAGTAAGGTAGCATGATGCTTCCAGGTTTGTTCTTTTTATGTAGGACTGCCTTGGCTATATGGGGTCTTCTTTGATTCCATATGAAATTTAAAATAGTTGTTTCTAATTCTATGAAGAATGTCAATGAAAGTTTGATGGGAATAGCCCAGGACCAAAAGGATTTACAGCTGAATTCTACCAGAAATACAAGGAAGAGCTGGTACCAATCCTTCTGAAACTATTCCAAACAATTGAAAAAGAGGGACTCCTCCCTAACTCATTTTATGTAGCCAGCATCATCCTGATACCAAAACCGGGAATAAACACAACAAAAAAAGAAAACTTCAGGCCAATATCCCTGATAAACATCGATGCAAAAATCCTCAATAAAATACTGTCAAACCAAATCCAGCAGCACATCAAAAAACTTATCCACAACAATCAAGTTTTCTGCATCCCTGAGATGCAAAGCTGGTTCAACATATGGCAATCAATATACATAATTCATCACATAAACAGAATCAAAGAGAAAAACCACATGATTATCTCAATAGATGCAGGAAAGGCCTTTGATAAAATTCAAAATCCCTTCATGCTAAAAACTCTCAATAAACTAGGTATTGATGGAACATAGCTCAAAATAATAAGAGCTATTTATAAGAAACCCACAGCCAATATCACATTGAATGGGGAAAAGTTACAAGCATTCCCTTTGAAAATCAGTACAAGACAAGGATGCTCTCTCTTACCACTCCTGTTTGACATAGTATTGGAAGTTCTGGCCAGGGCAATCAGGCAAGAGAAAGAAATAAAGTGTATTCAAATAGGAAGAGAGGAAGTCAAGTTATCTCTATTTGCAGACGACATGATTTCATATTTAGAAAACCCCATCATCTCGGTTCCAAAATTTCTTGAACTGAGAGACAACTTCAGCAAAGTCTCAGGATACAAAATCAATGTGCAAAAATCACAAGCATTCCTTTACACTAACAATAGGCAAGCAGAGAGTCAAATCATGAACTCCCATTCACAATTGCTACAAAGGAAACAAAATACCTAGGAATATAGCTAACAAGGGACGTGAAGGACCTCTTCAAAGAGAACTACAAACCACTGCTCAAAGAAACAAGAGAGGACACAGACAAATGGAAAAACATTCCATCCTCATGGATAGAAAGAATCAATATCATGAAAATGGCCATAATGCTCCCTTTAGCATTTCTTGTAGGATAGGTCTGGGGTTGATGAAATCCCTCAGCTTTTGTTTGTCTGGAAATAACACTTTATTTCCTCTTCATTCTTGAAGGATAGTTTCACCAGATGTACTATTCTAGGATAAAAGTGTTTTGTTTTTTTTCTTTCAGTACTTTAACTATGTCTTGACACTCCTGGTCTGTAAGGTTTCCACTGAAAAATCTGCTGTCAGACATATTAGGCTTCTTTGGGTTAAATCTGCTTAGTGTTCTGTAACCTTCTTGTGTTTGGATATTGATAACTTTATCTGGGTTTGGGAAGTTCTCGTTATTATCCCTTTGAATAAACTTCCTACCGTTTTATCTTTCTTTTTCTCATCTTTAAGGCCCACAACTCTTAGATTTGCCCTTTTGAGGCTGTTTTCTGTATCTTGTATATGTGCTTCATTCTTTTTTATTTTTTTTCTTTTGTCTCCTTTAACTGTGTGTTTTCAAATAGCCTGTCTTCAAGCTCGCGAATCCATCCTTCTGCTTGATCAATTATATTAAAAGACTCTGATATATTCTTCAGAATGTCAATTCCATTTTTTCAACTCCAGAATTCATGCTTTTTAATAATTATTTCAATCTCTCTTCATTACATTTATCAGATAGAATTCTGAATTCCTTCTATTTAATTTATTTGAGTTTTTCTCAAACAGCTATTCTGAATTATCTGTCTGAAAGGTCACATATCTCTATGTCTCCAGAATTGAGACCTGGTGACTTATTTAGTTCATTTGGTGAGGTCATATTTTCTTGGGGTAATCTTGATGCTTACGGATGTTCTTCTATGTCTGAGCATTAAAGAGTTAGGCATTTGCTCTAGTCTTCACACTCTGTGCTTGTTTTTCCCCATTCTTCTTGGAAAGGCTTTCTAGGTATTTGAAAAGACTTGGGTGAGGTGATCAAAATTTGTGATCACTGCAGCTCTGTCTGGACTGGGGGGAACCCCAAGCCCAGTAACACTCTGGTTCTTACAGACTTGTAGAGATAATGTCTTGGTGGTCTTGGATAAGATCTGGACGAATTCTCTAGATTACCAGGTAGAGGCTCTTGTTCTCTTCCCTTACCTTCTCCTAAATAAATAGTGTTTCTCTGTGCTGAGCAACCTGGACTGGGGGTGGGGTGACACAAACACCCCTGTGGCCACCATCACTGGGAATACACTGGGTCAGACCTGAAACCAGAACTGCACTGGGTTTTGCCTAAGGCCTGCTATAAACACTACCTGGCTACTGCCTATGTTCGCTCAAGGTTCTGGGGCTCTACAATCGGCAAATGATAAAGGCAACCAGGCTTGTGTCCTTCCCTTCAGGGATGTGAGTTCACCCAGTCCGTAAGCAGGTCTAGAGGTACCATCCTGGAGTCATGGACTGGAGTCAGAAATCTTGAAAGTCTATTTGGTACTCTATTGCTCTGCAGCTGAGTTGGCACTCAAACCATGAGATGCAGTCCTTCCCACTCTTCTGTCCCGTTTCTACGGGCAGAGGTGCCTTATCTCATGGCCATCACCCCCACAGGCCCACAGGGAGTACGGCTAAGCTACCACCTATGTTTCCTTAAGGCCCAGGGGCTCTTCAGTCAGCTTGTAGTGAATGCTGCCTAGCCTGGAACTCTTCCTTCCGGGCAGTGGGCTCCCCTCTGGCCCAGGGCAGATTCACAAATACCATCCAAGAGCAAATGTCTGGAATCAGGGACTCTAAGAGTCTACTTAGAGCCCTATCCCCTGTGGCTGAGCTGGTACCTAGGTGCAAGACAAAGACCCCTTTTCTTTTCTCAAGCAGAAGGAGTCTCTCCCAATAGCCACCACAACTGAGAATGTTCTGAGACTAACGTGAAGCCAGCAAGTCTCAGAATCTCACCTAAGGTTTACGGTATACTACCTGAATATTGCTCCTGGTTATTCAGGACCCAAGTCCTCTTTAGTCAGAAGGTAATGAGTCCTTCCAGGACTCAGTCCTTTCCTTCAAAGCAATGGGGTTCCTTCTGGCCCACAGCATGTCTAGAAATGTTGTCTGGGAGCTAGGTCCTGGAAGGGGGCCTCACAACTGACTGGTGCCCTATCCCACTGTGGCTGAGCTGGTATCCAAGATGCAAGACAATGTCTTCTTTATTCTTTTATCTCCTCTTCTCAAGCAGAAGGAAGGAGTCTCGGTTGGAGCCTCCATCTGTGCAGCCTGAGGTTGGGAGACAGGAGGCACAAGTACTCCCTTAGCCACCATGGCAGGTATTTCAGTAGGTCACATGCCCTCCCCCAGTCCACTGGCTCTGAGTGCAGTTCAGCTCTAGGGCTCACCTAGGAATTGCAATCTTAGTGGCCTACACTGCCTTTCAAGTTTATTTTGGAGCCCCAGAGCACTTTTTCTTGCAGTGACAGTGAATTCAAGTTTCTGCTGCTGAAATAGGTGATTCCCCTCTGTCTAGGGCTGGTTTAAATACTCCCTCAATGGGCAATCATCTGCTGAGTTCAGCCTAGTTTTGCTTTCTGCTATGGCAAGGCAGCACTGAGGGCAATGCAACGACTCATAAGTCTATATTCACCCTCTCCCAAGTGCTCATTTCTGTCTCTGTGCCACATGGCCACTGCTGGGGTATGGGGCAGGGGTGGCATTGGTAATTCAAGACTCTTTCCTATCCTCTTCAATGCCCTTTTTAGTTATACAAAGTTAAAACTAGGTACATTCATTGCATTTAAATGTCAAATTGGTCTCAGTTGAAATCATTTCTTACAGTTATTCTTGAGTCTATATTTGTTTTAATCAACCCTTAAAAGTATTTCTGCTTTCTTATAGCATTTCAATGCACTTGCAAATTACATCACTTTGGAAACATTTGGTTGAAGTTAGAGAAATCCCACATTAAGTAGCTTTAAACAATAAGGAGAATCAACTGAAAAAAAAATGTAGAATTCTGAAAAGTAATGTGCATTAGTGTTATTGGATGTAATTATTCAAGATAAAATATATTAGCCAATATTTTTGTAAGGTTTCATTGATTTGAATTGAGTCACATTTCAGTCCTTGTTTCCAGGAGCCATATAAAGCGATAATTGGCTTAGGCCTGGTTTATCAACAAAGGGCTTAAAAGGGAGATTGGCTTACAATCATGAGTGACAAACTTTGCACCTGAATTCTGATCCCTGATGGTTCTAAGGTAATTCCTTTATTTTAAACCAATGGGAGAAGTTGAGGATGTTATTAAAGAGGTAAAACAATGTTTACAGCACCTGTGACTCTTTACTTACATCTAAATACTTAAAAGTATACATTAGGGCATGTGTATTTGGGTTTTTAAACACATACTTAAAACTTATCAAAGATTATTATGTGTCTGGGTTGTTAAAAACAATGCTACTTTGAACACAATTGATGCTTGTTATTTCTTTCTGAGGTTACCATCAAAGAAAAATGATATTTACTAAACGTAGAAAAAGAATTTAATCGTATGTGGTTTTATCACATAGATGATTAATATTCAAAATTCATTTTAGTAACATACAAACATCTTTTTTTCACACAAAATATCTAATTTGAACAAATACATTCTCCAGTTTGGTGTAAATAGTTAACACATTATCAATGTAAATTTGGCAATGAACTAACATTGAGAAGAAAGTGGCAACAAAGCAAGACATGTGCTTGCTTTGGATGACTGATTATTGCAAAAGTTTGATTATTTATTGCATATAAATTAATACAAGTAAATTAAGGTTTACTATTTTTCTTTTATTTCTACATTTTTCTCTCTCAAACAGTAATGATAGGATTCTTTTTATACTTTATCTGAAAATAAAAGTGTTAAAAATCCAAAAGCCAAACAGTATAAAGATTAGATCAATAACATACATTAAATTGTGTTTTTATCTGAGATGTTTTGGTAATTTCTCTGCCAAGTAAGTTTGTTTGTTGCGTTAGTAGCAAAGGTAAGTTATTATTAAATAGTTATTTTGTGGAAAATAAACTTTCCGAATAAACTCTGAAGCACTCCCCCCAAAAAAATCAATCTGTGCTAACAAAATATTAATGTTTTTACACTGATTTATAATTTACACAGCACATTCATAAATAGGGCCTCATTTTTATTTCTTATAAAATTCCAGTAAAAGAGACACTGCTATTCATATTTATGAATGAGAAAACTGAGAATCACAGTGATTAAATTATGCATATGAGATAACACTAACAGAAAGTAAAGCTGGAACCTGAGTTTAGACTATTAATTAAATGTCTAAAGCACCTTTCTCTACCATTGCATACCTTTATGCCTCCAACTTATATCTTTGAAGAGAACTCATTGCATTTTCACAAACAAGATTACTAGGCAAATTTTGGGCAACACTAATACAAATAAGATGCTAGCTACTTTAACAGTGGTATAAGGAAGAATAAGATAAAAAATGCAAAATATCAGAAGTATGAAGGAAAGGGAGTAAAGATTATTGCAGGTGGATCGAGGGAGTTCAGAGCAATTAAGCCGGTAACTCCCACGTGCTAAATAATAAATTCTGTCACTAGGGAACCCATGCTAGCTCAGCAGAGAACAAAAGAAGTAATGTAACTTCTATGGAGTTTCCCTATAACTTGGCTTTCTGCTGGATGTGAGTTTTATAAAAAATTAGGATTTTATGAGACTTTCACCAAGACAACATAAAACTATCACAATTTCTGACATAAAATGGTCAAAACAGAACGTACCCTAAGTACCTGCAATCAGAGTAGAATATTTAATGTTTCTAAACATTAAAGAATTCCATGGGGAATTCTTTGTTATCTGGATATTTCTAATGGGAAAGTGATCGTTCCTTCCAGATGTAGTAAAGGTAAATGTCATAGATATGGCAGTGGTGGAAATATGCCCCTGAAAGAATATAAACATATTTAAACAGTGAAGATAGTTTTGAATATGAAGTTACACATATACATTTTTTAGTAAAAAAAAACGTAAGTAAAAGCAGACACTTTGCTTCTCCTGGTTGTAAATAACTGACCATAGTATTTCTAGAACAAAAAATCAAGAGGCAGCCTAGTAAGTTTCCATTAGAGTCATGTAAGGAGGAAAACATTCAGGTACAATAGAACAGGATCACGATTGGAGAAAATATAATAGTTAGAATTCCTCATCCAAATCCAGTTTCCAAGTCAGTTCACACACCCTGATCCCCTGTAATAACATGGAGGTTGAGCATTCTTTATGAATAAATTTATAGTTATTTGACGAGTAGCCTCTGTGAATCTCACTCCTGGCCTTCTATTAAGAGACATCACACCATTTACGAAGAAAACAGTACCATAGTTTTATTTTCTCTGTATCTTCATGGGCATTTTTTAAAATTAAAGCCATTCTAACAGGTATGATGTAATATCTAATTGTGGATTCATTTTGCATTTCCCTAATGATTACTGATACTGAGCATTTATTCATGTTTATGTCGGCTATTTGTATATCTTCTTTTGAGAAATGTCTGTTGAGGCCCTTTGCCCATTTTTTAATCGCATTGTTTGATTTCTTGCTATTGAGTTGTTTGAGTTATTTACATATTTTTGATATTAACTCCTTATTTGATGTATGGTTTGCAAATATTTTCTTCTATTTTGTGGGTCCTTTCTTCACTTTGTTTCCTTTGATGTGCAGAAGCTTTTTAGTTTGCTGTCATCTATTTTTGCTTTGATGTCTGTGCTTTTGGAGTCATAGCCAGAAAATCATTGCCCAGACCAATGTCATGGAGCTTTTATCTTATTTTTTTTTCCAAGTTGTTTTACAGTTTCAGGTCTATATTTAAGACTTTAAACCATTTCGAGTTGACTTTTGTAGATGGTGCGAGATTCAATTTCATACTTCTGCATGTGGATAACCAATTTTCTCCACATCATATGTTAAAGAGACTGTCCTTTTCCCATTGTTTGTCATTAGCAGATTGTTGATGGAAATGTAAGTTAGTGTAGACATTATGGAAAACAGTATGAAATATCCTCAAAAAACTAAAAAATATAACTATCATGATTCAGTAATACCTCTTCTGGGTACATATCACATATTGAAATCAATGTGTCAAAGGAATATCTACACTTCTATGTTTATTACAGCATTATTTACAATATCCAAGATAGAGAATCAACCTAAGTTTCCATCATAAAGTGAATGAGTATAAAGAAACTATATTACCATAATCACTATAATCTATCTACATATCTATATCTGTATATCTCCCTAATATATTTACTATGTCTATATACTCTTTGTATGTAGATAGTTTTCCACAGAGAAAGCATTCAATAAAAACATGTTGAATAAATAAATAAATGGAGAATACATTCATATTTCTTCTCAATTTACATTACAGGTTAGATATATATAGTTATCAATTCCGAACGATAGTTCATTTATTCTCAGTGAACATCTTTGTTGTGGCTGTAAATCAAGAGATATGCACGCATGCAATGGAATACTATTATTCTGATAACAGAAAGAAATACTCTCATTTGCAACAACATGGATGAACCAGGAGGACATTATGCTTAGTGAAAAAAGCCAGTCACAGAAAGACAAATATTGCCTGATCTCATTTATATGTGAAATCTAAAAGAGTTGAACTCACAGTAGAGAGTAGAAAGGCAGTTACCAGAGGCTGGGGTGGTAGGAGAGGGAGAGAAGTAATGGGGAGTTGTTGAACAAAATGTGCAAAGTGTCAGATAGACATTAAGAATACATTTTGAGATATATTGCCAGGAGTAACTATGGTTAATAATAAAGTTTATATATTTAAAAATAACTGAGTAAATTTCAAATGTCTTACATAAGAAACAATAAAGGCAAGGTGATAAATATGTTAACTAGCCTGATTTCATCACTTCCCATTGCATACATATAACAAAACCTCACATTTGTACCCCATAAATGTATACAATTATGATTTCTCAATTAAAATATTAATTAAAAATTGTTAAAAAGATAACAGTAAACTCACAGGGTAAAAATTCAAATAATTTATATATTATTGAACAATGATTCTAACCTTAATTCCTAGATCTCTGATTGGATTCATGGAACTCAGATACTTCTTGGGGGAAAAAAAGAGGAATTTCTTGAGCTCAGTGTCTTGATGTCTGTGATCATATACATTGTTCCATATATGATCTTTTTTCTGGAGCAATTTCATGTGGTACTTTTACCTCATATGTAGGATAGTTATCTGGATAAGTATTTCTTATACCTGAAAATAAATGTTTGCTTTTATGTGGCAAGAAGAATAGCATATTTTGGGGGTCCTGTCAAAAACTTCAATTCTGCTGTAATGGACAACATTCAGACTGAAGTGTCTATGGCACATTTTTTTATTTATTACAATGATTATTTCATATTTGTGTATAGTGTAGGAAGTGTAAATATCTCAGATTGCTTTATAATATACATATTTGGATAGAATATAAATTAAGTTTTGAGAAAATAAAAGGTCCATTTAATTAATGTGTCAGTTATAGTGATCTAAAGAATGTCAGGATATTTGCTCCAAGAGAAAGAGAAAGTTATTTTCCCTTTTACCTCTACAAATCAAATGAATTTTAATTATCAGATCTCTAGACTTTGGAGAAAATATATATGACATTTGGGTTTCTGCTTCAACCCACAACCAGGGGAACTCAACTCACACACTGCCTGCTTTGATTGAGGTACAAAGCAAAACAAGTTTTACTTGTTAGTCCAGGCTAGAGGATTCACAAGACTGCCACTTGGATTTTATGACCCTGCTGATGCTTGGCTTAAAGTTTCTAGGGAGGTTACAAATTCTACACATATTGGATAGATAACCACTATAATCTATCTATCTGTCTATATATCTATATCTATATATCTCCCTAATATATTTACTATGTCTAAATACCCTTTTATGTAGACAGTGTTTTCCACAGAGAAAGCATTCAATAAAAACATGTTGAATAAATAAATAAATGGAGAATACACTCATATTTCTTCTCAATTTACATTACAGGTTAGATATATATAGTTATCAATTCAGAATGATAGTTCATGTATTTTCAGTGAACATCTTTGTTGTGGCTATAAATCTAGAGGTCAAGATTTCATTTGTTTTAATTTATGTAGATAGAACTTACCTGTCTATTAAAGTCAAGTTGATAGTAACCATGGCTTAAAAAAAAAACTATTAACTAAGACCAATTACAAAATGTGTGAACTCCAGAGGAGCTCAAATCTCTCCTTTCTTCTGTTTCTTCAAGATGAGGGGCAGTGTTAATCAGATTCCCTGGACCACGTGCTAGATGAAAGAATTGAAATGAATGCTTCTTGTAGTGGATTTCTCTCAAGCTGCCTTTGCAGGTCTTTGGAGGGAGGGCATCTCTTAGTTTAATTTTTCTATGTGGGTTTTTTCTTCTTTCCTTTGAATCTCTCAAACTGTCAAAAAGATTGGAGAGGGCCCAGCACTCCTTATGGAAGAAAGCAGCTCTTCCATTACCTTTAAAAACAACTATATATCAGGTGGGCCCAAAACATGTTATCTGGGATAGGTATTTTAGGTATTTTAGGCCTGCTTGTGTTTAAGTAATCAGGAAAGTTAACTTATTTATGAATCAAACTAGCCCACCAGGCAAACCTCACAGGCCGCTGGTAAAATGAAGCACATTAATTTATTGGCATAGCCTTTCCATTTGAATTTTTAATAATTATAGGCAACTTAGGAGTGTCTAGTCCTGACTACCTTAGTCATGTATGTTTCAGTGATGAGTGATAAATAAGGTTTGTTGTCACACCTCCAACTCGATATGAAAGCATATTTTTTCCTTCATAAAGCATTTACTAACAAACAATTGTTGTAAATTAAGAAGATAATAAGAGTCCAGTAGGCCAAAAGACGTAACTACCCATTGGAAAACAATGCAACTATCAAGCCAAGAAAATTAAAAATGCAGTATTAACCCAAATTTTGATACAGACAAGAGGCAGGGAAATACTGGATAGAAGAAGGTGGTTCCCTGGCAAAGGCCTCGCCCTCAAGCCTGGAACCATGGCCCTAAATGAGAACAGTTATCCCTGTTTTCCTGCCCAAATGTTACCATTTTCGTCTACCCTGCCCTCCTATCCTGTGCCCATATAAACCCCAGACCTCAGCTGGCAGAGGCACAAGCAGCTGAAAGTTGAGAGGAAAAGAAGCAGCTGAGCATTGGAGTCTATGAATAGATACAGCTTAACTTCAGATGGCACAAATTCGGAGAGGAGCCTTGTCAGAGACAGCCAGCCTTCAGGGAAAGGTTACCTTCTTCCCACACCATCCCCCTTCCAGCTCCCCTCTTCTGAGAGCCACTTCTGCTGCTTAATAAAATCCTCTGCATTCATCACTTTTCAGATTGTTCACGTGAGCTGATTCTTCCTGGATGCCAGACAAGAATTTGGGACACACTGGGTGTGGGAACCCAAAAAGCCTGTCACATTGACTCTTCACTGAGCTGTTTAACACTTAGGCATCCACAGACAGCAAAGCTAAACAAAGCATTAATTGTAACACACCCCTAGACACTGCCATGAGGCTGGAACCCAAAAGTGCTCACCAGGCCACGGCACCCACTGACCTGCATGCTTCCCATCCTGCAAGGGGTATGAGCACTGCAGCCAAGTAAATGAGCCACACCCCTCTCACAAGTCCCATGAAGGGGTCAAGGGAACTTACCTGTCTCTCTTCCTACTACCTGTAATTTCATCCTGTGTCTATTATCTCCATATGTCTTCTCTCCCATCTTCTTCCCTTCCTTTCTCACTCTTATATGTTTCCTCCTTAACCATTTATTTTTTTCTCTCTTCTACTTTTAAAAAGTTACATTTCCTTTCCTACTTTTCAAGGGAGGAAGAGTATGAGCTATTTGGGTACAGGGTAACAAGAAGAAAACCTTTAACCTCTCCTCACCTAAAAATAATTGAAAATATTCAAGAAATGACAGCATTTGAATTGTATTCTATATTGAGGTTTATGTTAAGGTCAGAAATCTGGGCTGAAATTTTTCTAGCTTAAATCAGGAGAATAAAAATGCCAATCTGCTTCAGGTCTTTTCTTTGAATGTAATCTTAACTTGCTTGCTTTTAGGATATTTCAATGTCTAGTATAACTTTCTAATTAAAATGTTCCAACTGTGGTACAGTTTTGATTGTGTAAAATCATTTTCATTTTATGGCATTAAATGTTTAAAAATATCTCTGCCTGTAAGTGCCATCTCATCCCTTCCTAAAATAGACAACATATTTGATTATTATCCTGGGACATTTTCCCTAATGTGAAAGCAAAACTGATGGTTGTGTCATCAACTACTCTGTTGCATTTAAATTCTGAAGCCTTTCCAGGCAGCTGTTTTAGAACATAAATTTGGGGGACCCTCTGTATTTTAATGGTTTGATTACTGCTTCTATTCACTAGTGTATTAGTCCATTTTCATGCTGCTGATAAAGACATACTTGAAACTGGGAAGAAAAAGAGGTTTAATGAACTTATAGTTTTACAGGGCTGGGGAGGCCTCACAATCATGGCGGAAAGCAAAGAGGAGCTAGTCATGTCTTACATGGATGGCGGCAGGAAGAGAGAACTTGTGCAGGGAAACTCCTGTTTATAAAACCATTAGATCTTGTGAGACTCATTCACTATCATGAGAACAGTGCAGGAAGAACCTGCCACTATAATTAAATCACCTCCCACCAAGTTCCTCCCACGACACATGGGCATTGAAGGAGTTACACTTCAAGATGTGATTTGGGTAGGAACACGGCCAAACCATATCATTCCACCCCTGGCCCCTCCCAAATCTCATGTCCTCACATTTCAAAACCAATCATGCCTTCTCAACAGTCCTCCAAAGTCTTAACTCATTCCAGCATTAACTCAAAAGTCCACAGTCCACAGTCCAAAGTCTCCTTCAAGACAAGACAAGTCTCTTCCACCTATGAGACTATAAAATCAAAAGCCAGATAGTTACTTCCTAGATACAATGGGGGTACAGGCAGTGGGTAAATACAGCCATTTCAAATGGGGGAAATTGATCAAAACGAAGCGGCTACAGGCCACACGCAAGTCTGAAATCCAAAAGGGCAGTCAAATCTTAAAGCTCCAAAATGATATCCTTTTACTCCATGTCTTGCATCCAGGTCACGCTGATGCAAAGCAGTGGGTTCCCATGGTCTTGGGCAGCTCCACCTCTGTGGCTTTGCAGGGTACAGCCTCCCTCCCAGCTGCTTTCACTGACTGGAATTGAGTGTCTGTGGCTTTTCCAGGCACACAGTGCAAGCTGTCAGTGGATCTACCATTCTGGGTTCTGGAAAATGGTGGCCCTCTTCTCACAGCTCCACTAGGCATTGCCCCAGTAGAGTCTCTGTGTAGGAACTCTGACCCCACATGTCCCTTCTGCACTGCTCTAGCAAAGGTTCTTCATGAAAGCCCTGCCCCTGCAGCAAACTTCTGCCTGGACATGCAGGCATTTCCATACATCTGCTGAAATCAAGGCGGAGGTTCCCAAACCTCAATTCTTGACTCCTGTGCACCTGCAGGCTCAACACAATGTGGAAGCAGCCCAGGCATGGAGCTTGCACCCTCGGAAGCCATGACCTGAGCTGTACCATGGCCCCTTTTAAGCATGGCTGGAGTGGCTGGGATTCAGGGCACCAAGTCCCTAGACTGCACACAGCATGGGGACCATGGGCCCAGCCTACAAAACTATTTTTTCCTCCTAGGTTTCTAGGCCTGTGATGGGAACAGCTTCCATGAAGACCTCTGACATGCCCTGGGGACATGTACATTTTCCCCATTGTCTTGGGGGTTAACATTCAGCTCCTTACTACTTATGCAAATTTCTGCAGCCTGCTTGTATTTCTCCTCAGAAAATGAGATTCTCTTTTCTATTGCATTGTCAGGCTGCAAATTTTCTGAACTTTTATGCTCTGCTTTCCCTATAAAGCCAAGTGCCTATCTCCCAACCTCTGAGGAAAAAAGACAGGATGAAGGTTTAGTTGATCACCAATAGCCAATAATTTAATCAGTCATGATTTTGTAATAAAATCTCCATTAAAACCAAAAAGGACACGGTTTGGAGAGCTTCCAGATGGCTGAACTTGTAGAGGTTCCTGGAGGGTGGTATTTCCAGAAAGGAAACATGGAAGCTCTTTGTCCCTACCCCACCCCTTGACATATGCATTTCTTCATTTGTATCTTTTGCCATATCTTTTATAATAAACCAGTAAACATAAGTAAGTTTTTCCTGAGTTCTGTGAGCTGCACTAGCAAATAAACCCAACCCAAAGAGGGGTCTTGGGATCCTCCATTTGTGACCATTCAGTAAGAAGCACAGATAAAATAACCAAGAGCTTGAGATTGGCATTTAAGGAAGAAGAGACAGTCTTGTGGGACTGAGTTTGAGCCCTCAACCTGTGGGATCTGATGCCATTTCTAGGAAGATAGTGTCAGAATTGGACTGCATTAGAGGACACCCAGCTGGTGTCCTCTGCAGAATTGCTTGCCTGCTTGGTGCATACAGAAATACTCCTCAAACATCTGGTCACAATAAGTCTTCTGTGTTGATTGTTGTGGTTCTGTAACCGCCCAATGAGTGCTTCCTGCCTGCTGCCCATAGAGAGCCAATTTATCAAGGCAGAGAAACTGAAAGCACCATTGCAAAACTATAACTGAGACAGTGAAAGAGATCTGACCTAACCATCTCCATCTTGCTTCTACCTTCCAAGCTATCCTTGTTCATTCCCGAGCATGGGCTGACCCAGCTGTGGGAGAGACTTAGTTTATAGTTTAAAACAAAGACACTGGCAAACCTTTCCCTAAACAAACCTTCTTGTCTGGGGACTAGACTGCCTTTGTAGGACTAACAAATTAGCCATAAGACTAGAAATTATAGTTTAGGAGTCATGCAGCTGGATGCTACAAGATTCTCACCCTCCCTAAATTGCTCTTAAGATCAGTGCTTGGGACATTTTTCAGACCCTGCACTTGAGATCAGCTGGCACCACCCAGATTGATAAACTGGCTCATCTGATCTTGTGGCCCCCACCCAGGAACTGACTCAGCACAAGAAGAGAGCTTCAATTTCCTACAATTTCATCTTCAACCCAACCAATCAGCATTCCTGGCTCACTGGCTTACTCCCACCCACCAAGCTGTCCTTCAAAGCTCTGCTCCCCGAATACTTTGATTTGAGTAATACTTACACTCCGGTCTCCCACACAGTCAGCTCTGCATGGAATTACTCTATCTATTGCAATTCCCCTGTCTTCGTAAATCAACTCTGTTTATGAAGTGGGCAAGGTAAAACCACTGGGTGGTTAAAATTTGCAATAGAGAAAGAGTTTTACACATACAGAGTCTGTTAAATGGAAAACCAGAGTTTTATTATTCCTCAAATTAGCCTTTTGGAAAATTCAGATGCTAAGATTTTTCAAGGATAGTTGGGGGGATGTTGGGGGTGGCTAGGCAATGGATGCTTGTGGCTGATTGTTTGGGGGTGAAATCACAGGGGTGTGGCAAATGGTCCTCAAGTGCACTGAGCTGCTTCTAGGTGGGGCCACAGGAGTGGTTCATGGGTCCAGGTAGAGACATTGGGTCCAGGTCAGACATGCATACAAAAAAACCTGAATATATATGTCAAAAGCCCAATCTTAGGTTTTTCAATAGTGATGTTATCTGCAGGAGTAATTGGGAAGTTCCATATGTTGTGACCTCCAGAATAATGGCTGGCAATTATTTATGTCTACACCTTAGCAGAATTCAGGCCTCTCTCATCCCCCTAGCCTGATGGTTTCTTATTATCTTTACAAAGGTGGTTGTGTTTTGGAGAAGGGCTATTATCACTTAAACTACAAACTAAATGTCTCTCAAAGTTAGCTTGGCCCAAGCCCAGGAATAATTAAGGGCAGGTTGAAGGCTAGAGGCAAGATGAGGATTGGCTGGACCAGACCTCCCCTACTGCCATAATTTTCTCACTGTTATAATTTTTGCAAAGGTGGTTTCAGTGTGAGAGTGGAGGAAAACTGGTTTGTTTTTTTTCTTATAGTCTCTTTCTGCAAAATAACTAATTAGATTTCCAAATGTATATTCCCAATATATAATTCTAATATACAACCTGCTTCATATCCACATTTATAGTTTCACACTTGAAATTACTGCATGAATGTCCTCACAGCACATAAACACTCAACATAATCACATTCAGTTCATAATCTTCCTTCTAAACCTACTCTCTTTGTAAATGAAATGGCCATTGATATAAAACATTCTGGTCTTCTATTCCAACATCTATTCTCCTGATCCCCTTTAAAACCAGAACCCAGATTTAAGCAGAGCTCATTCTTGTTCTCAGTAAAAGTTTACATTTTCCTAGGCTTTTTTTTCAGCTAGCTTGGCAGTGTAAGTCAATTTTAGTGAATTAGATGTAAGCAACAGTGTAATATGGACCAGCCTGCTTGAAGTGAACCAACTCAGTCTGCATTCCTGCTACTGCTTCATTTATAGCAATGGAGATGCTATAAATGAAATTCTTGAATCATCTCCTTGAACTATGAAGCAGATGCTTAAAGATGGAAGCATTATACTAAGATGGTGGAATAGAAAGATGAAAACTCTAGTTTGCTTATGATACTATAGAACTGCCATATCAGTTTTGGACTGCCTACCTCCTAATTTATTTGTTGTGTTAGAAAAATATACCATTCTCTTGTTCAAAAATTTTTATTTTAGATTTTTATGTTATAATAAGCTGAACTTATTTAAAAATTGAATCACTCTTTTACTGGTCCACAGTTAGAATAATGTTTTATTCTGCCTTAATTTTTTCCATCTACTTCTAATAATTAGCTGCCATGTTAAAAGGGAAACAATTAGTGACACTTTCTGCTTCCAGGCACATTCCAGATGCAGATAAAGGAGCAGGGTAAAAAATAAATCCCAAGAAGATGATGGTAGTTTTTCTGCCTGAGTTGAGACAGACATCAAAGATCAGGAAGTCTGAAGGGGCTAGAAATTTCCAAGCTTGTGAAAAGTCTGGACATAAATAGTAAAAAACGGCCCAGAAATCAGCATAATGAGGTGCTGCTCTCTGCTGAATACTAATACATAAATATATGGGCAAAATTTGTAATGCTAAGCATAGGGGGAAGAAAGAATTGTGAGACATAGGACTGGGAAGTATTTAAGATCCTAACAGCCATAGTCACACAATTTTTTGATTACTTATGGCATTTAATAGAAAAGTAAAAAGGAAAGACCTTTAGTTGTAGGGCTAAATAATTGTCAGGGTAGATGTTACTCTAGACTTACACATACACAAACAAACTGATTAACTAGACCTAAAAGAATCATACTGAATCACATGAAACTTAATAAATGTGGTTGGAAGAACTAGATATTCCTACAGGAAAAAATAAAGCTCAGTCTTTATCTTACACCATACATACAAACATTGATTAACAATCTATCATGGACCTAAATATAAGCAACAAAACTATAAATATATAAAAGGAAAAAATTAAATATAGGATAATTTTTTTGCAAAATTTGGATAAGCAAAGATTTCTTATACAATAAACACAAAAATTAAATTAAAACAATGATATAATAAAATTTTTATTAAAATTAAAGACTTCTCATAAATTTACCATTGTCAACCTTAAATAATGAGATTTAGAAAATATGATTAAAGTCAGGCTTGGTGGCTCATGCCTGTAATCCCAGCACTTTGGGAGCCCAAGGCAGGCAGATCACTTGAGGTCAGGAGTTCCAGACCAGCCTGGCCAACGTGGTGAAACCCTGTCTCTACTTAAAATACAAAAATTAGCCAGGCGTGGTGGTACACACTTGTAATCCCAGCTACTCAGGAGGCTGAGGTACAAGAATCACCTGAACTAGGGAGGCAGAGGTTGCAATGAGCTGAGATAGCACCACTGCACTCTAGCCTGGGCAACAAAGGAGGCTCCATCTAAAGTAAATAAATAAATATATGTCTGTGTGTGTGTGTGTGTGTATATGATTAAGTACAGAACTTATTGAAACTTAAAGCTTGAGTATGGCCACTGGGGAAAGCACCAACTCAAACAAATTGAGTCAACATTTCCAAAGTGGAGAAGTTAAAGTTTCAATTACATAGGTTGTAAACTCCCAAAATCTAAGACAGGTCTCAGTCAGTGTAGAAAGCTTATTTTGCCAAAGTTAAGGATGTGTGCCCCTGACACAGCCTCAGGAGGTCTTGACGACTGGTGCCCAAGGTGGTCAGAGCACAGATTGGTTTTGTACATTTTAGGGAGACATAAGATATCAATCAACATATGTAAGATGAACACTGGTTTGGTCCAGAAAAGCAGGACAAAAGTAGGGAGGGGACTTGAAGCAAAAGTGGGGAGGGGACTTCCAGGTCATAGGTAGATAAGACACAAATTGTTTCATTCTTTTGAGTTTCTGATTAGCCTTTTCAAAAAAGGCAATCAGATACACATTTATGTCAGTGAGCAGAGGGATGACTTTGAATAGAATGGTAGGCAGGATAGCCCTAAGCAGTTCCCTACTTGACTTTTCCCTTCAACTTAGTGATTTGGGGGCCCCAAGATTTATTTTCCTTTCTCAAGATAGAGACAGAGATGTTCCTGCAGGATTGCAACATTTTCCATACAAGACCAGGTGCAGATGTCACAGTGTCACAGCTATTTAATTGGTTACTGATTGTTGTATTCCAAGGAGGATTACTTTATTACTCCTTGAGGAGGAGTCCTGATCTGACAGGGTCCTATCTCTGGTACCATTTGGTCTTAATTTTTTAGAGACAAAAGGAAAAGATAAGGCAGAAGTTACCTGACTTCTGTGCAAAGCCACCTGACTTAGGTCACATAGCCACATTCCTCTCAAGGCTTGAGATAATATAAAGTTTCAACAGCTTTAAGTTTGAATTATTTTAAGTTTAAGTTAATTTCACACTATTAAGAAAATGAAAAGGCAAGTTATAGACTTGCAAAAGAAAATAAAATTTCAGAACCCTCTAAATTTATTATGCCAAGAGGGAAGTTAAGCCCAGGGGATTGAGTCACTAGCATGTTTGAAATTTCTGCTTCTTAGGCTATAGATTAACTTTCTCCTTCATTGTTCTTATTCTGTAAATGACTGGAAAAGATTAGAAACCAGACCTACTCCCATTCTAAACTCTGATGTTTGTTATAGATTAACTGCCTCCCTTATTGGCCTGTACCTAACTTAGACAAGATGGCACAAAAGACCCCAGGGTTGTTATATCTTTAGTATGAAATGTTAAATATACCTTTCCTAAAACAAAAAGACCACCTAAACAAATCAAATCATTGTACTATGCGTTAATCCTTATACAGACAAATTTTGAAATTCTCTTTGGCTTCCCTAAACTTTGTCTATATAAACGATCCCAAACTTCTACTTTTTGGAGCACTTGTAAACAGACAGGGAGGGATTATAGGAATTTAGTCAATTAGAGCAATCAGCCTGTTATACAGCCTTCTACCCTGCAGCCTATTCTTCCCCAAATCCTGGATGGAATGGTTTAAACCATGGTCACCTTGTTGGTTTAAACCAGCTCCTGGAAGACCCCAAGCAATTTACAGATAAACCTGAGCTTTCCTCTTGAGCATGCTACAGTCTTCACCTCAGGAGGAGGTATACCTTCGTTACCATAACACGTAGTTTATGTGCTGACATGATGACTCACTGTGTCTGCGCAACTGAAACCTCTCCTCTACTTGTGATGATGCCCCTCTTCCCTCTCCTTTGCCCTATAATGCCCTCCTTTTACCTTTCCCAAGGGGAGACACTGTTTTGAAGAATTTTCCCAGTGTTCCCCTCCTGCCAAGTAATAAAAATCCTATTGATCATAACCTATGCTATCTTGGAGAGTCTTTTGTTACTTGGTAGGTTAACGAACGCTGGTATTTTGGGGGTAACACACAGACTTCCATTTTTTGGATCTGTTCTTCCTAGACAGCTGTCCTCAAACTTTGCACTTGAATAAACTCTCTTTAAACTAGATTCTGACCCTTTTGATTATTTTAGTTTGACAGACTGAAAATAAATCAATCAACCTTTCTTTCTTTCACCCTTCTTTCCTTCCTTCTTTCCTTCCTTCCTTCTTTCCTTCCTTCCTTTTCTTCCTGCCTTCTTCTTTTCTTCTTTCTTACTGTCATCTATCTATCTAATCTATACATTTCTGATAAAGTATTTTTGTATAGGATATATATACAACTTTGCACCTAAATAATAATGAGACAAAATAACTCATGGACAGAATATTTAAGCAGAGTTCAGAAAAGATAAATAAATTCCTACTGCACACATGAAACAAAATGCTCAAAATCATCAGTCATTAGGGAAATGCCAACAACATCAAAATCAAAAAGATACCACTGCAAATATACTAGATTGTCAAACATTAAAAAGACTAATGGCTAGGTGTGATGACTCACTCTTGCAATCTCAGCACTTTGAGATGCCAAGGAAAGAAGAAATTGCTTGAGCCCAGGTGTTCCAGACCAGCTTAAGCAACATAGGGAGACCCTGTCTCCACAAATAATTTATGAAAATAGCCGGCTCTGGTGGCTTGCACCTGTGTTCCCAGCTTCAGGTGGCTGAGGCAGGAGGATCACTTAATCCTGGAGGTTGAGGCTGCAGTGAGTAGCGATTGCGCTACCGTAATTCAGCCTGGGCAACAGAGCAAGACCTGGTCTCAGAAAAATAAAAAATAAAAAATAAAAAATAAAAAGATTGAAAACTCCAAACTTTAAAGATAACTGGAGTAAGTAAAACTCTAATGCATTGCAAGCAAGAATGTCAACGTGTACCATCACAAAGTATTTTGATTGTTTATAAGATTAAAGATACATTTACCATATGACTCAGCAATTTCTCTCCTGGCTATTTACACAGGTAAAATAGAAACATATTTCTACACATAATCTTTTACACAAAAATTTAAAGCAGCTTAATGTATAATAGTTCCAAACTAGTAAAAACTCGAAACTAGAAATAACTCAAATGTCCATCAGCTAGCAAATTGCTAAACAAATTATGGTTTGTTTATACAACTGAACACTACTATATATTAATTATGTAACAATAGGAGCGGCTGTTGAAGGAAACCAAAATATTTCACCCCAAAATAGACTTATTTAACATATTTTAAGATTTGCTGTTTAGAAGGCCTGGAAATACAGTAATTGATGAAAATCCGCTTTTTGTTGGGGAGTTTGTTTGTGTCTATAGAGAAAAATCTACAGTGAAGCAGCCAGGCTTTCCCTGAGACCTTCCCTTGTTCAGATCTAGAAAATATTAACTGAGGGTCTGACACTGTAAAAGTTCTGGAAAAAAAAAAAACATATTTGTCATCTGTTATTTCTGAGCACTGCTACCTATTAGGTTTCGCCTACATAACAAAACCACTTTTACTAGCCAGGCCTCCTCTTTTCCCCGCTCTCATAGCCTGTTTTGCCAAGTTCCAAGCCTCTATTCTTTCTGTAACCTCAAGATGGTATGTAAGCCTCTGTATTCCATTGGTTTCGTAGCCCTGTAGTTTTCCTCCATGCTCATTAATAAATTTGTGTGCTTTTTCTCCTTTTAATCCACCTTTTATTAGTTGATTTTTCAGTGAACCTTGAGAGGGCAAAGGGGAAGTTTTCTCTTGGCCTTTCCAATGTTCAAAGACTGTATGCAAAGTGAATATAGACACAAAAGAGTATATCCTATATAATTACATTTATAAGAAACTCAGAAAAGAGAAATCTAATTTATAGTGGCAGCTAGTAAATCAGTTTTGTCTGCGGCTGGGTGAGAAAGGTAGTGATTGACTGGGAAGTGGCGTGAGAAAAGCTTTTGGGACAACGCAGATGTTCCATAATGTGACTGTGGTTGTAGTCATAACAGAAGTAATTGATATACATAAATACATGTGTATATATTCATCAAAACCTACTGAATTGTACACTTAAAATGTGTACATGTTATTGTATGTGAATTATACTTTATTAAAACTGATTAAAAAAATTAAGTCTGCAACTTTTTTTTCCTTCAAGTTCAGCTACATGTGACCTTCTATGGGAATCATTGCTTGATTTACACAGGCTGGATACATGATTCTCTTTGCATTCTTACATCACGTGATTTCCTCCATTTTTTTTTTTTTTTTTTTTTTTTTTGAGACGGAGTCTCGCTCTGTCGCCCAGGCTGGAATGCAGCGGCGGGATCTCGGCTCACTGCAAGCTCCGCCTCCCGGGTTCACGCCATTCTCCTGCCTCAGCCTCCCAAGTAGCTGGGACTACAGGCGCCCGCCACTACGCCCGGCTAATTTTTTGTATTTTTAGTAGAGACGGGGTTTCACCGTTTTAGCCGGGATGGTCTCGATCTCCTGACCTCGTGATCCGCCCGCCTCGGCCTCCCAAAGTGCTGGGATTACAGGCGTGAGCCACCGCGCCCGGCCGATTTCCTCCATTTTTTTATGTATCACATGCACGGCATCTGTGCCATGATAGTGCTCAACACAGTAGATAATAAATGGTTTCTTAATATTTTTAAATGCTTCATAGTTGCATAAAATAATTAAGAGGTGATTATAAGGAAACATCTGGCATTTTGGAAAATAATCTTATGCACATAGCTAGGCAAACATATTAACACTCTGCAAAAACAAAAAGGAATTGAAATACAGTTGGCCTCAGACAAAGACAGGTATTTACAGATTCACATAAACTGTACAGACCACGGCAGTAGCACTTCATAAATATGAACTCCAATCTATGTCTTGGTTACTGATTCCTTTATTTGTGTCTGTTCTTTATTTACCCTCTGAAGATTTTTCATTCTGGTAGACTTCAGTAAAACATGATTATCCAATTAAATATATCTTAATTTGACTAGAACATTTCAAAACAAGCTATCTTGGAAGTTGGTGGAAAAACGTAAATTGGCTGTTGTGAGGTCAGTTGTATGTCCTCAGTTCATTCAGTTTGATTTGATTGGTCACATGGTTCAGAATATGCCACCCACTCTCTCTCTCTCTCCTTTTTTTTTTTTTTTTTTTTTTGAGACAGAGTCTCGCTCTGTTGCCCAGGCTCCTAGGCTGGAGTGCAGTGGCAAAATCTCTGCTCACTGCAACCTCCCCATCCTGGGTTCAAGAGATTCTTCTGCCTCAGCCTCCCAAATAGCTGGGACTACAGACATGTGCCACCACGCCTGGCTAGTGCCACCCATTCTCATGGGATATACTATTCTGCTTTCATCAGCTGGGGCTGTGGACGGGACAATAGGAGGTCTTCAAATAACTCATTTGCATGCTCTTCCTATGTCTGTTTGGGTTTTCTTCTGGTCCTCTAGCTTCCTCCCACATCCCAAAGATGAGCTGCGGGAACAGACTGTGGCCCCCATGACCCTGAACTGTAATAATTGGGTAAAAAGTCATCTGAGTTGTTTTTATTCATCTTTTCTAAATATATGCATAGCTTACATTCATTTCAATGTTTAATGTTATAAGCATTTCAGATTTTATTTAGAAGTTTGATGAGTTTTTGTGATCAGAAATATGCTATAAGAACTTAACTCTTGTTAATATCCATTAGCATATGGTGAAACTGGTTTTATTATACTTCATTTCACTTGAAGTCACAGTTACCAAGAACATATCAACAACATTAAGTAAGGACTTACTGTATTTAGTTTAGAAACATCCTTAAAAATATTAGATACCACAAATAAATTAATTAGTGCAAAATCATGAATGAAAGAAAGGGAGAAAGGAAGAAAATAACATTATGTGATTGATTTGCCTATGACAATTCAAACAATATAATGAATAAAAAAGGAAAAAGTAGGTTATTCTTCTATTTGCATATAGTAGATTACATATATTAAAATAATGAGATATAATAAAAGTATAAGAAAATAGTGGAACTGATGGTCATCTATTTTTCTATCACAATTATCTATTGTTATATAGATATGAACAGTTTCTAGTTGCATAGGTCTGTAATCTACATTCTTGGTCATTTTAGAGTATTGTAATTGACATTGTCATTTCCATGACGTTATTCTAGATACTACTGTGTCTTCCAAATAATTTTTAATTCATCGAATGATCATCAACATTGTTTTAGTTTTTGAAAAGCACCATATACATGACTATCTTTCAGGTGTAAATAACAGACATCAATTGTAATAATAAAAATCTATAGCTATTTTAGGGCAAAATTTTGTGTTTCCTAATGTAGGTATATGTATTTCAAATAGGTAGATATTTGTATAGTTATAAGAATAAGTTGGTATAATTACTATGATACAGTGAAGAAAATTAGCCAGTCTTAATTAAAAAGTGTATGTATGTGGCTTCATCTATTTCTACTGCACATTAATATTATATTTTCCTAGACTTGGCATTCATTAGATTTTACTTATTTTTTGTCCAGAGCTTATGCAAGTGAAATGAAAGGCTCTGAGCACAGCTTCTACCATGCACAAAACATCTGCGATTATTGCCACTATGTAGCTGATGGACCATAAAGCATGATGCTTTTGAAAGGCCAAGTATAAAGCAGAGCTGTTAAAATGTATCACACCATTTTATAGATTAAGAAAGTGTTAAATGATATGGTATTTTATATGATATTTGAAAGATGCCACAACAATTAGACAAAATGACCCCATAAAGCATTTGTTAGGTTTAAAAAAGCAGCCCCTCATAATTTAAATCACTTGTTTGACATTTTACACAAAACCCAGGGGCAAATCTCATTTTTATGGGAAGAAAAATTATCAAATTCCTTGCACATTCCTCTCTTGACTCAAGAAGATCTATTGAATGTGAAGGAGAACAGTCTTGTAGGTCCAACAAACTTGGCCAAATTGTATACTGCCCAGAATTGACTTATAAAATTTCCTGGAGGTCAATTAAGTTATTTGAAAATGAATATACAGGTGGAGATGAAGATTTAATGTATGATATCAGGCACACAACAAATATTTTTTCAAAGCTCCCAGGACTGCAATATAAAAATTGGAATATTTTAGTGGTTGTAATTGAGTGTGGTGGCACTGTATACTGCATGGAAAGTGGCTTTTTGGGTTTGGCTTTTTGTTGGGTTTGGTTTGTTTTATTTTAGGAATCAGTTATGCCAATTTTGGAATTCTCAGACTTTCATTTTTAGGCATCTAAAAGTAAAACTTAATGCATTCAGATATTTGTCATTAATGAAGTGAAATAATATATTTGAAATAAAACAATAGCAATTATTTTTAATAAACATAATTATGTTCTCATCACATTAAAAATTTTCCAATATAAATATTTTACTTGCATAACATTTTATAATTTATAAATCCATTCATATATTGTGCTATAGATTACTTTTGGATTTTTGGATTATCCCTAATTTTTTTTTTTTTTTTTGAGACAAGGTCTTGTTCTTGCTCTGTCACCTGTGCTGGAGTGCTCGGCTCACTGTAGCTTCTGCCTGCCAGGCATAAGTGATCCTCCCTTCTCAGCCTCCTGAGTAGCTGGGACTACAGGCGTGCACACCACACCTAGTGTGTGTGTGTGTTTGTGTGTTTTTTTTGTAGAGACAGGGTTTCACCCTGTTGCCCAGTCTGCTTTTGAACTCAGATGAGTTCCGATGGTCTGCAGTCCTCAGCCTCCCAAAGTGCTGGGATTATAGGTGTGAGCCACCATTCCTGGCCCTTAATTGCCTTTTTTTCTACTCTCCAGATTCCCTGTTCATTCTGGGAGACACAAAACTCCACATGTATAATAGAATCCATATCATTCTGTCACATGGCTTTGATTTCTTCATATTTAATATTTTCATATCACTCTAATTTAGCCATATTTTCTCATAATTATTGTATTAGTTCCTTAGGGATGCTGTAATAAATTACCACAGTTTTTCTGGCTTAAAACAACAGAAAGTTTATCCTCACCGTTCTAGAGGTCAGAAATCCAAAATCAAGATATTGCAGTGCTACACTCCTCTGAAGTCTGAAGGAGAGAATCCTTTCTTGCCCCATCCACATTCTAGTGGCTCCAGGAATTCATTGGCTTGAAACTGCGTAATTCTTTTTTTTTTTTTTTTGAGACAGCATTTATCTTTTTTCTACCAAGCTAAAATTCTATGACTCATCACATAAATTCTTTTCCAATAAATGTTTCTTTCATCATTATATTGCAAATACTTAGTAAATCTCTGACCTTAAAACAATTTAACCAACTGTTCTGACTGCACACAGGATTCTCAGAGCTGCTGAATTAAAGTGTGTGCATACACACACATACACATGCACATACACACCCCACTGCATTCTTAGGAACTCATGATTTCCAATGCAACCACGCTATCAGTGCTTTATGGCAATCCATTTATATTTTTCTAATTAATGCTCTTAATCTATAGTCATTATTTTTAACCTTCATTTTTTTTCAATTACCTAAGATCTTCTGGTGCCCTTTCAAACTCAATTTCCTTCAGTAAAATCTGTTATGCTAACCTGACCCCTACCTTCCAGTTGCAGTGGAACGGGCATCCTTTACCTTTTACTGCAACCTGTGCTTTTCATTCACAGTGTTTCCGGGAGCCTCAGGACCACATCAAGTTTCAGCAATTCACTAGAAGGGCTCCTAAGACTCAGTATATAATTAAACTCATGGTTATGATTTACTACAGAAGATAGGATACACAGGAACATTAGCAAAAGAAAAAGGGAAGGGGGTAAAGTTCAGAGGAAACCAGGCACAAGCTTCTAAGAGTCCCTTTTCAGTGAAGTTACACCAGACACCCTTAATTCCTCTAGCAATGAGTTCTGATGACATGTGAGAAATGTCTGTGTACCAGAGAAACTCATTAGGAACTCAGTGCTAAGTATTTTTTGTTGGGGGCTGGTGACACACAGGCACTCCTTTCCTAACGTGTCGAAATTTCAGACTACTAGAAGAAAAGTAGGTCTTCATCATAAACCATATTGTTTGAACAAAGGTCTTAGGCATTGTGAGCCAAGCTGATTATTCCTGAGAATGGTGGGAACCCTCCTGATATCCATATTCCCTGATGCCAGCCGAGGGCCAAACTTGTAAACTTTGTAGAACTTTGTAGGACTGTCATTTCATGCCTTTCCTTTTCTGAATGTGTGGTCTTCCTTTCTTTCCTCAGGAGGCTTGCCCTTTATCTATTAGCTTCTTTATTTCCTATACTTCTCTGCTACTACACTCTGTTCCTCTCTTTTTGTATTCCAAACAGCATTCAAGCAATCTCAGGTCTTTCACACCTTAGGAGATGAGACTAAAAATTCCATCAACTCATGTTTTTCATGAGCTATTACTATGTTCATCTTTACACATAAAAATATTGAAAGAATCCTCAACCTTGCAACTTGCACTTAACTCTTATTCACCCAACCACTGTCACACTCTATCCATAAATATCTCATTGTAATTGCTTTACTATAAATCACCCACTGATAAATCAATCACTGATGAGTGATGTTCTCATTGCTAGATAAACCCAAAACTTTGATCATTTTAATCTGCCAGCAGTAGGTAAACTGTTGACTTTGCGTTCCCTTGAGATTGTTTTGTTTCTCTCCCATCTCTCAAATCTCTTCTCAGGGATCTCTTTCTCTGTTCATCCCCTAAATGTTGACTTGGCATAGTACTTTGTTTAAGCCCACTTAATGCCTCAATAGATTGACAGGCTATTCTTTGCTGTCCATGGATAAGATGTTGCCATGTAGATGAACATACCTTGATTGATTTTAAAAAATGTAACTAACCTAAATTTCTCATGTGCTAAAAACATTTATTAGGAAGCTATTTGGTAAAAGGGCATACCCTTATTTACTTTTTTTAAATCTATCTTAAGATCAGACATTCCCCAGCCAAATCTAGTAGACAACCGCCACAGGAATTGGTCCCTGTCCATTTCTGGGATCTCGTCCAGACATCTGATTAATCAGATTCTGTTTGCCAGGCTTTGTATTAGCCACTTGTGGCAGACACATTTAATTGCTTACACAGTCTTCTTTTCCCTTTTCTCCTTACTAACAGTAGGGACTTCTGAGTGATTATGCAGTTTCTATAATGCACATCTCCAGGGCACCTCATGTGCAACAAGGTAACCCTGGAACATGATCCCTATTTTATTTAAGGCAGCAATAAACCTAGCTCAAGGCTTAAACAACTGAACCCATAAATCAGTATTTTTAAAGCTCTTTGGATGATTCTAATGCCTGCTAAATTTAAGAAATACTGTCAAAATTAAGTGTGATGATATCATTCCCCAGCTTCCTAGACTTTGAATAGCTAGGAGTGACCAATCTGGACCAAAAAGTCTGTAAAATAGCCGTCTGGGTGATGTTCTAAAAAAACTGTTGCTTTCTTGATTAAAAATGGAGTGCAAACTGCTCATATGGTCTTTTCCTTTAGTCTCTCTGTGTCCTTTCAAGCCAGATATGTTTGGAACTGAAGCGTTCATTTTAAAACCATCAGGCAATGAAGATAATGATGAAAGTCAGCACATTAAGAACGGCAGAGCAGAAGATGGGAAAAGCCTGTGTCTTTAATTGCATTGTTAAGCAACTGAACCAACTCTCTACCTATAAACTTCTTGGGTAAGAAAAAGAAACTCCTTTCTTTAAGCCACCATTAATCATGAGTTGCATTATTTACAGCTTTGAAGAATCATTATTTGGCTCTTCTCATATTAGTTGGTGTAAACTGGGAATTCCCTATGTAAGGAGATTCCATCCTTTAACAGTACTGCATGCAGGAAAGTAACAATCAGTTGTCATCAGCTTACACATGCAGAGACATGTTGCAAACATATATGGCCCTTGATATTCGGTAGTAGGAACTGAAGCAGCCTCCTAATTGTGAATCTACCCTGCATTCAGGGATTCTTAAGAATAGTAGAATTAGTAATAATAATATAATATCCAATATTTATCAAGCACTTATATACCAGTTACACACTAAACACTTCATATGCATTATTTCCATCTAATTCTGACAACCATTCATTTTATTTTCTCCATTATAGACATATAGGAATGAAAGCTTGGAAAGAGTAAAATTAGCTTTCCCATAGTTTGACAGCTGTTAAGTGCTGTAGTTAGAAATTAAACATAGATATTTTGGATTCACAGGCTGTACTCTTAATCACTAAGAACTTCCGTATCCTTATCTAGCCCAAGCTTATTCTATAAATTCTAGAACAATGTGTAGCTGTGTACTAGACACTTCCAATAATAATTTCAAATGATGTAAAAGAAATATATATAACCCCAAAACTAAGCATCCATTTTGAAATAAATTGAGTTCTAACCTTTACACATTTGTCTGAACAAAAAATGTTTCTTCCATCTTATATTCCTGCTTATAGATTCCTCATATCCAATCAATCATAAAGTCACATAGATTAATGATTTTTGTCTTTTAATATGATTACATAAAAGGTAGTAAAATCAGTTGAGTGGATCATAGTGAATATTTTAAAAATACAATAGAAAATGTTAGAATAACATAATATTGTCTGAAACTTTCTTTTTACAGATACACCTATAAGTGTGTGTGTGTGTGTGTGTGTGTATGTGTGTATGTAGTGAGAAGTGATATTAAATACATTTTCTAAATACTTTAGGTTGTGGCAAAAAAATATTTATCAGACTTTCGTCAATGGTATCTCCTAAATAACTCTTAAATCCACCCATTTCCTTTCATTTATTTGCATTTCTACTCTCCTATTTTAGGACCTCCTAAATTTTTGACAGACTTCTTAATTGTTCTTACCACTTCTGGTCTTTCTACTTGCTATCTATTTTTTGTACTGCGGTCCTGATTAGTTTTCAAAGGCAAAAATCAAACAATATTACCCCTCTGCTTAAGAATACTCAGCATTTTTTTTTACACTGGCCTTAAGTTTAAGTCTAAAGTATTTAACATGGTATATAATGTCCTTTTAAGTTCTAGAAACTTCTTACTTCTTCAATCTCACAGTCTCATCTCTCATCCCCTCATTATATATAATCTAGAACAGATGAGAGATGAGACTGGCAAGGTAAGAAGTATACAAATGTATAAAAGTCAAGTGAACTATTGGTCAACTGTAAACTGACCAAACATGCTCTTCAACCTCTAATTTTTCAAGACAATTCTGCTAAGTGGTAAGAAATAGCTGCTGAGCTTTATTTGCTATGTGATTATTTCATCCACCTAGAACAATCTCTCTGTTTATCATCTCTTCCTTCTTTGACTAATTACTACTTAAAGTACTTCACATTGCTTCTTCCTGTAAGACTTTCTTGTGCATTTTAAAAAACTGTTCATCTGTCTGGGTGCGGTGGCTCACACCTGTAATATCAGCCCTTTGGGAGGCCGAGGTGGGCAGATCAGCCGGGCATAGTGGCGGGTGCCTGTAATTCCAGCTACTCGGGAGGCTGAGGCAGGAGAATTGCTTGAACCTGGAAGGCAGAGGTTGCAGATCGTGCCACTGCTCTCCAGCCTGGTGACAGAGCAAGACCGTCTCAAAAAAAAAAAAAATCTGTTTACCTTCTAGGGTTTGATGCATCCAGAACTCTTTACAAGCTCACATTATGCCTACTTAAGCTTAAAAAAAAGTAATTTGTTTATTCAACTCACTTGGGCACATATCTTGGGGACTGGACAGCATCCCTAGACAGTAAATACCTTTCACAGTCACACATACACATACGCACACGCCACTGATGGCATATGGTCTGTATCATAGTCCTTGCCACCATAACCTGCCATTGCCTGTTTACTTATCTGTATTCCTTACTAGACAGTAAGACTATGGATGCGAAAGCTTTATCAGCCCCATTCGTCGGGATATCACCACTGCCTACTGCAGTTCCTGGCACATTGTAGATACTAATTCCTTTATTCAATAAGTATAAATGGAGTATCTTTCATGTGTCAGCCAGTATGCTAAGCACTAGAGATACAAAGGTGAACAAAATTATCAGTATTCATGCTTTCAATGAGCTTGAATTCTAGTAGAGGGTAGCAAGAAAAAATGTAATTCATGTGACTCAAATTGAGGTTAAAGGCTTTATTCACCTGATATGAATTAAAGGAGCAGCTGAAGACTAAGTAATTTCCCGAGCCAAAGCATGCCTCAAATTTTATAGGGCAAAGAAGAGAGAAAGTGAGTGCGTCATTGTGCTCTGGCTCAGCTTGCAGTTTTGCTCATCTAAAAGTGCTGGAAACTTTTTGATTGTTCCAGTTTTCTGCCCTTTCTTTGAGATTATTGGTGCAATCTCAAAATAGTTCCTTCCAGAGATGTTTTTGTAAGCTTTGTAGGGATCAGGTGAGGAAGAGGTAGGCAAGAAAGAAAGTAAAGGAAGGGAATAAGGAAGGGGGAAGAAGAGGGAGAGAAGACATGCATCTACCATTTCTGATTTATTTTACAAATGATAATTATTCACATTTTTCTGAGTGCTTTACAAAATCATTTCCTTATTGTGCTAAGTGGTTTATAAAATCTGATCATTTAATACAACCACCCCATTAGGAGGGTTATAGATGAGAAGACTGAGTCATGGAGAGGTTAATTAACCTGTCCAGGGTTATATATCTAAAAAGTTGCAGAACTGCAGAACCAGACTGTGAGAGAACCTATGCTCTTACTCACCAAAATTAACTGCTCCTCAATAAATAATTATTGAAAAAAATAAATAACAAGTATTTTTCCCTTAGAAGCTAGAAACAAATGCTCTTAAAACCCACAACGCTAATCAGGTATTTTACTGACAACCTAGTTTTAAGAAGCTAATCTGAGCACTGCTGCACAGAATCTACTTAGTATTCATGATTTGAGGACTTATTCCAATCTCCCTAGGATTCTTCTCTAAAAGACTGTCTAAGGAATACTAATATAAATGAGAATTATTTTATATCTTCCAGCTTAAAATGGAAAGCATAATACTATATAAATAAAATATTATAGATAGTACTTTACTGAACATAAAGACAATTGTTCTTTTTTATTATATCATTAATAGGCATTTAAATTTCCTGCTTGAAGAAAAAATGTTAAATGAACTAGTAATATTTGAGTTTAATTTTAATGCAAAATATGCTTCCACATCAAATAAAATGTATGTTAATGAGCCTAGCTCATTCTATCCTACTCTCAGAGAGTCTATCTTCAGATAATATGGAATTCTTCTTAGTCTGACACAGAGACTGAGAAGGAACCACTAAATTCAATATGTAGAGTTTGGTGGCACAATGCATCCCCTGAACTTGTAATGCAATATAGTATAAAGTGAGGAAGAATAATAATCTGGAAACCTAAATTCTGGTTTTATTTTTGCTATTTGCCTGAAGTTATTTAGGTAAGATGCTTGACTTTACTTACCTTTTTGAAAAATGGGTGAATTATAACTGTTTTCCTGTATCCTAAGAGGCTGAAAATCTTCTATAAGATGTAAAAGAGTCTTATATACTTTAATAAGCTTATAATTATATACACATAGAAATAAAATTACAAGATTATATATCTCTCTAAGGAGACTTGAAGAAAGACTTTTAACCATTTAGAATCTAGTTTTCTCATTTGTAAAATAAATGTATCATCTAGATTACCATTAATGCTATTTTGAACTCTAACTTTCCAGGTATACAAATAAGAGGACCATATAACTTTGAGCAGAAACATTAGGGTGAAAGAGTGGTTTGGTTCACTGTGTTTCTACAAGCTTCTCATTGCTGGTCCAACTGCTCCCCCCAGGCTTCACACTAAACTATATCTCAACCTTTTCTCACTTCAGTAATTCCCCCTTGTGAGTGTCAGAATCATTCAAAAAGGCAAATGTGGCAATACAAGTTCTCTTCTGTTTTACAAGTAAATTTTTTACCACAGAGGAAAGTTTGAATTTTTTAGTAGAGCATTAAGAGCTCTCCATATTATGCATGCATTTCTAGTACCATCTACTACAAGTTTCTAACCTTAGCATTTGAGGTAACATTTTGTAGAGTCTTAAAGACCATAGTAAAAAAAGTTTACTTTAATTCTAAGATTGATGATAAGAAATTGGCAGTTTTAAGTCTGGGAGTAAAATCATTCTCGGTTTTATTTTAAAAGTCCCTCTCACTGCTGTGTGACGATTGGAATACAGAGACATAAATTTAAAAAATAGGGAAAGGTAGAACCAATTTAATAATTCAGGGTTTTTATGGTTTGCAATAAGATAGTGGTAGAAGAAGTAAATAATGTGGATAGATTTAAGATATATTTTAGTAAAGTTCTTGTCACACAATTTGATTTTAGATTGAATACAGGATGATAACTAGAGAATTGCTCTGAGCTTCTGGAAAGATCACAGTGCTATTTAAAGAGAGAAAGACTTTTACATTGGAGTTTGAGGTGCCTATTAGACATAGAACTTTAAAGTGGGCAGTTTGAATTCAGTGTAAAGATCAAGTGAGAGAGTGGGGAGGGAGTGTTATCAGCATACAGAAAGCATTTAAAACAACTGAAACACAATGAGATCACATGGAGAGTACACAGATGGTGAATAGATGAAGGCTCAAGACCAAGCCCTGGGGAGGAAACAGCTGGTTAAGAAGGGCTAAAAAGATTAGCCATTGTGATAAGAAGAAAAATCAGAATATTGGATGACATAGTAGCTGCATTAGTTTCCTACTGGTGTTGTAACATATTGCTACCAATGTAGCGGCTTAAAGTCACTGGCTTCAAGAAGTCAGTGGCTTAAAGAAGTGTATTTTATTACATTTCTGGAGGTCAGAAGTCGAAAATAGTTTAGCAAGGCTGCATTCCATCTGAAGGTTCTAGGGGAAAATCTGTTTCTTGATCTTTTTCAGTTTCTAGAGGCTTTCTGAATTAATTGGCTCATGGCCCTGCATCACCCTGGCCTCTACTACCATTGTCACACCTTTGACTCTGACCCTCCTGCATCCCTCTCGAAAGGACTCATGTGATTACATTAGTCCTACCCATATAGTCCAGGATAATCTCCACTTCTCAAAACTGATTTGAGTCACATCTGCAAAGTCATTTTTATCATGGAAATTAACATATTTTAAAAATCCTAAGATTAGACATGGACATCTTTGGTTGAGGGAGGCATTACTCAGCCTACCACAGTAGCAGACATTCAAGTGTATCATACAGAGAAACTGGTCAACTATGTTAAATATTGCAGAGATGTTGAGTGCAATAAAGACAGAGAAGTGACTATTGGATTTGGCAACTGAGAGTATTTTTTAACTTTTGACAGCTACGTTTTTAGCACTAGATTGACCTGGATTAAAGAATAATTGAGAAGTAAGAAAGTAAAGATAATGAGTACAGAAATTTATTTTAAGAAGTTTGGTTAGGGAAGGGAATAGAGAAACAGAAATTGGAAGAAGAGGTGGAGTTAAAGGAAAACCTGTTTTAAAGATGAAGTTACTAGATGTTTTTTGCATGTAAATACAGATGATCTAATAAAGATGAAATGTTTTGTGATATGCAAGAGGAATAAATAATTGCAAAAGTGACAGCCATGAGAAGGAAAAAGAAAGGATCAAGGGAATAATTGGGTAATTGGACAGGTTAATTTTTAAAGATCAGAGACACTTCACTTCTTTCATCCATAAAAGCAGCAGGGAAGACAGAAAACCTTTACAGATGCAGAAACCTGAGAATTTGGTGGTTGGAACGTGAGTGCATAGCTTTTACATACATTCTCATTTCTCAATGAATTTTAAGATGATTTATTCAGCTGAGATTTTCAAGGTGGGTTGAGTTCTAGAGGGAAAGCTTGCGTCATAGAACAGCATTCTCAAGATAGCGCATGGGAAACTAAGTAACATTGTTGAACTGCGTACTCAGTGCTTATTTGAGTGTGTGGTCATTAAAATTAAACAAGTTGTCACAGTTACATGATTTTTTTTTCCTCCAATATCTGGCTGCTTGTAGGCACTGATAAATTTGTTCATTATGATTTAATCGAATTTGGCTTTTGAACTGTAAGAAAAATGGGGAAAATAAGTTGATACATTTTTGTGGATAAATTGTGCCGCTATCCATTTGTTGATCAAACCTCACATCTAATCCATAGTGAAACTCCATCACAATGTTCCAAGTAAAGCTCAAACTCATTCTCTTCTCTTTATTTACCTTCTATCATCACAGTTTTAATCCAAACTTGCATTAACTTTTGACTAGATTACTTCAATATCAACTTAACCAGCTTTCTCTCATCCATTTTCCATTGCAAACAAAACAGAAATAAACTAATAACTTTATCCTGCCCTCCTCCTATTCCCATCTTGGGAAAATGCCTCAGTTATTCTTCATTGCTATTAAAGACAAAAACATTTACATATACCTTTAAGGCTCTAAATATTTTGATCTCTTCAAATGAATGGCATATCATCCTTTTCTTCATCTTGCTATCTCAGTATTCCAGCCACCTAGAAATTCCTAGTTCCTCAAACAGTCTACGTTGCTCAAGGCCTTAACGATGTTTTCTTCTTCAGGAACACAAATCGTTTCTCTCTTAACCTAATCACCACTCACTTGGTTCTCAGATACACCTTGACTGCTTCAAAGAAAACATCTGGGACCTTGAACACTGTGATACTGTGATATAATAAAATATATATATTTGATCTTTGTACCTGGTTCCTGGCACAAGAAATTTTAAAACTATTGGAATTTCCCATGTGATCAGGATGAGAGAACCATCTTTTTTTATTCATAAAAAGCCCTTTTTTGGGAGGCTGAGGTGGGTGGATCACCTGAGGTCGAGAGCTTGAGACTAGCCTGACCAACATGGAGAAACCCCATCTCTACTAAAAATACAAAATTAGCCGGGCGTGGTGGCGCATGCTTATAATCCCGGCTACTCGGGAGGCTGAGGCAGGAGAATCGCTTGAACCAGGGAGGCGGAGGTTGCGGTGAGCCAAGATCGCGCTACAAGTGCGAAACCCCCTCTCAAACAACAACAACAAAAAAGCTCTTTTCAATCTTACCTGAATTTATGCTAATGAGATGACTCTTGGTGGGCCTCTAGATAGCTTTAGGATGGGAGCTGGTTGCCTTCTGAACCATTATTAGAGAGTTGGAACTTTCAGTCCCATCCCAGTTGGCTAAGGCTGGGAGAGGGACTAGAAATTGAGCCAATCACCAATGGCCAATGATTTAATTATTAGTGCCTATGTAACAAAGATTTCATGAAAACCCTGTAGGAGAAGGCTCTAAGCACTCTCGGGTTAATGAAGAAACTGAAGTACTGGAAGGATGGTGTGACCAGAGAGGCCATAGACAATCAACACCCCTGACCCTCATACTTTATCCTATGCATCTTTTAATTTTTGGCTGTACCTGAGTTGCGTTTTTAATAATAAAATATTAAATGTAAACAAAGTATTTTCTTGAGTTTTGTAAGATTTTCTAGGGAATTATCAAATTTGAGGAGGGGGTTATAGGAAAACTCCTCCTTCACCAATGACTTTATAGCTAGTCAGTAAGTATTACAAGTGGCCCAGACTTGTTTTCAGCATCCATAGTTGGCACTGTCTTGTGTGACTAAGCTCTTAACCTGTAGGGTCTGCAATAATCCAGAGAGTTAGTGTCAGAATTGAATTAAATTGTAGGACACCCGTTTGATGTTGGGAGACTTGGAAAATTGAGTAGTGTGAGAAAAAAGCACATACACCTGTGGTGTCAGAAATGTTGAGAAAATTGATCTTAGTAGTAGTAAACATAAATCAGGACCCTGAACCCAATGATTATTTACTAAAATCACATATAAAGGTTTAAACATATATATTTTATGAAATTATACCATCAATGACCATCCCAACACTAGATTATAAATTGCATAAGTAGAGGACCAGTTTCATTTGTACCCAGCATTTTGTCTCTAATGCTTATTATATTGCCTGGTGCATAGCAGCTAATAAATATCTGTTGGGTGAACACAAGCCATCATTAATATGTAATACCAACTCTATGCCCTGATAGTGAATCTGGTACTCTTGTTATTTTAGATACCAACATTATCAAATGTATTTGATATGCATGGGCATTAATGGGCGCTAGCTGACTTGAATTATATACATATATACTGTGTGTATATATATACACATATACATACCTACTGTGTGTATATATATATATATACACATATACATACATATATACATATATATACATATACATACATATATATGTATATATACATATACAGTATATATGTATATATATACTTGAATATTTATATATGCAGTATATATATACTTGAATATTTATATATATTCTGTTTTTATGTGTATACATATATACATAACATATATACCAATATATAACTTCTCAGGAATATTCTTGCCTAGCATATAAGTTTGTTATTATATTTTCCAAACCAAAGGGCTTCAGCTTGTAAGAAAATGAGAAATAATTAGCAATCTTCAATTGAGTTACAATGAATAATCAGCATTACTTTTCAAATAACACACACACAGATATATACATATCTAAAACACTTATATATTATATAATTTATTTTGTATCTCATACATGTGAATTACACAATACAAGTATACCTCATTTTACTCCTCTTCGCAGATATTACATTTTTAACAAATTGAAGGTTTGTGGGAACCCTACCTGGAGCCACTTATCAGTGCCATTTTTCCAACAGCATATGCTTACTTTGTATCTCTGTATCAGCAATCTTTAGCAATAAAGCATTTTTAAGTTAAGATACACACATTACATTTTAGACATAAGGCTATTGCACACTTAACGGAATACAGTATAGGGTAAACATAACTTATATTTGCAGTGGGAAATCAAAATATTTGTGTGACTCATTTCACTGAGATATTTGCATTATTGTGGTGGTCTGGAACCAAACCCACAATATCTCCCAAGTTATGCTAGTACATAACTTTATATATTTCATATATATAACATGTATTTAATACATATTTTCTCTTCTGTGTTCTTTACAGATTCATTAAAAGAATATATTCCAAAACTGAAGAGAAAAAGCATGAGGATAGAAAGTGGGCCAAAGCTGAATAAAAAATGCCACCTTACTTTTTTTTAAAGTTTATCAGTAATATTATAATAGTATCACACTTTTCTGTATTTTTGCTTTTAAAATATATCACTATCTTTTCAAGCAGCAGTAAAATTTTGCCACATGTGTTTGTACAGAAATAGTTTCTGAATCTAAATGCTATTTAAAATAGTACACAATGATACTTTTGAACTACAGAATGTCTCAAAAAATTAAGAACAGATGTTGCTTAAAATTTTCAAAAACAAAGAGAAAATTGAATTCATCCCCAAACTGAGGAAAAGATTCATAAACAATTTTTTCTAGTATAAATAATTTGAAATCATAATTTCAGTAGAAAAGTATAAACTTTAAGTATCTTTTATGTTGCAGATACCAAATTGCTTTTATATATAGATAAGTTTGTATAAATGTATATATATCTGCGTGTGTGTATGTATATTTGAACATATACACATACAAATATGTGTGTGTGTATAATCAGCAGATATTTAGAGACATGCCTGGGTCACGTTATTTATTCTTAATAACCAGTGTTACATGATTTATTTTGAAAGAAGGCTTGATAGTGAAAAAAATTTTGTGAATATTTATTCTAGATTTTCTTTTAAAGAAGTCCATTCTGAGCAATATGGTATTTCTGATTTTTTAAGAGAACAATCCTCCAGCACCTTTTGAAGGTGCTACATTGTCATTCCATATCATATTTTCAACCCATCTGCTCTTTGCCTTTTGGATTCTAAGCAAGTATGCATAGTCAACTGCAATACCCTACAGCATTCTGCAGTTTCTTATCAGTTAATCAGTTTATGTTTATAAACATATAACAGACCTCATGTCACATCACCAAATGTATTTGAAACAACTAAGCCAAAATGAAATATGGCTAAATGACTGCTCAATTAAAAGGACACACATAAATCTTAAATATGTGTTTTAATTTTGCCACTGCAATTTTAATGAAAATTAATACAAAATTGGTTATGTTTGTTAAAAAAAATGCCAAAACTTCTATTATTCTTCGTTGTCAGTATAGGTCGATTGCTCTTAATGGTATTTTGATATTTGGTTTGCTTTGGGTTTCGAATTAATGATTTATTTATTATTTATTTATTTTTGAGACTGAGTCTCTGTCGCCCAGGCTGGAGTGCAGTGGCGTGATGTCAGCTCACTGTAAGCTCTGCCTCCCGGGTCCAAGCCATTCTCCTGCCTCAACCTCCCGAGTAGCTGGGACTACAGGTGCCCGCCACCAAGCCCTGCTGATTTTTTTTTTTTTTTTTTTTTGTATTTTTAGTAGAGACGGGGTTTCACCATGTTAGCCAGGATGGTCTCAATCTCCTGACCTTGTGATCCACCCATCTTGGCCTCCCAAAGTGCTGGGATTACAGGCGTGAGCCACCGTGCCCGGCCGAATAAATGATTTATTATCTGGAAGTGAGCATGCCTCATAGCATTCAATAAAGGACTGACTTCCTTCCAAAAGTAGAAATAAAGATCCTGATGACAGAATACTTTCTATTTAGCACTTGATCATGACAGAGAAAAAACACGGGAGAAACAAAGCTTGGAAAGAAGGACAAAAGGACAAAGGAAGAGAGGGAGGAAAGGAGACAGATAGAAAGGAAACAAAGGATAGAGAGAAACAAGTCAGCAAACAGGCCTGTGTTTCTAGATTATAACTTGCAAAGGTATTAACTATGCAGTGTTTATATTTTAGCATTTAGGTTTCTAGCAACTTGACAAGAACTGATAGACACTAAAGAAATGATTGTTGGGCTTGGCGCGGTGGCTCACGCTTGTAATCCCAGCACTTTGGGAGGCTGAGGCAGGCGGATCATGAGGTCAGGAGTTCCAGACCAACCTGACCAACATGGTGAAACCCCGTCTCTACTAAAAATACAAAAATTAGCTGGGCGTGGTGGTGTGTGCCTGTAATCCCAGCTACTCAGTAAGCTGAGGCAGGAGAATTGCTTGAATCCGGGAGGCAGAGGTTGCAGTGAGCCGAGATCATGCCACTGTGCTCCAGCCTGGGTGACAGAGCAAGACTCTTATCTCAAAAAAAAAAAAAAAAAAAAAAAAAAGAAATGATTTTTGACCTTAACAGGACAATTAGCCTTGCAGGCTAAAAGAAATATCCCTTTTTCTTGGTATCAAGGAAGCTTTCCTTTTCCTTTTACCTATTGCTAATCTCATCATTGAATGCTTTTCTAATGCACTATCTATTTTTGTATAAGACAGTGCCTCAAAACTTTGTATCTAAAGACAACGAATATGTATTATCTCATAGTTTCTGGAAGTCAGGATATCGGATGTGACTTAGCTAAGTGGTTAGGTGTAGGGTCTCTCATTAGGTGGTAATCAAGCTGTTGACCAGGACTGAGGTCAACTGAAGGCTTGCTTGGGTCTGGAGATCCCTGCTTCCAGCCTCACATCTGTGGCTGTTTATAGGAGACAGTTCCTCTCTATGTGAATCTTTCCATACACCTTCTCACAACATGGTGACCGGCTTCCTCCAAAGTGAGCAATTAAAGAGAGATATTATAAGAGAGATATTGACCAATAAAGAAGCTCAGTGTCTTTTATAAACTAATCTCAGAAATGGCATTTCATCATTTCCACTGTATCCTATTGGTCACACAGAAAACACTGGTATAGTGTGGCAGGGGAGACAAATGGGGTCATTTTGGAGGCTGACTACCACATTGTGCCCTTTGTACATCGATGATTTATGCCTGTACCCCATGCAAATGCACTCATCTCTCAAAAGACCTAAAAGTCTCATCATGTTACAATATCAGCTCAAGGCTTAAGCTTCTGTAATCTGTGTTAGGTTCCCTTGATCTATAGACAAATAGAAGTGGATCTAGACAAAAACCACACCCACAAACCTCTTCTAGTTAAGCCCTTCTCTAACTAATTTGAGCTTCTGCTGAGAGAGAACACCCCTGAGCTTTTCACAAGTCCTACTGTTTTGTTGAGAGTATCTGTGAGTTGTTCCCTTAAATTCTTTAGAAGGAGTTTTGTCTAACTGAACAATACTCTAAAATATCACTATTGGTTAGACTTAAGTATTAATAAAAATGTTATAATCATACTCTTGGCTTTATATTTAGTTCATACTTTTTCATATAGAGCTCTAGAATTCATCTTTGCTCAAAAGGCATTTTTAAATTTTAGCATTATCTGTCATTGGGTGAAACTGATAGTTTTCAAAGTTATCATTTCTATCTGTCATGTTCGAAAGACCTCCTCCTTTAGTTTAGCTCTCCACTCTCACAATTACTAACCACACCAAGGAGATAGTAGCAAGTACATTCTACACTCTACCTAGGAGTGTCCTTAGCCAAATCACCCAGTTCATTTGATACATTTTAATTTCCTGCCAACTGTAGGCAAGAATGTTGCTAGCTTTTCTGTCAACACATAAAAGGAAATTATTTTCTTCCATTTCCCAAGAAGATTTGCCTCACATTCTTTAAATTCTCAGTGGTAGCCTGATAAAAGACCAAAATTTTTCTAATGCTTGTTCAATGCAATTTAGACTTTCTCTCGCATTAAGGCATTTGTTACAAAGCATGATAATTCCAGGTATCAAAACCTGTTATTACTTAGCTATTGCTGAATAACAGATTACACCAAATTTTAGCAGCTGAAGACAAAAATTATTTTTATCTATATTTGTTTCCTAGGGCTTCCATAACAAATTACTACAAACTAAGTGGATTATGACAACAGCGATTTAATCCCTCACAGTGCCAGTGGCTAGTAGTCTAAAATCAAGTTATGAGCAGGGTTGATTTCTTGTGTAAATTCTGATAGATAATCAATTCCATGCCTCACTCCTAGCTTCTAGTGTCTCTGGCAATACTTGATGTTCCTTTACTTATAGCCTCATCACTTTAATCTCTGCCTCCATCTTCACATTGCCTTTTTCTATACTTGTCTTTTTTCTTCTTTCCTCTCTCATCTTATAAGGACTCATGGGATTTAAGGGCTACCCTAATTTACGGTAATCTCATCTCAAGATTCTTAACTCAATTACATATGCAAAAGATACTTTTTCCAAATAATGTCATATTAATCAGTTCTAGGAATGTATCTTTTGAGGCCACTATTCTACCCACCACATTGTTCATATAGTTTCTGAGGACCAGGAATTGATATGTGTCTTTGCTAGGTAATTCTGGTCTCTCGTGAGCTTCAATAAAGCTTTCAGCTAAGACTGCAATCAACTGACAGTTTGAGCACAGCTGGAGATGGGCTTTCAAGCTGGCACACATAACTGGAAGGAAGGTACATTTTCTCACAAGGTAGGTTTCTCCAAAGGGCTGCTTATAACATGGCAGCCAGTTGCACCCAGAGACAGTATTAATATTTCCAGAGAGAAAGAAAGAGAGAGACCAAGAAGGAAGTCATCTTTGCCTTTTATACCCCAATCTCAGGACTTGGCATCAGTTTTGAGATATTCTATGGTTACTCTGGCCAACATTTGTCACTGGTACATTGGGTGAGGAGACACAACATTAGTGTAAATATCAGGAGATAGGGATCTCTGGGGGCTACCAAACCCATACTTCTGTTTATTCCAGATTGAGTCTCAATTTTCCATACTATTGCTTTAGGACAATCCAAATATTGTGATAATCAGGGCATAATTATCAAGGTTTATGATACCGCATCAGTGAGGGAAGACATAAAATGCTTGAAGTCAATCAGCATTCTGAGAAATAATTTTAATGGTATACCATACAGTGCTTGGCCCACGGTAACTACTTAATATATATTAATATATGTCATAGTGCCTCCCTCCTCAAGCTCCTCCTTCCCTACCCTACTTACCAAAAATTCCACTTTATCTCAACCCCATTTCCAATGACACAATATCTGACATTCTCTATTTGGATGGAACAAAAAGAAATAAGCATTAAGCCTGAGGTTGTCTCTAAAAATGAAGGTAATTCGTAATTAAAATCTCTGTGGAACAAAGATTCAAAATCATTTACATCCTTGTCTATGTATTTTTTTCTGTGAAATATAAAAGGTATATGTATGTATCTGTATGTATGTATAAACTATATAAGGGAAATATGTATGTCTATATCTATTTATCTATAGCTAATTTATACCTATCTACTATCCATATATCGAAATTAAAGACAGAAAGAAATAGGTATTTACTGAATGGCAAGTATCTAGTCTATAAACCCCAACCTGGCAAGACAGAAAGTAAGAAACTTTAGATGATATTCAAAGGAACAAAAATGAAAAGTTGATTGTATATTAGTAAGAGCCTAATTTAATTTCTCAAAATACAACAGCCAAATCTTTGATGCCTATAATACTCTAGGAACTTAAATTTGACTAGTTTTTCCATCATTGTTTGTTTTACTCTTTTTCTCTATTTCTGTCTGAACAGAACACACAAACATGCATACTCCACGTACACTCACATCATACCACAACTTAACAGAACTGAAAATTTCTGATTACTTTCTTCTAAAATTTAAGAAAGTAGGAATCAAACTGTGAGACATCATTCTATTCCAGTTAATCGATTTGGAAAAAGAAAACAACTGAGAAGAAGGCAAGTCATTCTCTGACATTGATGGGAGGGATGGTTTCATAAGGGTTCAAGCTGAGAAAAATCATCATTTTTTCAGAACAAGCATTTAAGAATCACTTCCCTCTCTAGTTCCCTATTTATGAATTTCTTTGAAACTCTGACATTGCCCCAACTAGACACAGTTCCAACATATATTTCTATAATGCGGCTCTTGGTGAATATACCAATATTTTGGATGAGAACAAGTTCTTATTCTAATAATCTAGCAGGTAATTAACTGTGTGGACAAAGAAGTTACTACAGAAGGAGATATTTACTTTCCACCTGAGAAAACACATATACATATTTTCTAATGGAATGCATATTTTTATTGCTGACAGCCACTATTATATTATTGTTCTATTTTGCCTCATCTACAGTTTTAATGCAGCATAAACTGGTATAGATATTAAGGACTATAAGAACTTCAAATGAAATGGGAGTATTGTCAAAAAGAATGACAAGAGGAACAGAAAGGCAAAGAAGGAGAAAAAAGAGAAAGAGAGAGGTAGAGAAGAAGAGAGAAAAATACAGTCACCCCTCCAGAGCTATGAATTATACATCTGCAGATTCAACCAACTGCAAATCAAAATTGTACTACACCATGTTATGTAAGGAACTTGAGCATCCAGCAGATTTTCACATTTGTCCAGGGGAAATACCGAGGGATGACTGTTATTCAAAGTTATAAACTTCTTGAAAAGATCCAGCATTACATGTTACACATACTTTAAAATTTTTAAATAATGCAGAAAATAGAATAGAAATAACTTTCTATATTTCTCTACTATGCAAAGACTCAATTAATGAAATAATTGATATCAATCTACCTAGTTACTTTTTAAGGACTCTGCATTTATTCAAATACCTATCTAAGATATGAATGTTAAGTTCTGAATGAATGAAGGATGTGCCATCCCCAAATATGCTGAATTGGTATATTGATTATCTCAAGCTGAAAACATTGGAGAAATTGTAATTGCAGAAATGGCTAGCCGACCTATCTCTTCCTGCATGCAGCAAGCTGTAAAGATTCCTCTGGGGCCAGGCATGGTGGCTCATGCCTGTAATCCCAGCACTTTGGGAAGCCGAGGTGGGAAGATCACCTGAGATCAGGAGTTCGAGACGAGCCTGGCCAACATAGTGAAACCCCATGTCTACTGAAATTCAAAAATTAGCCGGGCATGGTGGCAGGTAACTGTTATCCCAGCCACTCAGGAGGCTGAGGCAGGAGGATGGCATGAACCCTGGAGGTGGAGGTTGTAGTAAGCCGAGATCATGCCACTGCACTCCAGTTTGGGCAACAGAGCAAGACTCCATCTCAAAAAAAAAAAAAAAAAAGATTCCTCTGGCAGGGATACCCTTCCTATACCAGGGTGAGAAAATAGCCCTTTTCACCAGAGACTTGAATTGAGCACTGCCACGGACCCGAATAAACATACTTATTGAAGTAAACCTTGTCTTCCACTGGTTTTACACCTCCCCCACCCCATATATCTCTTAGTGATTCCTCTCAAAATTTGCTGTCTCTAGATAGATTCCCTTTGTCCTGCCATTTTTTTCAAATTTATTGTTCCTTGCCTAAAAAATATAATAGCATCTTCCTTTGGCTACTTCTTTGGAGTTCATTCTCTTGTAAAGATTCCTGTGTACATGCAAAATTAATAAAAATTTGCATGCTTTTTTCTTGTTCATCTGCCTGGTGTCAATTTGATTTCTTGATCTAGCTAAAGAGCACACATAAAAACTTAAGGGGGTTTGAAGGGGATCTCTGGCCCCTTACAAAAGCATCTACACAAGTAAAATAGATTTTGCATATGCAGCTTTCTTATACATTTAGTATATTGGTTTATATGTGACAAAAATATCTTCTAGGTTGAATTTTTATTTTCCTGTTGTTTGAATTTCAAGGAATAGCCTTTAAACTCTGAATGAACTATGGAAATTAGAAAGGGAAATATATGTAACATGGCTTTCTTATTAACGTCTGTCTCTAAAATTCTCAAAGAACTGATACATAAATACTAAAAAGACATTTATTTTATAGGATTTTATTTTTTATTCAAATTAATAATGCTAGAATTTCCTCTATAAGTAACACAATAATAAAATCAATACAGGTAGTTAAATTTCCATAAATAGAGTATAATTGAAAAGTAATGTAGAGAAAGATGTGAAGAGGTTAAATTCTAAAAATTTAAGTGATAATCTACAGACAGAAAGGAAGCAGCCAGGTTGAGGAAGAAAAGGGACCTGCAGTTGAACCCAAGGAAAAGGCATAGACCCTGATCCCCACACTAAAAATACATGAGCCAATCACCAGAGACTAAATTCCAAATGTCATCATCATTCCCCCTTAAATGAGAATGAAGTTTGCCCTTTCTCTGATCCATGCTCTTTCCATATGCAGAAAAAGATAAAATGGACTTCAGAGAAGTAGAGGTAATCTATGTAGGCCCCATTATTTATGAAAGAACTGAAGGCTGGGTGGAACTGCACTCTGACAGTAATCTAAACAATACTGTAATTATAATGCAACTATGTATAATTTTAATATACATATAACAGAATAGATATAATAAACTAAGAAAATCAGTGAAGTTGTTGTCGGATGACCACAGCATGATAAATGTAGTAGGGGGACCTCAAAGATCACTAATATTTTTCATGTTTCATCCTCAGGACAGCAATAAGATACTCTTTCTGTTCTGACACTAATAGTTGTTTTAAAAAGTATTAAATATGTCATTTAAAGTAATAAACATAACTGCCAGAAGAAATAAAATTAAATGATATGCTTTAATGTGACAGAAGAAAAAGAAAAAATATAAGAAAATAGAATGCTAATGAAAGAAAAGCATAAAATAAGATGACAGAATCAAGTCAAAGATGTATTTGAAAAACTCACTGTATTAGTCCATTCTCACATTGTGATAACAACTACCTGAGAATGGGTAATTTGCAATGGAAAGATGTTTAATTGATTCGCAGTTCCACAGGGTGTACAGGAGGCATGGCTGGGGAAGCCTCAGGAAACTTACAATCATGGCAGATGGGTGAAGGGGAAGGAAGCACATGTTCACATGGTGGCAGGAGAGAGAGAGAAGGCAGCAGTGCTACACACTTTTAAACAACCAGATCTCATGAAAACTCTCTCACTATCACAAGAACAGCAAGGGGAATATCCACCCCCATGATCCAGTGACCTCCCACCAGGCCACTCCTCCAACACTGAAGATCATAATCCAAAATGAGATTTGTATGAGGACAGTCAAACCATATCATTCTTCCCCCAGCCCCTCCCAAATCTCATGTCCTTCTCCCATTTCAAAACACAATCATACCTTCCCAACAGTCCCCCAAACTCTTATTCTAGCATTAACTCAAAAGTCGAAGTCCAAAGTCTCATCTGAGACAAGGCAAGTTTCTTCCACCTATGAACCTGTAAAACCAAAAACAATATGATGGGAATACAGGCATTGGGTAAATGCTCCCATTCCAAATGGAGGATATTGGCCAAAACAAAGGGGCTACAGGCCCCATGCAATTCCAAAACCCAGCGGGACAGTCATTAAGTCTTAAAACTCCAAAATAATTTCCCTTGACTCCCTGTTTTACATCCAGGGCGTGCTGATGCAAAAGGTGGGCTCCCAAGGCTTAGGCACCTCCACCCCATGGCTCTACAGGATACCATCCTTGCAGCTGCTTTCATGAGCTGGCATTGAGTGTCTGTAGCTTTTCCAGGTGCACGGTGCAAGCTGTCAGTGGATATACCATTCTGGGGTCTGAAAGACGATGGCCAGTGGCCCTCTCCTCACAGCTGCACTAGTCAGTGTCCCAGTAAGGAGTCTGTGTGGGGACTCCAAACCCACATTTTTCTTCCTCACTGCCCTAGTAGAGGTTCTCCATGTGGGCTCTGTCTCTCCAGAAGACTTCTAACTGGACATTCAGGCATTACCAAACATCCTCTGAAATCTAGGTAAAGGCTTCCAAACTTCAACTCCTGCCATCTGCATACCCACAGGCCCAGCACCACATAGAAGTCATCAGGGCTTGGGGCTTGCACCCTCTGAAGCAATGGTCTGAGCTATACCTTGGTGCCTTTTAGCCACAGCTAAGGGTGGAGTGGCTGGGATGCAGGGCCCCATGTCCTGAGGCTGCACAGAGCAACAAGGCCCTGGGCCTGGCCCATGAAACCATTATTCCCTCCTAGGCCTTCTGACCTGTGATAGAAGGGACTGCTGCAAAGGTCTCTGAAATGCCTTGGAGGCATTTTTCCGTGCTCTGCTTCCCTTTTATATGTGAGTTCTAGTTTCAGGTCATTTCTTTGTTTATGCAAATAATCACAGGGTTTTAGAAGCAGCCAAGCCACCTCTTGAATGCTTTTCTCCTTATAAATGTCTTCTTCTAGATACCCTACATCGTCTCTTTCAAGTTCAAAATGCAACAGATCTCTAGAGCAGGGGCAAAATGCCACCACTCTCTTTGCTACAGCATAGCAAGAGTGACCTTTACTCCAGTTCCCAGTAAGTTCCTCATCTCCCTCTGAGACACCACCTCAACCTGGACTTCACTGTCCATATCACTACCAGCATTTTGGTCAAAACCATTCGACAAGTATCTAAGAAGTTCCAAACTTTACCTCATCTTCCTGTCTTCTTCTGAGCCCTCCAAACTATTCCAACCTCTGCCTGTTACCCAGTTCCAAAGTCATTTCCACATTTTCAGTTATCTTTATAACAATGTCCCACTTCCCTGGTATCAAGTTTCTGTATTCATCCATTCTCACACTACTATAAATAACTACCTGAGATTGGGTAATTTATTTTAAAAAGTGGTTTAAATGACTCATAGTTCCACAAGCTGTACGGGAGGCATGGCTGAGTAGGCCTCAGGAAACTTACAATCATCGTAGAAGGGCAAAGGAGAGGCAACTACATCTTCCCATGGCAGCAGGAGACAGAAAGTGAAGGGGAAGTGCTATACACTTTTAAACAACCGGATCTCATGGATCTGATGAGAACTCACTCACTATCACAAGAGAAAAATGGGGAAATCTGCCTCCATGATCCAATCACCTCCCACCAGGCTTTTCCTCCAACACTGGAGATCATAATTCAACAGGAGATTGGGGTAGGGACAAGAGACAAACAATATCACTCACTTATAAATAAATGAAACAGCAACAATCTAGCTTCAAGTTACATAATACAAATGTGTAAATGAAAGTAACACAACAAGCCTGAAAGCAAAAAGATGGGCATAGAACACTTCAAATAAATTTATTCAAAATAAAAACAAAATTAGGATATTAGTAGGTACTAGGAAACCAAGGCTAATAGCAAAATAAATAATAAAATTAAAAATGATAAAGATGTTTTAAAAAATCATGAAGTCAATATTTTGGTAAAGTTAAGACACACAAAATTATATCAATATTTATAAACTGCAGATAGATTTCAGATTGAGTTTCTAAAAATAATGGAAGAAAATGTACAGAATATTTTGTTGCTTAGAATGTAAAATGTACTTTTTAAGCATGATTCTAAAACCAGAAGACCAAAGAATATATTTAATCTACTAATGAAAGAAGTTTACATTTTATAAGAATATAATGAAATTATTCACATCTCTGGTGAGCAAAGATTCAAATGTTTGAAATTAAATTCTACTTATGAGAGCACAGGGAAAAAGGAACCCATATTTTATTGTGTTATAATAAGTGGCTGCAACTTTTCGGAGGACAGTTTGCCAGTATTTGAATTACCAGTTTCACTGCTTGCAATTGACACTACTGCTATAGTCACCGATGGTATGCTGAAAAATGTCCTCCCGAGATATCCACAGCCTAATCCCTGGAAACTGTGAATATTAATTTATTTAGTAAAAGGGACTTTGCAAATACAATTAAATTAAAGGATCTTGAGATGGGAGATTATCATGGAATATCTGGATGGGTCCTAAATTTACTCAGAATTTAACATGCAGGCAGAAGGAGATTTGGCCAAAGAAGTGGAGAAGGAGATGTGATTATGGAGGTAGAGATTGGAGTGATGCAGCCATGAGTTAAGGAGTGTGGGGACTTCCAGAATCTGAAATAAGCAAACAATGGAGTCCCCTGCCAAAGTTCTGCTGGTATCTTAATTCCAGCCCCATAAAACTTTGTTCAAGATTCTGGGCTCCAGAACTTTAAGAGAATAAATTACTGTTTTTTGTTTTTTTTTTTTTAAACTACTAAATTTGTGATAATCTGTTACAGCCTAAATAGGAAATTAATACATAATCCAAAATCTTAAAGATTCAAAAGCAAAACTTATCTTATTGAGTGTTTAAGAAAAATCCAGAACAAACTAGATATCTATCAAGAGAAAACCAACCAACAGAAAATTAGTGAAATCAAAGCTGGCTTCTTGAGATCAGTTGAAATTCATAAAACTCTAGCAAGACTGATCAGCAAAAAAATAAAAAAAAGGAAGTTATAAGACACAACTTACCAATATTAGAAGTGACAGAGGTAATGAGAGGTGACAGCGTGCTGGCAGTCCTCACAGCCCTTGCTCGCTCTCGGCGCCTCCTCTGCCTGGGCTCCCACTTTGGCGGCACTTGAAGAGCCCTTCAGCCCGCCACTGCACCGTGGGAGCCCCTTTCTGGGCTGGCCAAGGCCGGAGCCGGCTCCCTCAGCTTGCGGGGAGGTGTGGAGGGAGAGGCGCGGGCGGGAACCCGGGCTGCGCGCGGTGCTTGCAGGCCAGCGCGAGTTCCGGGTGGGCGTGGGCTCGGCGGGCCCCGCACTCGGAGCGGCCGGCCGGCACTGCCGGCCCGGGCCGTGAGGGGCTTAGCACCTGGGCCAGCAGCTGCTGTGCTCAATTTCTTGCCGGGCCTTAGCTGCCTTCCCGCGGGGCAGGGCTCGGGACCTACAGCCCGCCATGCCTGAGCCTCCCCCAGCCTCCGTGGGCTCCTGTGCAGCCCGAGCCTCCCTGAGGAGCGCCGCCCCCTGCTCAACGGCGCGCAGTCCCATCGACCACCCAAGGGCTGAGGAGTGCCGGCGCACAGCACGGGACTGGCAGGCAGCTCCACCTGCGGCCCGGTGTGGGGATCCACCAGGTGAAGCCAGCTGGGCTCCTGAGTCTGGTGGGGATTTGGAGAGCCTTTATGTCTAGCTAAGGGGTTATAAATGTGTCTAGCTCAAGGTTTGTAAACACACCAATCAGCACCCTGTGTCTAGCTCAGGGTTTGTGAATGCACAAATCGATACTCTGTATCTAGCTAATCTGATGGGGACTTGGAGAACCTTTGTGTCTAGCTCAGGGATTGTAAACGCACCAATCAGCGCCCTGTCAAAACAGACCACTCGGCTCTACTAATCAGCAGGATGTGGGTGGAGCCAGATAAGAGAATAAAAGCAGGCTGCCCCAGCAGTGGCAACCCGCTGGGATCCCCTTACACACTGTGGAAGCTTTGTTCTTTCTCTCTTTGCAATAAATCTTGCTGCTGCTCACTCTTTGGGTCCACACTGCCTTTATGAGCTGTAACACTCACCGCGAAGGTCTGCAACTTCACTCCTGACGCCAGCGAGACCACGAACCCACCGGGAGGAGCAACAACTCCAGATGCGCCGCGTTAAGAGCTGTAACACTCCCCGCGAAGGTCCCCAGCTTCACTCCTGAGCCAGCGAGACCACGAACCCACCAGAAGGAAGAAACTCCGAACACATCCAAACATCAGAAGGAACAAACTCTGGACACGCCGCCTTTAAGAACTGTAACACTCACTGCGAGGGTCCGCGGCTTCATTCTTGAGGTCAGTGAAACCAAGAACCCACCAATTACGGACACAGTAACATTGCTAATTACTACAGAATATACTGATATTAAGTGAATAAAAGGGAATATTATGAACAAATTTATCCCCATAAATTCAACTCAGATGAAATGAATCAATTCCTTAAAAAATAAAAATCATCAAAGCTCTCTCCTGAATAAATATATTCCCTGAGTAACACTATCTCTATTAAGGGAATTGCAATTATAATAAACAACAAAAACTTTCCCTAAAAAAATTCCTTGTACAGATTGCAGATGGCTTCACTGATTAATTTTGTCACACTTAAAGCCTAACACCAATTCCACAAAAACTCTCCCAGTAAACAAAAATATCTTTCTGAGTATTGTACCTGATGTCCCATGTATTAAGGTATCTCTTCTTCCTGGCTGATGAGTACATAGTATCTCTAAGCCACGTGTGAGCTTTGGTAATTGTTTGGTCTGCTGGTTTTTGATGATTCTTTTCCTAGCCCTGTGGAGGTTCCCACCATGGATGTTCAGGTGCATGCTTAGCCAGAAATGTGAAGGGTACCTCTACAGATCTGTAAAATTCTCTTTACTGCTTCCTTCTACTCAAACTAGACTTGCAATCTCTGACTCCATAACTCAGCAGGACTTTGAGACTTCCCTTTAAGTTCTTCCTCCTTCCACTATGTCTTGGAACCTACTTCCAGCCAGAGCACTAGAGCTATTAGGGACTTACCCTAGCTGATTTTTCTTTCCTCAGAGATCACAGCCCTTATGGAGCCTATTGTACAATGTCTGAAAGAGTGTTGTTTTGAAATATTTTCTCTGCTTTTCTAGTTTACAGTAGGAGTTCAATTTCTATAACAGTTAATGCTTCATGGGCCAAAGCAGAAATTTCATTAAGTTTTAAGAAATTAAGGTTGGGGAGTCAAGAACCATGACAAAGGTACATTAGCCTTTTATTTAGGTTGTCATGGATTTAAGAGACCACTTTTGAGAGATAATTTAGTCTCAAAGTTCTAGAGAATGATATTCTCTAGAGATGCTATTCATTGAGTAATGAGGAAAGCCCATGTTAAAGCTGAACTTATCGGGTAAGGCTATACTGAAAGCCATCCAAATGCTTTAACTAGACTACACAATTTCTGAATTTTAAATATTTCTGTAAATCTATTAAAATATACAATTAGAGACTTAATAAACAGGCTAAATGAATTTTGTACTGATGGAATATCTATCATATGGATGTTTATTTTATAGTAAAATAATTTTAATTATAAAAATAATAACAAATATTCAACTAAAGGAATAGACATCACAGCTATTTTCAAATATGTTATAGCAGGAGGTTCTATATATTTTATTATATCCTAGATTGAAACTACTTTAAAAGGTAAAGTATAAATAGAAGCTTTTTAAGGGTAGTGTTCTCACAGCACCAATTTTGTAAGCATTTTATATCCATTGTACTGACTGAGTTGCACTGTTTTAGTATTCAGAGCTGTAAGTTTTATTCTATTTATCTTCCTGAGAAAATTCTCTGTGCTAAATGGCTTTTACATATAGCCCTAAGTTAGAAACAGCAGTTATAAATACTATCAGTCACAAGGAGTACAAAGAGCCTTCCTTTCTACAAGAATGCCATCTTGGGATCACTTACTATTAGGAACAAAGAATCTTTATATAACATTTGGAAGTACCTAGCCACAGAATGATCTTAATTCAACTCATTCCTATCTATCTACCTATCTATTGATCAACTTATTTATCTATCTACCTTTTTATATATGTACATCATTTTTTCTGGAGTATTTAATAGCATACCCTATATATTGTACAATTCCACCTACAACATTTTAGTGTGTGTTTCTAGTAGATATATATATTTTTTCAAAATAGAAACCACAGTACCATTTTCACACCTTGCAAAAATAAACAATTTTTAATATAATCTGATATTTCTCTAATTATGTATTAAAATACTATTTTCAGTTCTTTAATAAAATAAAGTCGATTTATGGCATTTGTTGATTTTTTTCAAAGTCACTTTTAATCTCTAACAGTGTTCACATTTGGTGGGGTGCAGGGGTTCAGACCCTTGCTTTAATAATATAAAAAATATCTAAAATCACTGCACTGCAGTACCTAAAAACCTTTGTTGTTATTTTTATTTTTTATCGTTTGAAATTCCTTCAGTGAGAAAAAGCTGTATGTATTTAATTTATATATGTCCACAAATTTGGGGATAGGTATACCTCTGTGAATCCATCAGAACTATCAAGGCCACAAATATATCCATCATCTCCCAGTGTTTCGTCCAACCCTACTTATTACTATTATTATTATTTCATTATTTTGTATGTGTGCATGAATGTGTGTGTATTAGGAACACTTAACATAAGATCTACACTCTCAGCAATTATTAAGTATACAATACACTATTGCTGGCAATATGCAGTTTGCAGTATACTAGTTGTCCAGAACTAATCTGGCATAGCTGAAACTGTTTACACTTTAGCCATCACTCCCCAATTTCTTCCTGCCTCATCTAGCAACCACCATTCTACTCTCTACATCTATGAATTGGACTATTTTAGATTCTACATATAAATGAGATATTTATTTGTCTTTCTGTGTCTGGCTTATTTCACATAACATACTGCCCTCTGGGTACACCCATGTTGTCACAAATGGCTGGATTTCCTTCTATTTTTAAAGGCTGAATAATATTCCACTCTAGGCATATACTGCAACTATTTATTCATTAATTCTTTGGTGGACACTTCGATTGTTTCTATGACTTGGCTGTTGGGAATAATGCTGCAATGAACATAGTAGTGCAGATATATCTTTGATTCTGATTTTGATTCCTTTGGGTATATACCTGGCAGTGGGGTTACTGGATCATGTGGTCATTCTACTTTTAGTTTTTTGATGACCTTCCATACTGTTTTCCATAGCTTCTACACCATTTTACATTCCTACCAACAGTGTTCAAGCGTTTCCTTTTGCCCACACCCTCCCTAATACTTGTTATCTTTTGTTTTTGTAGGAATAGCCACCCAATCAAGTGTGAGGTAATATCTAATTCTGGTTTTAATTTGAGTATCTCAAATGATTAAAATTTTGAGCAACGTTTAATATACCTATTGAAACTTATATGTCTTTTTTTGGAGAAATGTCTATTAGGTTCTTCGCCCAAATTTTAATTGGTTTATTTGATTTGCATACTTAACTATTGAGTTGTAGGAGTTTCTTATACATTTTAGATATTAACCCCTTATCAGATATATGGTTTGCAAATATGTTCTCCTATTCCATAAGTTGCCTTTTTATTTTGTTGATTGTTTTCTTTGCTATGGAGAATTTTTTGTTTGTTAGTTTGTTTGTTTTTAGTTTAATGTAGTCCCATGTGTTTATTCCTGCTTTTGTTGCCTATGCTTTTGGTTTCATATCCAAAAAAAATCATTGCCAATGCCATTGTCAAGGAGCTTACTTCCTACATTGCCTTTTGGAAGTTTTATTGTTTCAAGTTTTAAAATAATTCTTTAATTCTTTTGAGCCGATTTTTGTGTATGACATATAATAAGGGTCCAATTTAATTCTTTTGCTTGGGGCTATTCAGTTTTCCTAACACCATTTTTGAAAAGACTATTCTTTTCCAGTCGTGTATTCTTGGTGCATTGTCAAGAATGTGTTGACTGTATTTCCGGGCTCTCTATTCTGTTCTGTTGGTTGATATATTTGCTTTTATACTACTACCATACTGTTTTGAATACTACAATGTTGTAACATAATTTGAAATCAGGGAATGTGGTGCCTCCAGACCTGTTCTTGCTTAAGATTGCTTTGGCTATTTGGGATCTTGCATATTTCCACATGAATTTTAGAATTGCCCTTTCTATTTCTGTAAAATTGCTGTTAGAATTTTGATGGGGAATGCATAGATTTCTAATAGCATTCTCTTTTAAAGACATTTATATTTTGCAGGAACTTCCCTATAGGATTTTCCACATTCTAGATTTGACTGACTATATCTTCATAGTGTTTGCCAAACAGATTCTTCTATCTATAATATTTTTCAAAAACTGCTATGACTCACAGATCTAAAGGCTTGATGGGATTCAGAAAAGTAATATTTATAAAAATAATATTTATAACAATGTTATAAAATTCCGTTCAATTCATCACCCTAAAAGACACTCAGTACTCGCCACATAATGAATTTCTGAGCCTTGAGAAAGAGAAACAATACTTATCTAGTTGGCTTCATGGGTAATCAGGTATTGTAGATGTCAACAATAATAACCACAGCAATAGCAAAATCTTATCCCAAATTTCTAAACTGGTGATTTAGCTTTAACATATTTAAATTAAAAATGTAGATAAAATATGTGTGCTTCAGCTAGTACTCAACATTAAACAAGATACAACCTCATTACCATCCCTAGAGTCACATGATACTCATTTAGTTTTTTCTATTAGCATAATACTTTGACTATAAAATCTATATATTTAATAAAGAATCATTTTATAATGCATGCTATAAAAGAATCCTCAAGTATTAGTTGTAAATTTAATCTCAAATATTTTAATCTTGACTTCCACCTGATTAAACATTCACACTGTTGAATTTGAAAAATATTCCAACTATTGTGTATGGCACTATCACACTATGAGAGAGCAAAGAATGTGGTGATCTCTTTCTCCAAAGACCTTATTATCCAATGTGTGAATATGCATGTGGCAGTGAGTATGTATATTATGTAGAGTGAAAAGAACTAATTGTCATTAATATGTCAGGCATGATATTAACTGTGTCATAACGTTTGTTCTATTAAAGTGAAATCTTAAGAGGGTATTATATCATATTTATAATATATAAAATGAAAAATCAGTAAAGATATTTTCCCCAAGTACTGAGATCTAGTAAAGTATGAACTTGGAATATGACCCTGGTATGTGATTCCAAAATCCATAGTATTTCACCTGTATCATGCTATCTTACGAGGTAATGCTTGACAGTCTTATTATATACACATATATACATACATGTTTATATTTGCATATGCAATTATATATACAACTATACTATGTTATATATGACTAAATACCACTAGGAGTAGCTCAAATATTTACCTTTGGTAGAAATCAGGCAGGTCATATGAATGCCTAGGAAAGGAAACAGGAAAAAATCTTTACCCTGCAAGATCAAGTTATTCATTTAACAAATACTTACCAAGAGCTTTAATTGGACAGGCTTCATTCCAGAAACTTGATGTATATACTAGAGGGAAGGTTGGCAAGAGTTCTCTTCTCCTCCTATTCATTTATACAAAACAAGCAAGAGTGTAACAAATTGAGTAGAAGTATAGGTTCAGGCAAGAGAAAGAACATTAAATGAGGACAGCAATAGTGGTCATTTAGAGCAGCTTCAGAGGTTTTGAAGAGGATGGCTAGTCTACAGTGAAGGTATATTACTGGGAGAAGTAGAGGAATATTAATAGTACATTATGCAAGGGATAAAGGTGGGGAGTAGGTTAGGAGAAATGAAATGCATACAGAAATTTGGCTTAATGTTTTAGTCATGAAAGCTCTCATGGGACCACCACTTGCACATTTTCTCTCCGCGCAAAAGTACACTGGGAAGTCTCCACACTTACACAGTTCAAAGAAAGAATTTTGAGATATTAATCTTTGTTTTTTTCACATTCACTTATGCAGAGAATTAGACTTGTGAGAGCAGGAATTTAATGTAAAAGAAAGGTAATATTTTACTTTTGACTTCCAAAACAGACTCTTGAATCCTCTATAAAAATAAAAAATTGTGAGTCCATTTTTGTTTTGTTTGGTAAAAATAAGATATGCTTTAGAGCATAAGATTCTTTATAAAAGGGCAGAATTTAAATGTTTAACAAAATATTACAAAGAAATGAGAGGAAAACTGACGCAGACCCACCCTCTCTGGACAAAGTTTATGTGATCAGGAGGAGAGGGGGAAACTGAATGGGGTGTGAATATATAAAAAGTAGGAAGGGGCTAAGACAAGGAAACTGGGACAGGAGATCATAATAGAGAAAATTTGAGGAAATTGATGTGAAAAACTGTGCACAGCAAAATCTGTCCAACTATATGCAGCATTCGTGTATCAAAGTCAGTATAAAGGCAGGGCCCAGAACCAGGTACTATGTACCACCAGGTCAAGGCACCTACGTGGGAGACAAGCTGATGATGGCAGTCACTATCACCATTCCAATGACCATCACACATTACCTGTGCTAACATTAACTATGTTCACTACTGTTTGATGAGACATTTCTATGTTGTTCCTAAGTATCATCAGAGGAATTGTCCTGCAGAGGTGAAATCTACTCATGCCTGGAGACTTAGCTGAGATTAAGTGAACTTCTCCAAGTGGAAATTCTCTTCTCAGTGGTCTCTCAGCCTTGTAAAAGTGTGTAGGTTCCATGACACTCAGTGAAGTTCTGGTTGTAAGGGAAGGAAAGGTCTCTGGTAGTCCCTGCTTTTAGGTAATACTGGTCAGCCCTGAAACCCACTCCAGTTACAAATGTCAATCAGTCACTGTCTGGCCAGTCTGTCACTGCCCACTGACCTTTATGTATCCCCATTCACCTCTTCTGTTCCACACAGAACTGGGTCTCACACCCTACAAATTGACGCATATATTTTCTTTATTTTTAGGAACAGAAAGCCACTGTTTTCAATAAAATGACAATCTGAGTTACACTAATTTCACTTACCTCTGATACTGAAAATCCTGCCTGTCCTCACTTGACTCCCATGATGAATGATTTGTCAGTCACAGGAATGGTAATAATTAATAAAATTTATGATGTCATCGAGGTCTGAGAATATTAAGTGGCAGTTGGTAGAAATAAGTAATAACATACATTGACAAATCCAAAATCAAAAGTTAGAGGTAAAATTCTGTCACTATTAATATTTCTGTATTGCATATGAGCAGGCTGATTGATAATATTGTTTCAGACTATAAATTAAGGTGCATGCTTTTTATATAACTCAGTCCCCCACTCTTAATGAGGGAACACCTGGTGAACTGAAGCAATAAATCACTAAAACCGAGATGATTTTCATCTCAGGAGATTGTTGTACAGCACAGAACATTAACTACAGCTACTAAGGAGAGAAAGACAAATGTCCATCAAACTCTCAGATGAGAATAATTACCAGGATTGGCAGGTATGAACTCAAAGAGAAAAGGTGTTGTAGAATCTTTTTTTTTTCCCTCGTCATAGACAGGAGCCAGAGGAAAAGTCATACCTGGTCTTACTGTTTTACCTGGAATCTGTGTAGCAAAAAGTTCAATGGCTACGTGTGTACTTCTGTTAATACAATTTAGCTTAGAATTTATGAATAAGATTTTGGAGTTTGGTAAACCAAAGTTTTGATCTAGGGTCCACCACTAAACTTTGTGCAATGTAATGGACATTTGTTTACCCACTGATCAAACATCCCGTTCCTTTCTTGATAAGCGAATCTCAATTCTTTCAATACAGTTGGATGCCATATCAGCCCCAGTCCTCTAAAAGCAGAGCCTGAGACAAAGTTAAATTATAATTACTGGAGACATGCTAGTCAGGGAAGTAAGTATGAGGACAAAAAGGAAGTGAGGCAAGGAAAGATCAAAAGTTCAAAAGCTATTCAACATTTTGCCAGCAGTGATTACCGCTTCACAAGAAGCTATGGAGGGATACAACAGGTGTAAAATGCATTTGAGGATTTCTTCAGTAAATTGACAAGAAGAAATAACCTCAGAGCAGTTCACTGTAGGCAGAAGAAGGAGGATTTGTCTTTTTGATTCTCTCCTAACTTCCTTTTCTTATCTTTTACTGGCTAAAGTTTACCTCATGGAGCGCTAAATCCTCCATGTCTCTGGGTTTGTCTAGAGGCTTCCCAGCAGCTGCTCTGGAAGCCAGACCTCATATTTCCTCATAATCTGAAAGTGGAAGTGTGACAGGAAGGGAATAGGGCACTGACCAAGAGAAAGAAAGAAGGTGGATGAGGGAATCTGAGAAAGTGCAGAGGGTTTTTTCGATACTGTGACATTGTGTCAAACCCCAGTAAATGGTCCATGGCTAAATTAGGGTTGGGGTAAGTCATTTGTAATAGTTCCCTTAACATTTGCTGGTGATTGGGTTAGGATTAAACAAGCCATCTTCTTTTGTAAGACTCTGTTAGGAGTGTTCTGAAAATTTTTTTCGTTTTCATTTGAAAGGAACTGTGACCAAGAAGTACCTATACTATTCTGTCTTTATTTTTGAATGCTATATTGGACCAAATCTAGAATGTATGAGAGTGGGTGTGGCATCATGTTTAAGGACAAGAGATCTAGAAATTTGGTTCAGATCCTGTTTTGCCATGTACTACGACTCAAAAAACTTGCTTAACCTATCTGTGCATGATTTTCCTCATCTGTAAACTAATAGTGACAATAGAAGCTATCTCATAATATTATAATGAAGATTCAATGAGTCAATATATAAACTGTTTAGAATGTAGTGAGTGCTGAGAATTATATATTTTATTATATAGATATACTCTCTAATTTGGTGTTTATTGGTGCAACTTAATTTACTTCATTGAATATTATGTATATTATTCATCGGTAGGAAGATCTGTGAGGGATCTCAGATGTTAGTGCTCATAATATGAGACACTAATGAGTAATCCAAAATACCTGGGAAGAATGAATTTACCTGTAAAAGTAAGCAGTTTATTATCTATTGTCTGAAAAGAGAAGGGCAGCAATATTTAAAGCATTTTGAGTCTCTTGGAAGAAAGAGGGCTTATAAATCCAAGTTTTTAATTTTTTTTCTTCTTTTGCTGTTATTGGTTGATTGGTAGCTTTTTGAAAAGGAATCTGCTCCTCTCTGAACTCACATTTCCTCACTAAAATTCATATCCTAATGAAAAATATTGCTAAATGTTACCTATCTGAATCATCCCATCATCCCTAATGCTAGTGTCCTATTTATCCATGTTCGACATTTCAATATTTCTGTTGATTTCTGTCTTGAGTAAAGTTCTTAGGAAATAAGTTATTTTATTCATCTATTTATTCTCCCTTTAGCTTTCTGCCTTTTATTCTGTGTCTTCAATTTTATCAAGACTATAGCTTATTCATATTTCAGTATTTTCACCTAAATTCTTATATTAAATTTCATCTCATATTATAAAAATAGAACTGAATAGTTTCCTACTACATACTTTGTTCTTTCATAAAAAAATACACATCCTTTTTTAATGGCATAGATACGTATCAGTCTGCCTACTGCTGTCCTCTTTCATTATCTTTTAATGCTAGGAGGAATGTATTCTAATATCAACTATCATTACCACTGTAAAAAAAAATAATTCTCTATTCATTCTGAGAGGATTCTTTCTTAAAAGAATGCCTTGAATATTACTTATTACCAAGACACGTTGGGAAGCCACATACTTTTTAATGGATTTTCTCTTCCAATCAACATTTTTCAAGAGGGCACTTCCTTTTGATAAAGGAAAAACTCCATCTGCAAGTTAAGATGTTTAAGCTAGTTGTAACACTGTGGTACAATCTTTTGTGATGATTCAGGTGATTAATTATATGATTGCAGCTTTTAAGAAGAAATGTGGGTCTTGAAAGTTTATTTGACACTTTGTTTTACCTTAATAAAGAAACTATAATTGTTGAGATTTCAAGGGAAAATGTACGAGATTTGTTTGATTTGCTTGTTCATAAGATGACCAAGCATTTACTTCTGTGCATTATGATTCTGAGCTTTTGTGTCTAATTATAAACTGTGAATAATCAATGAGAGTGCCGACTGAACTTCAGGGAAATTATAAATAGGCATTGTAACATGCATTATTACTCTAAAGCAGTTAAGTAGAGGGAGTAGGAGCCTCTTAGGAGGATTTGGGTTACATGATTCAACTATTATTTTTTGTTACATAATATCTATCTCTACAAATTTTGTAATCTGCTTTGAGTCTTTCCAGATCATTTTTTCTCATCTTGTCAACATAGTTATTGTACTAATTTTTGACAGTTCATTTCAGAGCAATTAATTATTCTTCTCAATAATCTTTCCAGGGGCTATAGGTTCCCTGCAAAAGCTTATTATCCCCCCATGGACCTTTAGGGAAATACCTTTACTCTAGCAGACATTACATTGTTCCTTTCTTTAAAATCTGCCCTCCCTATAGCTCAAAAGCAAGAACTCTTTATATTCACCTATATAGCATTGGGTCATGTATGTAATTTTAAGAAATGTTATGGAAAATGGCAGAGTACCAGAGCAAAATTATTTAAACAAAAAGGGTAGTGTATTGATTTTCATAAGTGAAAGTTCCAGGGGTATGTATGATTTGAGTTGCACACTGGGATCAAGTGTGCAGAATGATTTTCTTAAATTATTATTTTTATCTATCCCCCCCCACCCCATTTTATTCTGAAGCAAGCATGGTCCTGAGGTTTACATTTCCCCGGGTTTAACTCTGACTTGCTTGGGCTCACCTAGAGGCAATAAAAATCTCCCATCTCAGTTATTTAAACAAAATTCTTATAGTTTGTCTTTAATGTGGACAAAAGCTTATAATGAGCACTCAGTGTGGCCAAGGCCATGAGAGACACTGAATGGTTTTTAGCACAGTTCCAATGATCTCTCTTGGAACATCTAGTTGAGTCACTTGAGCTCTATTAGACTTCTTAATTGTGGTTCAAATAATCTATTCCTGCTACATTAAGCAGTTAGGAGTTTATTTGACATTAGTGAGAAGATTATAAAATTTTGATAAAGCTCTAGGGTGAGCTTCCCAGAATGATTCAAGAATTTTACTACAACAGCATTCTAGCAAGAGTGCTGACACTGCTGGCAATACTGAAACTAAGTTCCCTCTGCTTCAGTCAGGAGCTGCCACCTCCCATCCATCCCAGAACTGCATCTTCTCTGCTGCTACCTCCACTCAATACAATGGGTGTCATGCACACTGCTATCTCCTCACTTGGCCAGTTTCTAAATATCAATCTCAAGCAGGTACATTTGACTGATGGCAATTAAATTGCATGTCTTCCTATGAGCATATAGGGGTGATTATAAAAATAGCTGTTTGGTTATTATCTTAGTCTGTGCTATTAAAATGAACATCTGAGACAGGGTAACTTATAATTAACAGAAATCTATTGGTTCACAGTTTTGGAGGCTAAGAAGTTCAACATCAAAGGGCCAGTATCTTTTGAAGACCTTCTTGCCTTGTCTTCACATGGTGGAAGGCAAAAAGTCAAGAGAGCAAGAGAGAGCCAAACTTACTCTTTTCAAATGTCACCAATTCCACTCATGAGAGTAGAGTCCTATTAAAGGTCCCACCTTTTAATATTGTTACAATGGCAACTAAATTTTAATGTGAGTATGGGAGGAAAAAAATTCAAATCATAGCAGTTATAAACCGAGAAGGTAGAATGAATGTTTAAAAGAAATATTGAGTTGTTTAGAGGGTATTAAGAGATTTAGGACAATTGTGAGTTGCACATGTGCATCTTTACCCAAACATATGGACTGCTATTGAGGAAAACTTATAGCCTAAGGAAAAGCATGCTCTTTTTATCTCTTTTTGTGTGTGTGTGTTGGAGTTGGGTGGGGGTCACCAGTGAATGAATGGTAAACAAAATTGTAGGCAAGAATAATAAAGGCATACTTCATTATCTCAGTGCTTGACCTGAAGTAAATATACAAAGAAATATGTATTAGTTGAATAAATAAATAAAACCTTTTCAAAATAAAACTGCATATATTATATATACAAAACAATATCAGATGTTTCTGCATATGGCTTAAGAGCACAGAATAAGACACAAAGAACTGACATATTGACATAAATTATGACAACATCAGCAGTACAGAAAGGGAATATTTTTGGGCCATTATCTGCATGTTTAAACATGAAGGATATATAGCATATTTAAATCAACTCAAAATTTTCATAATGATTCCAAAATGTCAAATTTTAAAATACAATTATTTCCAAGGTCATTTAATAGAAAAAATCATCTGTTTTATGAATTTAAAGAAATCAGTAAACTCATTTAATACAATTAAAATCTAGATCCTTAATGTACAAATATCCATTTATAATTTGCCCCAGTGTAGACAGCCATAATTTTGAGCACATTCTGATTTCTTGAACTCTAAAATTACAGCAGACTTCATGCTCCAACCTTTCAATTTACCACCAGAAGCAAAATTACTAATAAAAAGTCAGAGACAAATTGACATCCTTAAGGACAAAAATTGCTTGGAAAGGACTGTCACTTAGTTCTGTCATGAAACCTCTTTTTTTCTTGCATTATTCCTGAGTAGTAACGTTGAAATAGGGTCCCTGGGAAAGAGGACATGATGAAGGATTTTGCTTAAGACTGGGTCTTGGGGCGTAAGAGTACATACTTTTTCACCATGAGATCACATAGTAGACCTGTTTAGTGTAACATCATTTCTGAAAGATATCCTTGACTTTAATAGGCCATGCAAGGTCGAACGGGGACCAGGCAGAGTTAGTGCTCTAGTCTTGAATGCAGGTTAAAATAGTTCATTTATGGCCTTTCTGCTGTAGGGGATAGAAGAGAAAATTAACGGAGGCTTTTCTTTTCTCTGCTATTTTTTTCTAGCTCTATTCATTATGTAATAAATTAGATGCTTGTTTCAAAACTCCAGTTAATAAAAATGAACTGAGCATATATCATTCGAGAGAAAAAAACTGGTTGTAGTTGGTATTTGAATTGGGTACTAATTCTAGACAGAGGACTTGGATGGAGGTCACCCAAAATGCACATCAAATAGATTTACCCTTTTAAAATATTGTACATTTTTCTCAAAACAAGAATAGCAGAATAGGTAATGAATTTGAATCAGAAAGAAAATTGATACTTATTTATCTCGTACAAATTTTAAGAATTACTTTATTTCCATTTAATACGTTGCCAAGATTTCTCAAAGAGAGATTCCCATTATCATTATAAAATGGTCGGCAAATAAAGTGTTTCATGGTCAATTAAGTTTGGGAAAAAAAGCATAGAGCATAATCTTCCTGCATCCACACACCACAATCCAAACATTAAATTCTGTATGAATTTCTGCCAATAAAATCACTATATTTAGAAAAAATATAATGTTTTGTTTCCTTCATATAAAAGCCTGTGATCTCTTTTTATTTACCCAACTTTACAAATATATTCATTAAACATAATTTATTGTGGATCAAAAATGTGAAAGCTCAGTGACATAGTTAATAAATAACTTAAAATTTTATTTATTATGCACTTTAGAAGAAAAGCCACTTATAGCTATACTATATTGAAATACTATTTGTTCTAATTGTTGCTTATATATATTTCTTTATAAATTTACTTGCATAAATATAATACTTTATAAGTTACACAGTATCTTTCAATGAAAACTATTGGTAATGCAATATTATTAGGATTCCATAGTTTAAACTGGTCAATTCTTACAACTGTTTTGTTTTCATCACAATAGGATTTGATGCAATCACATATAGTCACATTTTTTCTGAAGAAACCTTTCAAAGTATTTCTACATGACAAAATTAATTTCCCTAGAAAGTAAACAACTAACCCAAATGATATTTTTAACTTTTTAAAAGTCATTAGTGACTTTTCCCCAAAAACAGTATCTCTTTTAAAAGTAATTTTTGATTTAGTGATTCAAATCAAAATAGTAAACACTTTAGTGGATATAGAAGTAGTACTTTATAGTTTGGCACTTTTTGAATTTAAATGCAGTATAAAAATAAGGTTTAAATTAAAGTTTCCAATGATGCATTTAATTTAGCTTTAATAAGATATTTGGAGTGGTGGCTCATGCCTGTAATCCTAGTACTTTGGGAGGCCAAGGCAGGAGGATTGCTTGAGCCCAAGAGTTTGAAACCAGCCTGGTCAACATAGTGAGACCTCATCTCTACTAAAAATACAAAAAAAAAAAAAAAAAAAATTAACCATGTGTGGTGGCTTGTACCTGTAGTCTTAGCTACTCACGAGGCTGAGATGAAAAGATCATTTGAGCCTGGGATGTTGAAGCTGTAATGAACCCTGATCATGCCACTGCACTCTAGCCTGGGTAACAAAACAGGATCCCATCTCTTAAAAAAAAATTCATACCTATGAATAACAAAAAGCATATCTAAATATAATAGCAGCTGTGTTTAAGTACTAGCTAAAAGCATTTGAAGTTTTTAATGATTGCTACAAAAAAATAGAATTTTCTGAACTTTGCAGTCAATATAATGTAGTATAAAGAAGATAGGAATAAAACTGGAGATTTCTGGCTGACTTGACCAGATCACATGTTATCTTATTCTGGAGAAAGAACATCAAATTACTGAAATAAATCATAGATTTCTAAATTCAAGAAAAATAAAAGTATTGGCAAATTTAAAGACAAAGAGTAAAATAGCTACCAATTTCTGATGATTATGAAATTTCTGAAATCCATTCTCATTTCTTTCAAGGTGTTCTCAATACTCCATTCTAGGTCAAAGCAGAGAAAGGCACTAAAGATAGCTTCTCCCTCTCTTTCCTTGGCCTTGCCAGGCCAGACTGTTTTGTAGCAGCAAATGTGCTTCTGCTTTTAAAATAAGCTCCAACCATGCATCTTGAATAGTAAGTTGGGATTAGTGAGATTCTATTGCTAAATGTTCAGCATCACAAATAATTCAGTAACTTGATCACATCGGAAAATACACTATACACTAAATGGCACAATTTTCACATTTCTGTTGAAATGTAAATGCCACAGTTTGATTTTTAGGAAGGTGCATATGACCACAAGAAGCATCAAATTGATTGTCATTAAGCTACACACAAATAGAATTGATAATATAACAGAAAATCATGATCCTCATTCTTGAAGAACACCTACCTTTAGAAAATTCAAGAAAGCTTCATGTCCACACACAGAGACAGACACATACACACACACACACACACACACACACACACACACACACACACACACATGCAAAGATGCAGTTCACCAATATAGGAATGATGCAGTAAGGCTGCTTTGGGGAATTCAGACTTGCAAAGCTTCTTTGATCTGCTACAAGAAGAAATATTTCTGCATAATGTTCTTGAAACATGTCATTTCCTTTTCTGAGCCTATTTTCCTGATCTCTCATTATGCTAAAACTCCCCAAATATTCCACTTTTCAAGTTAGAAAACCTCAATTTATCCTTATGCTTCCAATTTGGATAGTATTGCCTTTTTCGAGCCCTCAAATCCCTTCTGTGTTGCAGAGCACTGGACAATCCCTTAACATAGCAGTGATTACTTAACATTTTAACATCCTGCTTTCTGTTGTGTTTTAGTACTGTGTCTTGAACACTAGACTGTAAACGCTATAAAGGATGGAGTCCTGTATGCTTTGTTAATGTGCATATCAACAATGCCTAGTTTTATACCGAATGAATAAATGACACAATGAATAAATGACTAGAAAGTCCAAGACTAAAGCAACAGCAGGATAATGGCGAGTGAAACCAGTCTATCTAATACTGTTAGCTAACTTCAGAACTAAGATTTCTTATAAAGCTTATAAAACGAAATTTTTTAAAAGGTTAGGATAATCTAGATACTTTTAAAAGCTTTATTAAGTTTTACACACAAAGAGACTAGATTACTCACATTTTATTGGGTAAAAAAATCAACTATTGAAGAGCAATAAGTTCCACTATCTTCACTTATGATAATGAAAATTTACATGTGCCATTTTCACACTGGGCTACATAAAGGTCAAATAATATTTTTAAAATATGATTCAATTAAAAAAATAGGCTAGAAGGACTGCAAATCTACTTGAAATAAATTTTAAAAAGTATATGTGTATACATATCTGTTTATATATGTGGGTGGGGGTATATACATATATATTTTGTGAAAAAATGATTCATATTAAGATACAACTAATGAAAAACTGACTCTGAGTGTTTGAAGAGTTGATATAGAAAATCCTAGTTCATATTCCAATATATTGACCATTGCTCTACATATAATTTCATGGTAATGTTGACTCTGTTTGGTGAATTATAAATCTTGGAAAATGTACTGAATCCTCTTGCTATTCTACCTTCTCCATATTGCTAATCAGTTTGAACTTTAATTTTAATCATGTAATTTACTACTAATTTTCACTTTTTTATCTATGTAGATTTTCTTGTTTTAGTTTGTACTTTTTTAGTTCATTCATATTGTAAAATAATTTTTACAAAAAGAAGCAAAAAGGCCACGTAAATTATTTTTTAAAAGCTTAATTGGCTCTGCTCAGTGGCTCACGCCTGTAATACCAGCACTTTGGGAGGCCAAGGCAGGCCGATCACGAGGTCAGGGGATCCAGACCATCCTGGCTAACAAGGTGAAACCTCGTCTCTACTAAAAATACAAAAAAATTAGCCAGGCATGGTGGCGGGCTCCTGTAGTCCCAGCTGAGGCAAGAGAATTGCATGAACCCGGGAGGCGGAGTTTGCAGTAGCCGAGATCGCGCCACGGCACTTCAGCCTGGGCGACAGAGTGAAACTCTTATCAAAAAAAAACAAAAATAAATACATAAATAAAAAGCTTATTGAATATTAACTTCCCCAAGGTCACCTGAGTTGTGCTAAATAATTTTACATATTTTGCCTATATTTACCATTGACATGGAAAAGATGAAATTATCTTTCCAAATTTTCTGTTTTGAAACTATATTTTTGAAATACTTGAGATCTTTGACACCTCTTTTGACATTTTAAGGGATAGCAAATATCTAGTTATTGGAAATAATTTAAATTTTTTGCAAAGTCACATAAACTTAAGATGGTGAGTAACAAAACAATATAATCTTAAAATCCCTTTCTCAATTGTCTCAATCACATTTTTATACAAATATAAAAACCCTTACCTATTCATAGTTACACACCAGCCACATCAAATATGTTATGAGTATAAATAATTAAATATGATTTTTAACAGACGTCAAAATCTAAAAGCAATAACAAAACAAATATCAAAATGTTTAAGCATTTTGATAACACCAATGTAACAAATGTAACACCATTTGATCATGCATCTCATGTTAATTACTTTTTGTGGTAATTATATATGCACATATATTTTTTAATCTAAAATATAAAAAGCAAACTTCTTTTTTTTAGCAAACATCATATATTTACTCATTTATAATTTTGACTTTCCTTGGCATTTAAAAAGATAAAAGTCTACCTCAGGTAAGCTCTAAGAACTCATTTTAATTATTTTCTTAGGTAAATTGTCCTTCTCTCCATCTTTCATCCATTTAATTCAATCGTGGTTAGTTGAGTTCGGTTGTCTGTGAAACATTTAGCCTAACAACAGGCATTAGGTAGGTGTTTTCAGGCCACTACTGGGGCAAAGCTAACTTTGTCCTTTGTATTAATATTCACACTAAACAGATGAATTTATTTAATGCAGTGATGCCTTAAGGAAGGTTGCTTGCCCTTCATTGTAAAGAAAAGAGAGAGAGAGAAATGAGGAGAATAAAGCAAGCTGAAAATATCTATAACACCATCAGATTAGAAACATCATCACTTAAAGTTATCCAGAACCCACTTTGAAATACTTGGCAGTAGAATATTTGAAGGTAACAAGCTTCTGAAATTTTCTTGAAGTATGTAAAATTTGAATGTAGATTTCTTATTCCTTACTTTTTCTACAGTAATTTCAAAAGCAACAGGTAAAATATTCCTGACCACTCAAAAGATATTTCTATTATATAACATCAACTTAGAATTCTACAGAAGGTAAAATTAAGTTAAATTTTACAGTATTGAAATCATCTAGAACTATAAAAAAGTCATACCCAAAGGACTTCTGAAATAAAAATAGACATAAAGACTATTAAAAATACAAATCCTTTTAACGTCATACGAGAAAGTAGGGTGTTCTATATTTTAAGTCCTCAAAACTAATTTTAAACATGACTGCCACTGTTAGAAATTATGTTCTAGAAATTATGTCTGTGAGCTATGGAGAAACTGGACACTGACAAAATTTTGCTTTCCTAGGTTATCTAGAAAATTATATGTAAAATTATTTTAAGATATTAATTTCTAATACCTGCATTCATTAACAATCAAGTTAATTTAGTACCGCAGATATTTCAGGGGTTGTGACAAACACTGGAGATAAATTGATGAGCAAGAAACTCACAGAATTTAAAAAGAACAGAAAAGAGAAACTTAAGCTAATTATACTTGCAATGAAATAAAACTTTGGGATAATGGAAGTACCTAAACTGGTTTGCAAGTGAGACATGAAGGAGCAATGAATAAATGTAAAGATTTTTGAGAAAAAAATAAGACAGTTATTTTCAGGAACTGAAATGTAATCTGTATGATTGAAGCATAAGAAAAGAAAAAATGCTGTACAGGAGGAAGTTGCAGACTTAAATTGTATTCAGATCATATAGAACTTGCTAAAGTTTGGTGGTTGTTTTAGGTTGCTTGTTTTTTTCATTCTGAGGTTCATGACAAGTCACTGAAGAAGATTTTAGCAGATCATGAGAGTAAGATTTTTTTTTTCTTTTTTTGAGATGGAGTCTCGCTCTGTCACCCAGGCTGCAGTGAAATGGCGCAATCTCCGCTCACTACAAGCTCCGCCTCCCAGGTTCACGCCATTCTCCTGCCTCAGCCTCCCGAGTAGCTGGGACTACAGGCGCCTGCTACAACGCCCAGCTAATTTTTTGTATTTTTAGTAGAGACGGAGTTTCACCGTGTTAGCCAGGAAGGTGTCAATTTCCTGAATTCGTGATCCACCCGCTTCCACCTCCCAAAATGCTGGGATTACAGGCGTGAGCCACCGCTCCCGGCCTTTTTTTTTTTTTTTTTTTTTTTTTTTTTTTTTTTTTTTTTTGAGATGAAATCCTGCTCTGTCGCCCAGGCTGGACTGCTGTGTTGGGATCTTGGCTCACTGCAACCCTCGCCTTCTGGGTTCCAGCGATTCTCCTGTCTCAGCCTCTCGAGTAGCTGGGACTACAGGCACGTGCCACCACGCCCAGCGAATTTTTGTATTTTTAGTAGAGACGGGGTTTCACCATGTTGGCCAGGGAGATCTTGAACTCCTGACCTCGTGATCCACCTGCCTTGGCCTCCCAAAGTGCAAGGATTACAGGTGTGAGCCACCGCACCCAGCCGATAGTAAGATTTATGTTTAATCTCTAGATCTCTGTGGTATAGGAACTAGGGTAAAAGGAAGACGGCCAAGACCAGCTAGAATACATTGATTTTTTAGTAATCCAGGGAATTGATAATATCTTGGAGAAATCAAAAGTATCAAGACATAGGAAGTAGTATTGGTAGATTCGTGGTTTGGATAGATTGGTGATACGGTTTTGCTCTGTGTCCTCACCCAAATCTCATCTCAAATTATAATTTTCATAATCCCCATGAGTCGAAGGAGGAGCCCAGCAGGAGGTGATTGGATCATGGGGGCGGTTTCCTCTATGCTGTTCTTGTGGTAGTGAGTGAGTTCTCATGAGATCTGATGGTTTTATAAAGGGCTCTTCACGCTTCGCTTTTCACTTTTGTCTCTCCTGCCACCATGTGGAGAAGGTCCTTGTTTCCCCCTTCACCTTCAGCCATGATAGCAAGTTCTGGTGATATCTGCTTATAGGTGTTTTTCAAAAGCATGGATGTGTATGAGAAAACCCATAAGGGGAATGTAGTGTGAGAACAAAGGAGAAATATATGGGGCTCAAAGAAAAAAAGAAAGAAAAAGAAAAACAGCACAACTAACAGAGAGAAAATTAACAGAAACCCTGTAAATGAGAAAAGCTAAATAGCTTTAGAGTTTAAAGTAGAAAAAGAATTAGTGATGCTTTTAAATCCAAGAAAGGAAAGTTCCAAGAAAACAGTCAATTGTGTCATTGTGATAGATTGTTTGCAAAAATGTCTGCAATTATTCCCCTTTTTGGATCCAGAATCCTTTCCCATATAATTTTTGCAGCTTCTCCCATCAAGGGGTGGATTATTTTCTTTCATTCCTTGAACGTGAGCTAAATTTGTGACTTGCTTGACTAATAGAATACAGAGAAAACAACACCATGACATTTCTAAGACCAGACTTCAAGAAGCTGCGCTCCTTTCCTTCCTTCCTTCTCTTTTGCCTCCACCATAAGAACAAGCCCAACCAACCCAACTCCAAATATTTGAGAGATTCTAAGTTGTAACTGACCATAAATATTTGTAAATGAATGTTTGGATTAATCATAAACAAGAAGAACCATCCAGTTGACATGAAAATGTGTGAGAAGTAATAAATAATTGCTTCTCTGCCTTCGGTAACAGATACAATATTGTATTTTATTGAGCTTCAGGATGATGAGAAAGAAAACTGGCCATTTAAAATATATTTTTTGGTATTTTTGCTAACATACAAAAAGAATATACTCCTGCTAACAAAGAAGAGATTACTTCTGTAAATTTCAGCTTTTTCCACATACCTGAGTAACATCCAAATGAAAATGTCAAATATGAAGTGTGATATATGTTCTAGAACCTGCAGGATAGCTCTGGTGATATCTGCTTATAGGTGTTTTGCAAAAGCACGGATGTGGATGAGAAAATCTATAAGGAGAATGTGGTGTGAGAAAAATGTAATGTTATTCATTATCATTTAATTACAGTTATATAAATGGAAGTCAGACTGTAATAGATTGGGATGAAAATGGGGGTTGGATAAATGAATATAGGACAAAGCCAGGGCTTTTGAAGCATTCTTTAGGAAAAAAAACTTGAATCAGTGGAGATTTAGGAAGGATTTCCCAGCAATAAGAGTTCACTCTGCCAGGCGCGGTGGCTCACACCTGTCATCCCAGCACTTTGGGAGGCCAAAGCGGGCGGAACATGAGGTCAGGAGATCAAGACCATCCTGGCTAACACGGTGAAACCCCATCTCTACTAAAAAATACAAAAGATTAGCCAGGCGTGGTGGTGGGCGCCTGTAGTACCAGCTACTCGGGAGGCTGAGGCAGGAGAATGGCGTGAACCTGGAGCTTGTAGTGAGCTGAGATCACGCCACTGCACTCCAGCCTGGGCCACAGAGTGAGACTCCATCGCAAAAAAAAAAAAAAAAAAGAGTTCACTCTAAGCTGTTTGCAGAGACTCTAGAACTACCCCTATTGATGGATGGCAGATGCTAGTTTGGATGAGAGAAATGTAGTTTTATTTAGCTGATTAATGAAAATATAACCTGCAAGTGCAAGATGAAAGGAGAAGTTATTCACAAAGAATGGGTGCAGAGGGAGATCTTAGCTTAAAGAAAGGGAGAAAGGTAGATGACTTAAAATATTCATATAGTTATCAATAATTAAAAAACAAAATCATGATTCAGAGCAGAATAACTAGGTCATGGGATAAATCAGTTAACAAATCCTTGTGCAAATATTATGAAACAGGTACTCACTTAATCCTCTTAACAAGATGAGGAAATTGAGACCCAATTATGTCAGTTATCTTTTCAAAGTTTGTACAACTAAGCAAAAGCTAGGATAACAACATGTAGAGTTCCTCTTACTCAAAATTCATTGGCAAGTTTGAAACTGTAATCTATTTCTATCCAAGAGGTATATCACCAATGCTTGTTATTATAAAGTTTTTACTAAAACCGAGGAGTTCCAGAATTGAGTTCACTAATCAATGTTACTTCTCAACATTTTTTTCATATTATAAGAAACAATTTTAAGTGAATGTCCATAATTTTAACATGCAGCGGGTCTGAATAACATTAATGAAATATATGTTGAAGTTTATGTATGTTTGTAATAGTAATTATACTTACATTCAGTGGGAATATGGTTATTCATATTTAATTCCAACTCAATTTAAAATTGAATTTCTTTGCCTAACTTACAACAACTTACAACATTTTCTCAATTAACTTTTCAAAGCTGTACATATTGGAAATGCCTTTCTTTTCTTTTCTGTCATGAGAGATTTTAGCTCTCATTGTATTTAGCTGACAGAACCAAAACTTTGCATGAGACTGCCACCCTGATTAGGGGTGAAGTGACACTTCAGACTAGGGAGAAGATGACACTGATGTTTTCCTTCTATTTGCATTTTATTCAGAAAATCTCAGGAGAGAGAAAAGACAACTATGATTAAGGAAAGGGTTCCGAGTGATTGAATAGTTAGAATAAGTTTATTCAACTCCTCCTCCAGAGACATAAGTTAGGTCATGAACCTTATTCATAAAGTAAAAAAGAGTACACGTTGTGCACCCTTAATGTGCAAGAGCAGTTGTTGTTTATCTTAATAATGAGACTAGCTGAAAGGCCAAAAAGAGGCTGTAGGTTAGGCAACATTATGTATCATTCACTCACTCCTTCTCAAATGCAATTGTGTAGGGCAAAATGGGTATCGAATTCTATACATGTACCTCAGAACTTAAAGTAGAATAATAAAAAAATTAATGCAAACTTTACTTTGTAGGAAACATTACTTTGAATAGAAAAATAAATATGTAATTAATAGATTTATCAAAAATATGAGTATAGAATTTTTTAGTCTTGTTTTAATGTGGAAATAGAAAGTGATTGATTTTCAGAGAAAATATTTTGGGCCAAAAGCAAAGCATAGAGTATTGCATAACAAATACAAATATTAAATAATGAAATAAGAAAACAATGTTCAAAAAGAAATTAAAGTGTATGTATTACAAAGTTTTCTTTAACAATAATCACTGGATTCTTCTGCTTATTAATCTCATATAGTTATTATGCAATGTAAAATTTTGTTTATTTCTTTAAAGGAAGCTGGGGTATTAGAAATTTCAGGAAGCACTCTCTTTTAATATGTCTGTTCCCATAGGGGTGATGCTTCTCAAAATCATTATAATTTCCTAATTGCTTTGTTTTATTACATTTTTAGTGCCTGGTATTTTCATATACTTTCATTGCTGTCATTTAGCAAAATTTTGTCTTAGAGATTTCATTTCTTTTATCTCACTAATTTATATAAGTAACTGAAAATAGATTATAGGAGAATAGTATTTTTAAGTATTGGTGGGTGTTTTATGGTAAAGAACCCAATGTGTGTATATGTGACACCTCTATCTGGAATATATAATGCATAACACCTCTGAGAATTATTTCATTAAGGAATCCCATTTAATTTGCTTAATCAATTTTTTCAAAATATTTAATCATGAAACACTCCACCTCCATCTCCTCCACTGCCGCAGGTTACCGATTAACGTCTTGCTGAAGGTTATATATCATGATATCATCACGGCGAAAAACCTAGTTAAAAGTAGTCTCACTTCTAGAAATAATAGCTTGTAATGACAAGAATACTTCAAAATTCAGTAAATAGGAAAGGAATTTATAATTATTGAGCCCCTGCTATGTGCCAGATGCTGTGATGAGCACATTTTATGCTATCATAATTAAGAAAAGGATGCTTTAAAAATCAATTCTGGCTTAGAATACATCAAGTAGGAAAGAGTGCTGCTCCCATTTATATAACAAAAGAAAACCTGGAAGAACTGGAAACAACTTTTCTTAAGCCTATTAGAGAACTGAGGTCACAGGACAAACTGCTGACCCAAAATATGGAGTGATGCTTATAACTGTAGGTAGTAATAGGATCAGAGCATTTACTTACCTGGATAATACATCGTGAAATGCTATAAAAGCCAACAAGTGCTGCCAAAGACATATTATGGACTAGTGTACAAATGTGAAGCATCAGGGGCTGTAGATTGCGGGAGGGGCTTTCACACTATCTGGCAGGGGCTTACTTCAGGACCTCTTCTAGGTGCTTACATGAAAGATGACACAGATTTCTGGGAATGCTTTCCCAAGGTGCTAGCCACGGGAAAGGAACGTTAGCCACTGACTAAATCCCCCCAGACCTATCTCTGTGATTCCTCTGAAATAATTTGAAGGGAGAAGGACAATAAAAAAAATGTACTTCATAAGCTCTTGTAGAAATTCATTGTATCTGATGGAGAAAAACTGCAAAATAAGTAAGTAAACAAATAAACTTGTTCTCTGCTCTATGAGAGGAGCAGAATCTCCATCTCCAGGAAAAGAACAAGGCCAGCATTGCATCTGGAGGAGAGGTGGAAAGGTTGTGAAGGGCATGGCCCTGAGATCTAGGCTCACAGCCAGCCAAAAACTAAGACTTAATCAGATCACCAGAGAACACTCAGACCCACCCCCTCACTACCACACTGATAAGCATCATGTGGAATACATCTGGCAGGGCTGCAAAATACATATCCTTGGAAACAGTGTAAAGTGAAGACCACAAGAAAAGTGAGAAGGCTCCAGGCCAACTGGGATTAGACTCTGGGACAAACTCCTGAAAAATTAGTAATACTGTAAACCCAAAGTGTAATCAGGGGAATAGAGGCCTCTTAGAAAAACCACAGCTATAAAATCTTTAAACACAGAACAACTTCTGGCTAACAAAATCCCTCACACCAAAGGCCTTGCAAAAGGTAAAGAATCTGTGAATTTGAAGATATGTTCATAGAAGTTGACCAAACTGAAATACAAATAGAAAAAGAAATCACAAACACACCCACCCACCCACGCGCGCGCACACACACACACACACACACACACACACACACAGAAACACTGTTGCTTTTGTACTACTCTGGCTAACCTGCTGAGGAAACTGTCAGACAAATCCAGAACTGAAATATTCGGGAAGAAAACTAATTTGGGCTTTTGAAAAATATCATGTTGGGGAACTGTTTTAGATGGATGAACAACAGATTAAATAACCAAATGCAATAAATAAACTTTGATGGTTGCATCCTGTTAGAAAGTTTAGAGTGAGAGAAAGAGAGAGAAAGAAAGAAGAAAGAAGCTTGATGAAGTTAACCAAACGCGATATGGGTATTGTATAATCTTAAAACTTTTCTGTAAGGTTGATAATTCTTTAATATAAAGAGAAAGTGATTTATTTTATTTGCCTGTCCTTCTTCCTATACAACTTTTAGCACTATGTCAGTCTCATAGGATATCATAAATTATTGCTAAATGAATAAAGGAATTTTTGCATGAATAATATACAATACAGTTTTCTCTTGGGATCCCGTTCTAAAGGAGAAAAAATGTTATATTGGATCATTCTTTTTCTATGCTGTCAAAAAATGACAGCATAATTTTAGAGAATACTTTTTCAATTAATGCCCAGATACGTCAAAATTTCAAAAACTCGGCATCATCTCAAATGACATAAACAAACATGTATTTTGTGGTTTTTAAGTCCAGTCACCATTAATAATTCCTACCTTTCTTTTCAGGTTTTCAGTAAAAGTGGGTAATAATTAGCTGGTAATAATATTCAGGATATTTGTATATATACAATGTATGTGGAATTAATTGGAATTAAACCATTGAACAATGGATTAATTAATCCAGATTACAACTAAGGAGGCATTATTTTCAGTAAAATTTATACATCGAAAAAGAATGTAAATAATTATATACATTTATCCTCTGGAAATTTAAACTAGTATTTTAAAGAACCTGGATAGGTTTAGGTATTGGTTGGAGGCAAGCACAAACCAGAAGTGGAGAAGGAGGGAGGACAAATGTGAACATGTTGAGTAGGAGGTGAAGGAGAGTGGGTGGAACCTAAAAGTGAGAAACAGAATAAAATACTGTCAAAAGAGGAAAATAGATTTGTGTCTATTTTCCCCAGAATATTCTTGTTCAAAGAAAGCCCCTTTAACTATAATTATACTACTAGGATACTTACTACTTTCTAGAAAGTTATAAGAATTTTCAAAATGGTTGTGTAACTTCACTGTAAGAGATGAGACAATTTCAGTAAGCTTGAGTAGACGCTACTCATTACACATATATTTTACAAAGTTCAGCTTCTTATGTATAATTTCGTGCATAGTAGAAAGGCTCCAATATTTGTTATTCATTTTTAAGTATGACTTTTTATTCCTTTTCTTAAACTTTTTGTCCAGCCTTGTCCATATCCCTTTTTTAAAATTTTATTTATTTTTATTAATTGTGCATGTTTTGATTTTTCTGTTGGATTTTCATGCAATTAATCAGCTCTGATATCAATCAACCAGTTACACATTAATATGTAATTCCATATTATGTATAAATCTGACAGAAGGGTTACATGGTTGGGGTAATCAAACTTTCTCAGTGTATTGAAATGAAATGGAATAGAATATAATTTGTGTATATACATATTCATTGTGAGGAATTATTGCAATTAAATACTGATACAGTTTGTCTGTGTCCCTACCCAAATCTCATCTTGAATTGTAGTTCCCATAATCCCCTGTGTTGTGGGAGGAACCTCATGGGAGGTGATTAGTTAGTGAGAACAGCATAGTTCCCCTATGCTGTTCTTATGATAGTAAGTGAGTTCTCATGAGATCTGGTGGTTTTATAAGGGGCTTTTCCCCACTTTACTCTGCACTTCTCTTTCCTGCTGTGATGTGAAGAAGGACATGTTTGCCGCCCCTTTTTCCATGACTGTACGTTTCCTGAGGCCTTCCCAGACATGTGGAACTGTGAGTCAATTAAACCTCTTTCTTTCATTAATTACCCAGTCTCAGGCAGTTCTTTACAGCAGTGTGAGAACAGACTAATACAAATACCATTTATTTTGAAATGATATTTTAATGATACCAATACCAACACAGTAAGCATGTTTATTTTACATTTTTTTTTACAATTTGGAAGCAGTTAATTTTATTTGAGTTTTTATTTGTGCCAACATCCTCATAACACCTTATAAATACATGTGCTCTACCTGCAGTTTTTAATGAGGACTGATTCTTTTCACAGCAATCACCTCAGAACATCAGTCCAAGGGATTGTATTTGGGACACCAAGCTGTTAAATTTTCCCATCATTTATATGTCTTTTTTAAAGCACTGCCTGTGGCTTTACTGTTCGTTATTAAAAGGAAAGCACTCTCAGAATTTCAATTGGTTTCTTCTGCCTGAATACCAATTAAAACCTGTTTAATATAAAAATGGAAATGTACTTCAATTCATCACTTTTTTTAATAAAAGAATGTCTTGGTTCTAATAAGTCTATTTTTATAAATTAAAATATTAGAGTATTCTTCAACTGTGCGGAGTTATATCTGGTTAGGAGGAAAAAATATTAGTCAAGCTATAGAAATTAGCTGTCCAACCAAGAAAGAATTCAGCAGCAAATCCACCCTTTGTTCTAATTAGAATTGTGTAAGGTGGCAGTGAGTCATGAACTTGAGTCTAAAGACACTGAGAAAATGCATTAGCACGTGATTCTGTGTTAAAAAGGGGAGGTAACAGGAAGGGCCTTGATCAGGAGTTCCATTGAAACTCATTAAAATGTGGCAACTAAAAAATAAAGTAATAAAATAACAATAAAATAGTTTTAGAAAAATGCTATTACCTTTGCCTTTGAAGGGTAGATCAGGATGTTTTTAGGAAAATTGAAAAATAATAGTGCCTAGCTTGTATAGTTCAACTTGAAAAAATTACTGAAAATCTACTTAATGTAATATAAAAAAATGAAAAACATATCCATGTATAATTTTTTAACAAAATTATATATCTGGTTTAATAAAAATGATATAATTGTGTTATATGTGTGGAGAAGATATAAACAAGTTTTGAAAAACCTCAAAAACAGCAATAAATAGCTCTTCTATTTTAAATTTTCTAGATTCAAAAACTCCTAAAATCATTCTATATAAAGGTTAAATTTTCTAAAAATAAGAAAATGACTATGTAATTCATATATAAATAAGCATAACTTACAGCAAAATCCATAAATGTAAAAAGCAAAGACTTTTTTTCTCAGTGCCTGTAATTATTGAACTTTGGTGAAAAATAGATGTTATAGATATCAAAAAAACAAACTATTATTTGGAAAAATCTTTTAAACACTACAATATCTAGATATTAACTTAAGCAAATTGATAGCACTGTTTGTTGAGATCAGAAGTTTTGGGAGAGAAACAGGTTTTGGAGCAGGTTTGAGGGGCATGAATATTTTGTTTTAAACATGTTACATCTGATTGCCCTTTAAACATGAAATAGAAGACCTGTAATAGGCTGATGGATTTAAACTATAGAGCTCTGAGGAGGGGTCAGGTTTGAAGGCACCTGTGTGGGACTTAACACTAGGTACCTGGAATCAAAAGCTATGAGACTGGACTCCATTTTCTAGTAGAGTCAAAGAATAGATACGATAAGAACAGATAAGAAAATTGTGGCTGAGGGATGAGCTCAGGGATATTCCATCATTTGTTAGGAAGTGGAGGAAGAGCCAGCAAAAGACACAGAATAAAGTAGAAAAGAATATAACTATAAGGAAATAAAGACATGAAAAGGCTTTAATAAAGAAGACAGTTAAATTTGTTAACTGCTAAGATTTATGGTAAGGACAAAATAACAGAATCTTGCATTTGAACATACAATGGTGGTGGCTTGACAAGAAGAAACTTTGCAGAGTTATGAGTACTGAAGCCAAACAGGAATGAGATGAAGAGAGAAAGGTTAGTAAAAAAATTGAGACCGTAGCTGCACTAAACTCATTAGAAGTCAGTTGCTTTGAAGGACTGTAGAAAAAAACGACAATGGCTGAAGGGTAATTTGAGATAAATTGAACATTATTTAGATATAAGATATGAAAGTAGGTTTCTGTGCTAACAAGAATGTTCCAAGTCCAAAGAGGACAACTTATGGTATTAAAAAAAAGAGTGAGAGAATTAATAAACACAGAAGCAAAGCCCTCTTATTAGAAAATATTTTAGAGCCATATAAATGTGGATGATATTCTGTAAAGATAATTATAACACTTATACAAATGGTCCTAGCTTTGGTGCAAAAAAAATAACTAGGTTCAATTGGAATAGCATGGACTTAGACCATTAGGTCTCAGGAGCGAAGTCTTGCTATTGAAAACCAGCACAAAGACCTACGACTAGCGTGGTCTGGATAGATGGCTCTGCAGCTAATCCACTAATAACTTCATCAAAAATTTAGGGAAAATTTGTAATAAACTACACTCCTTTCATTGTACTTTGTGTTCTTTATATGCTACTTGGTAATCTAGATGTGATGAATTCCAGCATACTTATTCCGGAAGGATGTCATTATTTATTATTTTGCTAATTTTTTAAAATGAATCACAAGAAAATTATTCCTTTGGGAAATTTTAAGGAAAGGTGCATGAATTTGTAGTCACAATTTCTTTGTTGTTGGTGTTTTTCTTGGTTTCGAAAGTCTCAAGTACCTCTGTTGCCTCGTTTAAAGTTTCTCTTCCTGTGTGTAGTTTATCAGTTAAAATATGATCACAATGCTTGCTAGAGAGTCCAACAATTCTTTTAAAAACTGGAGGCTGAGCAGGGTGGATCACTTGAGCTCAGGAGTTCAAGACCAGCCTGGGCAACATGGTGAAACTCAATCTCTACAAAGAAAAACAAAACAAAACAAAAATCAGCTGGGTACGGTGGCCTGCACGCATAGTCCCAGCTACTCCAGAGGCGGAGGTGAACGGATCAACTGTGCATGGGAGGTCGAGGATGCAGTGAGCAAATGCACCACTGCACTCCAGCCTGGGTGACACAGTGAGACACTATCTCAAAAAAAAAAAAAAAAAAAAAGTTCCTGGATATTTGAACTCAATGCAGACACTTGTTTCATCTTTTACCCATCAATTCCTTTTGTGGTCCATAGTGTTTATCTTCTGCAACTAAACTTCTTTCTGTATCATCCTCCTCCACATAGCAACCTGAACCCGGACATCTCTCTGATGTATAACATACTTCCTAGAGATATTTGTTGGGATAGTCTTGAAAGTGAACACGTAGGAAAATAAAAGCATAATACATGAACACGTTTTATTTTTGCTGTTCACTGAGTCTTATTTTCCTGTCTTTGTTTGACATTTTGGAAGATGCCATGAGTTTTCTTATTAAAAGCATCTTATTTTTCAAGGATTAAGAATTCAAATCCAGCTTAATAAAATTTCAAGCCTTACTGACAACACCAAATGCTGGCCAACAGGAGCTCTTACTGCTGGTGGGAATGCAAAATAGTACGTACCCTCTTTGGGAGACAGCTGGAAGTTTCTCACAAAACTAAACATACTCTTATCATACAATGCACAAGTTGTAATCCTTGGTATTTACTCAAATAAATGGAAAACTTATGTTTACACAAAAATCTGTTTTTAGCAGCTTTTATTCATACTTGTCAAATTACAGAGGCAGTCCTTTGGTAAGTGAATGGATGAATAAACTCTGGTGCATCCGGACAATAGAATATTATTCAGCACTAAAAATTAATGAGCTATCAAGCCACGAAAAGACATGAAGAAAACTTAAATGCTATGATTCAGTGAAATAAGTCCATTTGAATGAGCTATACACTGTGTGATTCGAACTGTATGACATTCTTAAGCAAAGCTATGGGAGAGTAAAAAGATCAGTGTTTGCTAGGGACTAGGGATATGAAGGGATGAATAGGCGCAGAGGATTATTAGAGCAATGAAATTACAGTAGTCCTTCTTTATCTATGATTTTGCTTTCTACTGTTTCAGATACTCATGATCAACTACAGTCCAAAATTATCAAAAGAAATTCCAGTAATAAGCAATTCATGAATTTTAAATGACGTATCAGTTCAGAGTAGCATGATGAAATCTCATGTCCTCGCACTTCATCCTGCCCAGAACATGAGTCCTCCCTTTGTCCAGAGTATCCACACTGTGTATGCTGCTTGCCTGTGGAACTCTTCGTAGCCTTCTCAGTTATCAGATGGACTGTCATGTTATCACCAGGTTTGGGTTCAAGTAACCCTATTTTACTTAATAATGGCCCCAAAGCACAGCAGCACTGTTCCTTCTTTATAAATTAAACTTTATCATGGATATATATGTGCATAATAAAACACAGCATACATAGGTTTATACATAGTACACATAACTGTGGTTTTAGGCATTCACTTGTGGTCTTGGAATGTACCTCGTGTGAATAAGGGGGGGCTATGCTACTCTGACACTAGAATGGTGAATATGTATCATTGTATGTTTGTGAAACCCACAGAATGTACACCACCAAGAGTGAACCCTAATGTAAACTATGAACTTTGGATAATAAGGATGTTTCAATGTAGGTTTATCAGTTGCAACAAGTGTACCACTCTGGTATGAAATTTTGATAATGGGTGAGGCTGTAGGGAGTGGGGCAGTGTGTGTATGAAATTATTGTACTATAAATGCTGATAAAACAGAAAAACAATTTTAAAGAGGCTTGTTTGTCTCATGGTTATCTCTCTTTCCTTATAAAGACGGGGTCTCATTATGTTGTCCAGGCTGGTCTGACCTCAAACTCCTGGACCCAAGCGATCCTCCTGCCTCAGCCTCCCAAAGTGCTGGTATTACAGGACTGAGCCGTATCACCCAGCCCAGAAAAACATTTTAATTAAACTGTTAGATAATTTAAAATTCACAAGCTGTTGTCAGAAATAACCAAGATTCTATGCATCTCCTACTCAGTTTTTTTTCTAATGGTAATCTTTTAAAACTGTAGTTCTATATTACAACCAGGATATTGACATTTATTAACCAAAATACAAAACATTTGCATCATAAGTATTATTTATAGATTGTTAAAGGTTAGGAAATTTTGTCTTAAGTGAGATTAGATGGAAGTTCTTTCTATGGTATTTTTAAGGATGTCACCTGCCCTGTTAGAGCCACGCCCACTCCTCTCCCATGCCTACCACCTCCTTAACCCCTCACAACTATGAATCTATTATTTATTCTATTATTTCATAATTTCAAGAATGTTAATGTATATAGATTCATATAGCATGTAGCCTTTTGAGACTGACTTATTTCATTCAGCATAATGCCCTTGAGATCTATTTAGGTTGTTGTGTGTATCAGTCATCATTCTTTTTGTTGTGGAGTAGTATTCCATGGTATAGATGTACTAGTTGGTTTAGCCATTCACCTGTTGGAGAACATTTGGGTTGTTTCCAGTTTGATGCTGTTAAGAATAAAGCTATTATAAATACCAAAAAATTTTAAGCCTTTACCCAATTTAAAAATTCTTGTCCCGTAGCTCAGGTCCAATCTGGAAGCAGAAACTTACAGTGAGAAGGTGCTACAGTCAATTTGCATTGACTTTGTAGCTCCGGTTCCTCTTTCACTTAGGAGCCAGGAATCCTGGGTGGTGGCAATTAAAGAGGGGATAATAGAGATTGAAGGACACATTCTTACAGGTCACATATTCTTTATAATCTGCTTTTGTATATTCTGCAGGGCAAACGCTGGGTTTCCTCAGGGTAGAGGAAACTCAAATTCTTCAGAAAATTTCCAAGCTGAAGTCTACAACTTGAATTTTTTTTTTTATTTCAGAGATTTACTCCCCAGGTACTTTTCTTCAGACAGTACATCTGACACAGATCATCTCTGTGAGGGCCAAATTTTCATGGCATGCTGCTTTATGAGTAGTGTCCTTTCATGTTGATTTAAGGTCAGTTATCTATTGTTTGCTTTGCAACATGGGGAAAATTCATTTTTTTCTACAAGACATTGGAAATAGTTGTCCATGTGCTAAAACTCTCTCTTCCTGTGTTTGTTAATAGAAGTAGCTATACCTAGTCAGCCTGACTTTTTTTAATGAAAGATAGCACAAAACGCTGTGCACACCCAGCTCCAGAGACACATGTTAAGTCCTCCAAGTGATTCTTTGAAAGTCAACTCACCATCAGTCAGCCCGAGTTAGGCAGAAGAACACCCACTATGAAGAAACACAGAGAATTCTAACAACTTGCTTCAAAGGAATTCTCTATCAAAGATTTATTATTTTGGTCCCCTACTTATCTTACACACAGAATGGTTTAAGTGATAGGCTACTGTTAACAGAAATAGATTTGTGAAACCCAATTTACAAGTCCTGAATCGATCATCTGGAATGTAGGATGCAGTTGTTGGCAACTATTATCCCCACTTTTGGTGCCTCAAAGCTTTAAAAAAGTAAAGTTTTATTTAACAAACTATTTCATTAACATGCCTGATTTTCCTTTTTCACCATATACACTAAAAGTTATAGCTAAATATCATTCTTCAGAATATAGCACCTTGTCCAGAAGGAGAGATTAGAAATTTGCTATCTTATACACTGCATTACATACAGTTTGTTCAATGTTTAAAAAATATTTCTCTCTTACTGATTTTCTCCTTATATAATTGATTGGTAAAATGTTATTTTGTTCATATTTACCTTTGGTTAAGTTATAATCTAAAATAAAAAATTGTATATATGTTTTGTCATGCTGACGATGCTACTAAAAACTCACAAATGGATTAGTGATAAAATTGACTTAATTTCCATACACAAAAAGGTAAAATTGATATAATCATTATTTACATATATGTGTATACTTTTTATATATTTAAATAGTAGAAGAATATAGGTATGGATACTCAAATAATTGTTGTATTTAATTTCTTTTTCTGAACACTTACGTGATAGTTGAGAGCTCATTTAAAAAATATGATAATCTACTGTCTGAATTTGCTGTCTCAAAATTTGAGCTATTCTGTTGAAATCTTAGGAATTCACAGTAACCTAAGGTATTCTTATGTGAAATATAAAAATCTAAAAAAAAGGTATTTAAATGTCAATAGATGAGACACAAGTGTTAGTGTTTTCTAATGATAGAGTTTTTCTTTATTTTAATAGAGTATCGAATGAAGTACAATTGCTTTATTTTCTAGGCTATGGTCATGCCACAGATAATTTTTTGTGTAAGAGAAAGTAGATAGAATTTGACCATTGCTTTCAACCATATGTAGTAACATACAGCATATACATGTGTACTTGTATATGTATGTACACACACAAAATATATGGTCATACAAGGTCAGCCTCTAGCTATCCTACTGCCAGGGCCTTCCAGTGTGCTGGAATTACAGACGCGAGCCACTACATCTGGACTCTGCATCTAAATGTCATCTGTGACATTTTAATGATACTTCAGATTATCCATGCTTTTTTAACATATAAATTTCTGAATAAAATAGTGAATCCTATAGTAGATGAATCATCTAAATCCCAAATTATCATAAATAGATATTATGCAATTAAAGGTTAACTTGCTTACAGAATAATCAAGTGGTGAAAGTAAAATGAATTTGGCTATGTAACTGAATTTCCAAAAAGGAGCTATTCTGTTGAAATCTCATGAATTCACAGTAACCTAAGGTATTTTTTCTGTGAAATATAAAAATCTAAAAAAAGGTAATTAAATGTCAGTAGATGAGACACCAAATGTTAGTGTTTTCTAATGACAGAGTTTTTTTAAAAAAATTAATACAATATCAAATGAAGTACAATTGCTTTCTTTTCTAGGTTATGTCCATGCTACAGATAATTTGTGGGTGTGTGAGAAAGTAGATAGAATTTGACCATTGTTTTCAACCATAGGTAGTAATATTAAGCCGTTTTAAAATAGTAAGAAATGAATTTTTGAGATCATGGAAGTTAATTTGGAAAAAGTGACGGTATGTCTTTTAAAACAGATACATTTGTTCAGATCATAAATAACCTCAAATTTAAGACAAAGTGATAATTTCCCCTCAGTACTGTACAATACTGTTATGGTAGTCAAATCAGCTGTGTTGATAGTGCTGCTGAAATAATAGAGGTCATGGGGCTATAATTTTATCATTATGTTTACTAGAGCTGTGCCTCTGTTGAACAATCAACAGCTCTTCTTATAAATTGTGTTTGTTCTTTCCTTGTAAAAATCTTATCTTATACTGACAGACATGTTCTTTACATTTTTTATTTAATGAGAAAATGTATTTATCCTGTCTCTTATTTAATGGCTTAGTGCCCTAAAACAGCATAAGACTGAAAACCTCAAACAAAGTGTCGATGGTGCATAAACACTGTATTAGATAGAGTTCTTTAGAGACACATAAACTATAGGATATAGATGGATGATAGAAGATAGATATAGATAGATAGATATAGATGAATAGAAAGATAGATATGAGAGGGGATTTATGAGAGCAATTGGCTCATATGTGATTATGGAGGCTGTGTACAAGCAGGAGATGACTTAGAAAAGCTGGTAGTGTGACTCTTTCCAAACCCAAATGCTTGAGAACCCAAGTGGCTGCTGGAGTAAGTCCTGGACTCCAAAGGCCAGACAGCACATGGAGTTCTGATTTCCAAGGGCAAGTGAAGGAGACTGTATCTTAGCTCCAGAAGAGAGACCAGTTTGCCTTTCCTCTATTTTTGTTCTATCCAAGCCTCCAACCACTTGGATGTTGCTTGTCTGCATTCAAGGTGGATCTCTCTCACTTAGTGTACTCAAAGTCACACTCCAATCTTCTCTGGAAACATCCTCATGAATAATGTTTTACTTGTTCTCTAGGTATTCCTCAATCCAGTCATGTTGACACCTAAAATTAACCAAAACAGGTACTATACAAGATTTTTTCACTGTAATAGGTAAATATGTTGATTGAAGATGTATGGGAAATTGTAATCCTAAGATAATATGATTTTTGTCTATGTAGTATTTAAATAAATCTATTTGCCATTTCAATCTTAAGCAAATTTGCATTTCCAAAATTATTTAAGAAAAACATAGTAGAATCTCTCTGTATTTATATCTTGTGAAATTTTTCTACTAGAAATATAGATCAATATATAGATTTTTATATCTATAAGGAGGAGATATATATGAAATTATCCCTTGGTATCCATGGAAGATTGGTGGTTCTAGGATCTCCCTTGGATACCAAAATCTGAAGATGCTGAAGTTTCTTATATAATAAAATGGCATAATATTTGCATATAACCTATGCACATCCTTCCATATATTTAAAATAATCTCTAGATTACTTATAATACCTCATACTTTTAAATGCTATGTAAATAAGTGTCACATCATTATTATTACTTTTATTTATTTATTTTTTTTGAGACGGAGTCTCGCTCTGTCACCCAGGCTGGAGTGCAGTGGTGCAATCTCAGCTCACTGCAAGCTCCACCTCCCGAGTTCACGCCATTCTCCTGCCTCAGCCTCCCGAGTAGCTGGAACTACAGGCGCCCGCCACCATGCCTGGCTAATTTTTTTTTTTTTTTGTATTTTTAGTAGAGACGGGGTTTCACCTTGTTAGCCAGGATGGTGTCTATCTCCTGACTTTGTGACCCGCCCGCCTCAACCTCCCAAAGTGCTGGGATTACAGGCGTGAGCCACTGAGCCTGGCCGTGTTATATTATTTTTTATTTAAATTATTATTTTTGTGTATTCCTAGCTATCTTTTTTGAAATATTTTTAGTCTGTAGTAGGTTGAATTTGCAGACAGAGAATCCATGCATATGGAGGGTGGACTGTGTGAGTGTTTGTGTATGTATGCACACATACACATAAAATACATGGTCATACATGGTAAGAAAATACAGGTGTGCACATATATACATATATGTATCTATACATACTAATACTGTGCTTTTTTTTTTTTTTAAGTTGGGGGTCTCACTTTGTTTTCCAGGCCAGTCTCATACTCTTGGCCTCTAGCTATCCTACTGCCAGGGCCTTCCAACATGCTGGGATTACAGACATGAGCCACTGCATCCAGACTCATCTGTGACATTTTAATGATACTTCAGATTATCCATGCTTTTTTAACATAGAAATTTCTGAATTAAATAGTGAATCCGGTAGTAGATGAGTTATCTAAATCTCAAATTATCCTAAATAGATATTATGCAATCAAAGGTTAACTTGCTTACATAAATAATCAAGTAGTGAAAGTAAAATGAATTTAGCTATGTATCCGAATTTCCAAAAAAAAATAAAGATTCCCAAAGTTAAAGCAAAAAAAACCCTAAAAATAAAGAGAGTTACTATGTATTGATTTTAAAAAGTCAAATTATAATTAAGATTGATCATTAGAAATATGTGTACATTTAATAATAGAGCCTCAGAAAATGATAAAAATAATGTAAAAAGGTAAAACCACAATTACAGTGAGAAATTTCACATATTTCTGTCAGTAAATGATAGATTAAAAAAATAAAACAAGTAAATTTGAAGATAAGCCACAAAATCATTAAACTTTTTATGTGGGCCTTATTTAAAAGACTGCATCAAAAGCTTCAGAATGCAAATATTTTTCAAATTCATACAGAAAATATATTGAAAAATGAATAAAGAACTAGAGAATAATACTTATTTTACCTAATAAAGTATATCTATCATCCCATAAAATACTACAAATGGGACTCTTAATGGTAAAAAATGTTAAGTATTGTATATAAGAACAGGAACCATATATGAGTGCCCACTTTTCTTGAATGTTTTAGAATAGTAAAATGTTACAATAGTAAGGCAAGTTTTAAAATAAAACAAAAAGCTTGCTCAGTATTGAGGGAAAAAATATGGTTATTTATAGAAAAAAATGTTCTACAGTCTACATAAAATCTATAAATAATTAAAATATATGAGGTTAGCAAAGTTGTTAATTGTAAACTCAATGTATAGATACCAATTGTATTTCTTCACAACAATCGCAAACATTTCAAAATTGAAACTTTAGAAAGAACATTTATGTAACATCAAAATATAAAAAGCATATAGGAATAAATTCAATGAAAATGTTTTTCTTAAAAAAAGATAAATTGTTTTTAAGCATATTAATGAAGGCAAATGTAAAAGAAGAAATATTCAATGTTCATGATATGAAAGACTAAATCATAAATATGCAAATTTTCCCCAAACTGATCAAATTTCACCTACTACTTATTCTCTTTTTTTTAATTTTATTTGATTTGGAAACTTGACAGGCTTGTTATAGATTGTATATAAAAGTACAAAATTTCAAGAATAGGCATGACACATTTGAAGAACCAAGAGGGAGGAATTGCTATATTATATAAAAATATAGAGTTGAAAATTACAGAATTTAATATATCATTGTATTTCCAGAAGATACATAGAACAAGGAAACAGGATGGAGAACCCCCAAACAGCCATGCATGTATCAACACGAGATAAATGAGAACAATTGCAGGTTATTATGAGAAACATTAAGATTGCTATGACAACTGGCTTCTGCATTTTTAAAAATTGACCATTTTGGTTATTTTTCTATTTATACCCTCATAACAGTTCTCTGGCCTTCTCTATCTTTTGGTCGCCTGGGAAAGCTAACTTTATGAACTCTCTTACATAAACTTCCTTGGCCTTTGGCTTCTGATTAGGTTCAGCTAATGACAAAGACCAGTAAAAGATCAAAAGGTAAGAGACAAAGACCTAAATGTATTTTCCTGAGCAGCAATGGCTTTATTGCCTCAGCAATGTCACATCTCTGAGAGCACAATGTCTGCTCCCTGTCCCCTTTTGTTTTACTCTCGTGAATACCCATCTCTTTCAGATTACAGGTGGCAATGACTTCACACAAACTGCTGAAATCTGCATGCCAATATCTTTCTTATTTCTTTCTTTAACTCTATTCACACTTCTGTAAAAAGGCTCCTAATTAAACCCTTTCCCAAATCCAGAACCTGACTGCGTTTTTCTGAAATTTGACAGCTGAAAGACTTAAGCCTCACTTCTCTCTTTCTCTTGTGTCTCTTACCTGGAAAAGCTAATAAGAAAACCTAGGTGCTTCCTCCTTTGTTACTGGCAGGAATTCAAACCATAAAAGACTGGCCCATGTGTGAAAAATCTTACTCCAGCTCCACCCCGACCACAGAAAAAACTCCAAGCCAGTTTTTTTTCCTACTTTCTGAAGTCATTTCAGACCTCTTTGGGATACCTTTCTTGTTCTTCCCACAAACCTCGTTGTGCAAGTCAGATATTTTTATATCCTCTTGTTATATATGTGGTATTATCAGTCTCAAATTCTAAACCAAATTTTTGGCTCGGGGTTTATCTTGACTTGGCAAAGTTGTCACAAGAAGTGGCACTATGAACAGGATTCCTAGATAATGGTCACCATCACTGAGGATGTTATTTTCTTGCTTTGACTTGCTAACTGCCTCTTCTTGATGGTTGTTAGCTTGATCTTACCTGATGGCAAGCATGTACTTGGAGCTACTACCTGCTGGCTAGCTTGTCCTTTGAGCTGTGCAGCTTTGTGTTTTGTTGTTGAGTCCTACTGAGCCTCTGTTATAGATTTAGCTGACCTAAGTCAGAAATTTCTATATTTGGTATTTAAAGACAAATAGGATTAGAGCCCTTCTTAAAGTGGCTTTGGGTCATGTGTCTCAGTCTGGACCTATCTCTATAATTTAAAATGAGGTCATGACTGATACTATGCTCAGGAGAATGATTGTGATCAACTGATTATATATCTTAACCAAGCATTGACCCTTGATCTATATAGCACTGAAAGGAAAGACACACAGTGGGAGATATGGACCCATCAGGTTGTCGCTTCTGAAAGAGAACTCATTAGGAAGTTAATGAAAAAAAAAAAGGAACAAAAGAAAAGGAAAATAAAACAGCTATTACGTGGTGTGCTAAAGTCCCCACTTCTAAGAGCAAGGGACTCACCAGGATTCTTACATATCTGCTGATGTTGCCATGCTTCTGCTGTGACAAACACCCTGACTCTCTCAGTTACAGAAAAAAAACATGCATAGCATCCCCATGGCACAGCAAAGGAGATGATCCAATCCCAATTATAATCCAGGATCATTAAACTCTATAAAGCAATCATTTTCATGGAGGAGTTTGTTAAACTGATGATATGAATTTGATACTTTCAGGAGGAAGAAATTTATAAGTATGAGCATGGTGGAGTGCCCTTCCACACAGAAATACAACCAGTGACTAAAAATAAATAAATATTTAAAAAGAAAGACAAAAAGGAAACAGATATAAAGGAAAGAAACAAAACTAAAAAAAAAAACTGAATGAAGTTCCACAATATGATCTAATTAGAAATCCAACATTTATTACAAGAATTTATACAACAGAAATGATGGGATAGAAGTCATCTGTTTATATCCCCTCATAACAAGAATTCTTTACCTATCCACAAAAAAAGAATCTCTTTCTAGAAGCCTCAGGACTCAGGGAGGAACCTGTGGAACCCAGGTGTAGCCCATGACCTAAAAGGGTCATTTTGAGAGTGAAGACCTGCACCCAGGTGGCAGACCTGCAAATTGTGCTACTAGCTCAAGCCTAGAAATAACCAGAGTCCCCAAAAGGCTGCCTTCAGACCTTTATGACCTTGAACCTGCAACTAAAACCATCTGTCAAGGGACTAAGGAGAAATCATGCACACTAGTGCCTTGGTAGAGAGGATTGTCTGCCTACTGACATTTGTCTTGGCAGTGAATCTGGAAGTCACCCTGTGGCTTGCTTAAGTACCCTTAGCTATTGTACCAGGCTAGTACTGCTTACACAAAAACCCAGAGTAAGACCTTCCTGTATCTTGCAACCTGGGTGTTTCCTATTTGTCTGAGCTTTGACGATGGGCTTGCCAAACTCCATTTCATAGTAAATCCTAAGGGGACCCAATTTCAGCTCAGGACCTTTTTGCTGCAGTCAGAAAACTATGCAGAAAACTTCTGGGAGATGTGTCCCTATCAGGGCTACCAGGGCAGACTCACCAGTCTTCATCCCACAGAAGATCCTGAAGTTCCCAGTTCAGTCTCCAGCTCCTCTCAATGAACTCTAGAAACTGTCCCACCTGTGCAGGGAACTGACAGGAGGCATGACCATCAGGGCCACTGATCCCTGCCTAGCTTTCCCACATAGCCTGGGTACCCCCTCCCCCTGGGTCTTCTGCAACTCCATCATGGATTAGGCATCCTGACAACTTAACAACTCTTGCAAGACTCATGGCAAACCTGGGCTTATGACACCCTCGAGTACTAAAACAGCTGCAGCAGTCATAGCTTAAGGAGCATATTCTGCTGAGAATTTCTGGGCAGGCCTGCAGAGGAAAGACAGGCACAAACAAGGCTAGACTGAGAAGATTGGAATAAAAGCTCAATTATTTAACGTGAAGACATTGACATATGTCCACAGGCATCAAAAACAAACAGGAAAATATGACTCAACAGAAGAAAAATATAAGATATCAGTGACTGACCCTAAAGGGATGGAGATGTGTAATTTGCCAGACAAAGAATTCAAAATATTTCTTTTAAAGAAGCTCAGTGAACTTCACAAAAACACTAATAAACAATTGAAGAAAGGTTATCAGATAAATTAATCAGAAAAGTTGAAATGATAATAAAAATAGCAATCCTAGAACTGAAAAATACAATGAATGAAATGAAGAAATGCAAGTGAGAACAACAGCAGAATTAAGCAGAGGAAAATATCTGTGAACTCAAGAGAGGGGAAAAAGGAATAAAGAAATGAGGAAAGCTTATGAGATTAGTAAGATGTCAAAAGAGCAAATGAATGTGTTATTGGAGTTTAAGACCCTTTCCTATAACACTTTCCTATTAGAGGGAATAGAGAAAGAAAAAAGAGTAGAAAGAAGTTCGTTTTTCTCTTTGTTTTTCTTAATAGAAGAAATCTTTACAGATTAGGAGAGAAATAGGAATATTCAGGTACAGGAAGGCCAACAGTCACCAATCAGATTCAATCCAGAAAAATACCCTAAGACATATAATCAAATTGTCAAAGACAAAGAGGATCCTAAAGGCATCATGAGAAAGGAAGCAAATAACTAATAACAGACTTCCAATATGTATAATAGTAGACTTCTCAACAGAAAACATACAGGGCAGGAAAGAGTGAATAATATATTTAAAGTGCTAAGGGTGATAAAAAGAAAACCCTGCCAACCAAAAATACTATACCCAGAAGAACAGCCCTTTAGAAATAGAAAGAGATACTTTCCCAGTAAAACAAAAACTGAGGGAATGTGTTAGCACTAGTACTGACTTATGAGAAATGCTAAAGGGAACTATTTAAGCTGAAAGAAAATGATGCTAATGAGTAACATGAAAACACCTATAGGCATAAAACTCACTAGTAAAAGTAAATATACTAGTGGAGCATGGTGGCCCACACCTATAATTCCAGCACTTTGGGAGGCCAAGGTAGAAGAATTGGTTAAGGCCAGGAGTTGGAGACCAGTCTGTGAAAAAGAGAGACTCCATCTTAAAAAAAAAAAAAAAAGCTAGCCTGGCATGATGACTTGCACCTGTATTCCTAGTTACTCAGGAGGCTGAGGTGGGAAGGTCACTTGAACCAGGAGTTTGAGGTTATAATGAGCTATGATTATATCACTGCACTCCAGCTTGGGTGACAGAGTGAAGCTCTGTCTCTTAAAGAAAAGTAAATACACAGTGAAATTCAGAATACACTAATGATATGATGTTGGAGCATAAATCACTTAGATTCTTAGTATGATGGGTAAAAAAATAAACTATAAAAATAATAAGGATAAATAGGTAAGAGATATGCAATATAAAAAGATGAAAATTGTGATATCAATAATTCAAAATAGGTAGGGAGTATAGTTAACACATGGAGGATTTTTTGTATGAATTGTTTTATGCAATCAATATTAAGTGGTTATCTGCTTAATGTAACCTGTTATAAGATGTTTTATGTAAGCCTCAAATTAACCGCAAAAGAGAAACCTACAATTGATATAATAAGAATTTAAAAGCAAGGAATTTGTACAAACTACTAGAGAAAATCACTTAACTTTAAAAGAAGACAATAATAGAGGAAGAAAGAAAAATATACACAACAACTAGAAAATAACAAAATAGCAGCAATAAACTCATACCTAGAAGTAATTACCTTCAATGTAAATGCATTAAATTATCCAATTAAAAGACCTGGAGTGGGCCAGCCACGGTGGCTCACACATCAAATCCCAGAACTTTGGGAGCCTGAGGCGGGTGGATCACTTGAGGTCAGGAGTCTGACACCAGCCTGGCCAACGTGGTGAAACCTTGTCTCTACTAAAAATACAAAAAATAGCCAGGCATGATGGTGGCACCTGTAATCCTAGCTACTCGGGAGGCTGAGGCAGGTGTATTGTTTGCACCAAGGAGGTGGAGGTTGCAGTGAGCTGAAAGTGCACCACTGCACTTCAGCCTGGGCAACAAAGTGAGACTCTGCCTTAAAAAAAAAAAAAAAAAAAAAAAAAAAAAAAAGACACGTGGAGTGGCTAAATAAATGATAAATAAACACTTTGTTCTACCTTCCAGAGACTCATTTCACCTGTATAAACACACATAGAATGAAAGTGAAGGATAGAAAAAGATATTTCAAATAAACCAAAACCAAAAGAGCAGGAGTAGCTATACCTATATCAAATCAAATAGATGTTAATGTAAAAGCTGTAATAAAAAAGACAAAGAAGGTCATTATATAATAAGAAAGGAGTAAAATCTTCAAGATTTATAATATCAGTAAGAGCATGTTGTAAATATATATGCACCCAACATCAGTGAATCTAACTATATAAAGCAAATATGAAGGAGAGATAGACTGCAACGAAATAATAGTAGGAGACTTCAACATCCCACTTTCAGCAATAAACAGATTATTTAGACAGGAAATCAACAAAAACACATAGGATTTAAACTGTACTCTAGACTAAGTAAACCTAACAGACAGTTACAGAATATTTCTCCAAACAACTGCTGAATACCCTTCCTTCTAACGAGCACAAGGAACATTCTCTAGGATAGATTATATGGTAGGCCACAAAACAAGTTTTAAAAGATTTAAGAAGATTGAAATAATTTCAAACATCTTTTCTGACCACATTAATATAAAACTAAAAATAAATTAAAAATCAACAACAGGAATAATTTTGGAAACTTCACAAATACCTGGAAAGTAAACAACATTGTTCTTAATGGCCAAATGGGTTATTAAGGAAATTAAGGGGAAAATTAAATATTTCTTGAAATAATAAAAAAGGGAGCTCAGCATACCAAACCCTATGGAATACTTCAAAAGTAAACTCTAAGGGAGAAGTTTATAGCAATAAACACTTATGTCAAAAAGGAAGATTTCAAATAAATAACCTATTGTTGCATCTCAGGAAATTAATAAGAAACAAGACAAACTAAACCCAAAATTGGTAGAAGGAAGGAAACAATAAAGATCCCAGCAGAAATAAACAAAATAGAGACTAGAAAAACAACTCAAAGATCAACTAAATAAATATTATTTATTTAAAGACAAATCTTGGCCTAGACTAAGAAAAAAAAGAGTAAAATCAAATATATAAAATCAGAAATAATAAAGTAGACATTACAGCTAGTACGACAGAAATACAAAGGATCATAAGAAACTATTCTGAACAATTATATGCAAACAAATTAGATAACCTAGAGGAATGGATACATTTTTGGACACATACAACTTACCAACATTAAACTATGAGGAAACAGAAAATCTGAACACACCAATAACAAGTAAGGAGATTGAATCAGTAGTAAAAATAAATAAATAAATAAATATCCCATCAAAGAAAATCTCAAGCTCTAATGGGTTCACTGCTAAATTCTATCAAACATTTAAAGAAGAACTGATATGAATCCTGATCAAAGTAATCCAAAAAATAGAGTAGGAGAGAATACTTCCAAACTCTTTCTACAAGGCCACTATTATCCTGATCCAAAAGCCAGACAATGAGACAACAAAAACAAGAAAACTACAGTTCAATATCCCTAATAAACAGAGATGCAAAAATTCTCAACAAAATACTAGCAAATCTAACTCAATAGCACATCCAAAGATAATTCACCATGAACAAGTGGTATTCATCCGAGGGTCGTAAGTATGTTTTGACATACGCAAATTAATAAATTGGTGTATCACCTTAACAGAATGAAAAACAAAAATGGTGTGATCATTTCAATAGATGCAGAAAAAGAATTTGACAAAATCCATTATCACTTTTTAATTGAAAACCTCCCAAAAAATTAGGTATAGAAGAAATGTATGTCAACACAATAAACTCCATATGTGACAACCCAATGGTTAACATCATACTGAATGAGGAAAAGCTGAAAGCTTTCCCTTCATGGTCTGGAACAAGGTAAGCATGCCCATTTTCACTATTTCTGTTCAACCTGCTACTGGAAGTTCTAGCCAGAGCAATTAAGCAACAGAAAGAAATAGAAGGCATTCAAATTGGAAAAAAATAATTAAACTCTTCCTGTTTGCAAACGATCTGATTTTATATATAGGAAACCCTAAAGACCACAAAAGAACACTGTTAGAACTAATAAACAAATTCAGAAAGGTTGCAGGATAGAAAAAAAAAAAGAATCTGTAGTGTTTTTATATGCTAATAGTGAACTATCTGAAAAAAAATCAAGAAAACAATGAAAACAATTCCATTTCAAATAGATACAAAAATACAACACTTAAAATGAATTTAAGCAAGGAGGTGAAAGATCTCTGCAGTAAAAACTAGAAAACATTGATGAAAGAAACTGAAGTAGACACAAATAAAGGTAAACATATCCTGTGTTCATGTATTGGCAGAATTACTATTGCTAAAATATATATACTATCCAAAGCAGTCTACAAATTTAATGCAGTCCCTATCAAAATATCAATAACATTCATCACAGAAATACAAAGAAAATTCTAAAATTTGTATGGAAACACAAAATACCTCAAGGAGTCAGCAATCTTGAGCAAAAAGAGCAAAGGTGGAGATATCACACTACCTGACCTTAAAATATCCTACAAAGTTGTAAGTAACCAAATCAGCATGATACTGGCATAAAAAAGACACACAGACAAATAGAACAGAATGAAACATCAATAAATAAACCCAAGCATTTACATCCCACTGATTTTCAACAAAAGTGCCAATAACACACATTAGAGAAAACCAAGCTCTTCAATAAATGGTGTTGGAAAAACTAAATATCCACTTGCAGAAGAATGAAATTAGATACATATCTTTCAACATATAAAAAATCAACTCTAAATATATCAAAGACCTAAATGTAAGATTGAAACTATAAAACTACCAGAAAACCTCAGGAAAAAAACTTCATGACCTTAGTCTGAGCAAGAATTTTTTTTTTTATGACACCTCAAAAACATAGGAAACAAAAGCAAAAATAAGCAAAAATAGACCAAAAAAAGAGAAAATAACTAACAGAGTAAAAATTAACATATGATAGAATATATTAATATTTACAAGCTATACATCTGATAAGGAGTTCATATCAAAAATATATAAGGGATTCAACTCACTAACAAAAACAAATAAATAACCTGATTTTAAAATGGACCAAAGACCTAAGTAAGCATTTCTCAAAAAGAGACATAATGGCCAAAAGGAGTATGAGAAAGTGCTTAAGAGCACTAGTTATCAGTGAAGTGCAAATCAAACCCACAATGAGAAACTGTCTCACTCCAGTTAAAATGTTGGTTATCAAAAATGACAAAAGATAACAAATGTTTTGAAGATGTGGAGAAAAGGAGGATGTGGAAAAAAGGGATCCTTGGTACCTTGTTGGTGGGAATTTAAATTAGTGAAATTAGCCAGCACAGAAAGACAAATAGTACATGATCTCCCTGTATAAGTCCTTTTTTATGCTGCTGATAAAGTCATACCCGAGACTGGGCAATTTACAAAAAAAAAGAGGTCTAATTGGACTTACAGTTCCACATGTCTGAGGAGGCCTCACAATCATGGCAGAAGGCAAGGAGGAGCAACTTACACCTTACGTGGGTGGCAGCAGGCCAAGAGAGAGCTTGTGCAGAGACACTCCCATTTTTAAAACCATCAGATCTCATGAGACTCATTCACTATCACCAGAACTGTGCAGGAAAGACCCACCCCCATAATTCAATCACCTCCCACTGGATTCCTCCCATGACATGCGGAAGCTGTGGGAGTTACCATTCAAGGTGAGATTTGGGTGGGGACACAGCCAAACCATACCACTCCCTCATATATGGAATCTAAAAAGTTGATCTCATAGAAGTTGAGAGTAGAATAATGGTTACCAGAGGCTGGATATGGGATAGAGGGGATAGGGAGAAGTCGGTCAATGGGTACAATCTACAATTAGATAGGGGAAATAAGTTCTGGATTTTTATTGCACAGTTGGGTGAATATATTTACCAATAATGTGTATTTCAAAATAACTAGAAGAGAGGCTTTTGAATGTTCTCATCATGAAGAAATCATAAATGTTAAATAAATATGTAATGGGTATATGAATTACTCTAATTTAATTATTACACAATGAATACATGTATTGAAACATCATATTAGACCCCATAAATATGTATAATTTTTATGTGTCAATCAGCAATAAAATAAATCTTAAAAAATTTTATACAACAAAAAGATAAAAGATCACTGTTGGTTGCAGGCTTTTTCTCCCTTATAATGTAGGTTGTAGATTTAATGTCAAAATCTGTTGAAGTGCATCAACTTGCAAACCTTCATGGACTTAATCAATACACTGGGGCTAGAATTACAGTTATACCTAGGGACTCCATAAACTTAAACAACGTAATGCCTATTAATCTTAGCGGAGTTGCAGCATATAAAATAGAGGAAAAATAGCTATGCCTTACCTGAACTACTCCCTTGCCTGAGTTCTCCATGGTCATATCACCTATTGCCCTTAAATATCCCATAGTGGATATAAACACTGTGATCCAATGAGTAATAAAGTGAAAATAAATTAAGTCTTTGGATCTTATAAATTGGCATGACAAAATGGGATCCAGGGATAATTCCCTAAATTAAAAAAGTTAATATGCCCAAAGTAAATTAAAACAGGGCTTTCAAGAATTGAATTTTATTATATAAAGCCCAGATAAAGAAGGAGTAATTGTTCCCCCTACTGCTGCTATATTTAACAATCCAATTGGCTTATTCTTAATCTTGGAAATAATCAATGATACTTCGTTGTGGATTACTGAAATCTTAATACTAGTCTTCTACCTATTAAGGCCCTCATATTCAATATTGTGTAAATTACTAACTCAATCTACCTGTTAAATATGTTGCTATTATTGATTTGGCTAATATGCTCTGTTCAATGTCTGTGTCAACAGCCTCTCAGCAGCAGATTGCTTTCACCTCTGAAGGGACGCAGCATACATTTACGTCTGAGGTACCTGAACAACCTTGCTCAACTGCACACAGTCTTTTCAGGTAAGAATTTAACTTCATGGAGTTCTCTCCAGGAGCACAGGTATGACATTACACTGAAGACATCTTCCTCCAAAAACATTCATTTGGCATTTTCATTCAGGATACATATATACTTATAAAGAAGTATGTAAAATGGGGATGAGCCATTGTCCCACACATAGTGCAAGACCTCCGCCTAGGGTAAATTTCTGAAAGTTGTTTGGTAAACCAAGAGTGACTCCATGCTAACAGTGTCAGGAAACAGTTACTGATCCTCTTAGCACCCACAGTGGTAAAACAGGGCCCTGAATTTTTAAGGTTTTTTGGGTTCTAGAGGCAACATGTTCCCCATTTACACTGTTGCTTGCAAATTGTCCCACCTTGAAACTTGAATGGACTCCTTCCAACAAAGGGCTCTAGAATCTATCTAAATTGTGATATAACAGACCATCCCTCTAGTGCCCCCCAGAGACTCCTTGCCACAGAGGCATAGCGTCTGCTGTTATGGATTGCAAACACACATTTATGGCCATAAGTTGTCCATATATTTCTTATTCAATAAACTACCCTCATTGATTCTGCATTGTACAGCATTGGAGTGGCAATCCCTGGCCACACACTGAGCTCTCTCCTGGCATAAGAGGATATTACAGGTTCTGAGACAATGCCCCTTCATACTGAGTTGTCCATTATGTTTGGATTCATGGAAGCAGCACCCTACAAGCTCAGCATGGCTCCTGACACCTCCTTGCTACCAGTTATACCTAATCCTGAGCCTTCCAGCATTTCTCACCTGTAAGAAGGGGTGGCCTCCCCTATTCTGAGTCTCTTGTTAGATGCTGTGGTTCTAGAAAAGGACATCTCTTTCCCAGTTTACTTAGCTACGTAGGTAACTGTTTGGGATTAACTGCCTGTACAACAATAGGAATTTGCATACTTTAAGGACGGAAGTGCCATCATGATGGGGCTTGCTAGATAGCTATTGCTTTTCATTCCTTAACAGGGATGTCCCTGATAAAAGACAGCACCCAAGGCTCAGCACAATTCGCCAAACTTCAGACGGAAGTCTTAGTACTGGATGTCCTGGCCAATGTACAAATCAGCTTCATTTGTACATTGTTACAGAGTAAAAGAGTAAAGAATTCTGGAAATTTCTTGCCCCATAGATACTCAAATAATAAATCAAAGTAACATGTCTTTGCATATACTGAGAACACAATACAAGCCATCACCAGGACACCCCTTATATACTTTATCATTCCAGACATTATTGATAGTGGCCATGTCACTCATTTCACTTATCAAAATATGCAACGCTGGGCTCCTGAACAAGCCATTCAACAGAACTTTCGTCTTCATTATAGGCTAGAGGTTGCAGGCTTCATAGAGCATATATTTGCTTATTTAAATAAGTTTAAATTTAATTAAATAAATTATGGCTTACTTTAGTCATCAGCCAGCATTAGGAGAGAATAGTAATAAGGCATCTTAATAAATTTCTTGGTTTTTGATTGCTGATCCATTTTATGCCTCATTCTCCTCCTCTTCCCCTTGTGTTTTTCAGATTTCCTTAAATGAGTAAATGTGTAAATGGGTTGTAGCAAATGCAACTCGAGTAAATTGATATATACTACTTCCAGGGTTAGCCCTTAAAAACTTGTCACATTTGATTCTCCTTGGTCTTCCCCTTACTTCGCCTGGTGTGAACAAGTATGTTGACATTGAAAATAAATTTTTGAAGATAGCAGAATAACAAAATTGAAAGTTTCTGGGTTTCATATATAATTGCTTGGAGAAGAGTCATCACCAGCCAGAAACACTTGTAGCTCATGAGTAAGGAATTAATGTTATAGCTTTCATCCATTAGATATGTTAGGATTTGCTTGTTATGGCAGCTAGCATCATCTTAAAAATGCACTGCATCACTTAATTTATATGAAACTTAAAAAAAATCAAATCAAAGTAACTTACTATTTTTGCAATAGTTGTATAGGTGATCAATTATAAAGAAATCAAAGGCATGATTAACACAAATTTCAGGATTTTTGTTACCTATGTCAGGTAGAGAGAGGGATGTGACTAAATAGTAGCACTTAGGCTATTCATTTTATTTCTATTTAAACTGCATGCCTATAGCAGAAACAGTTGATGTGCCAAGTCAGAGGTTTTAGGCTTCATGAATGGGCCCCCATCATTTAGGATGTAGCACACATTTTACATCAATGACAATACTATGCTCTTTTTTCCACAAAAGTAGAATACATGGAGCTTAGAACCTAAGCAATATAAGGAAGAGTGGCCTAACTTACTATCAGTCTCAGTGACCAATTTAAAGGATTTCTACTGCTCATTTTTGTAACTTTGAACTCTATTTAGAAGTCTTGTCTTGTAGTAGGTGAAACAGTGGATTTTTATTGTCAATATGATGTATAGATACCATTATATAATGCAGACAGGAAAGACCTGAATCTTATCATGAGTAGGGTATAGTTGTCTGGGTCTAATCAGGAGATAGAAGCTACATAGTACGTTAAGCAGAATAATTTTAATATGTATTATTAACTTTGATAAAAGATTAACTACAAGGTATAAGGAAACTATGATATCCCAGAGTTCAGAGAGAATAATCAAAAAAGAACAATCATAGTAGGGCCTCTGATCTTATTGGATAGTGCACCAGATAGCAGAATGTTTCTCTGATTTGACCAGATCAGAGCTAGTCATGAGTTGTATAAGTAATAGGCCACCCTCCACAATGCAAATGGAAGAGTAGGTGATTAACACCTGGTGGCATGCGTGTGCAGTAGAAGTCTGGGTGCTGGTGGAGAGAGGAAGCCTTTAGAGCATGCAGGTCATGTAGGGGCTTGCAGATAGACTTCAGGTGCTGGCCAGGGCAGGAGGCCTTCAGATCGCATGGATCACACAGGGACTTTGGTTTCTGTGTCAAAAGAGCTACAGATAATTTACTGCCAGGCCAAGGCTGCAAGGTTGAAGAGGGAAAATATTCTATGTGAATTGCTTTGGTCAGAAAGAATGGCTGCCCTTATATCCCTACCATCTATCCCTAGCCAGCACTGGGCACAGTAGGAGAGCCCCTTCCTTCTGCAAATCCCTTTGGATCACTCTCCTAAGAAAGCTTAACATTGTTCTTTCTTTAAGGAAGAAATACTTAAAATAATTAATTGGTTTATCATACAGTATACATTAAAGAGTGTATTAGGGATGAAAGGCAATACACTGATAATTGAAACACAAAGTTTCTGACCCTTCAGGGATGAGGGTCTGTTTGGGTTACCCCACTGATCAAGCAGCAATACTATCCAATGGTGAGAAGAAACAGGAATACGGAGTAAAAAAAATGGTGAATATCAGTTGCGATTATGAGACCTAGTTGCAAAGTTAGGCATTGGCTATATTTTTTCATTAATCATCATTATATTAGACACCACCCCTCAGAATCCTAAAAGAACTGTTCCCTGAAATTATGTGAGCCAAGTGCAACTAAGAGGTCCAGTGGTTGGATTGTAGGGGATACTATGGTTACTCATCCCCTTCCCCTCCTTCAGGACTAAAGCATTCATTTCCCCAGCTGACAAGAGTGTTAATAATTGACATATCATTGCTGAGTATTCCTTTGGAGATTTCCTTCAATTGAAGAAGCCACCTCATGCAATGTCATGTCTTATTCTCAAGAGCAGCTCATGTCCAGTGACTGTTGATGAGACTTATTAAGGTCCAGCCCCCTTTGCCAAATTTGGGACAACACTGGTGGTTTATCACAGCTACAGTTTCCCTCGCTGGGTTGGCTGCACTTTTTGCTGTGACTGAATTGCCACCAAACACCTCCCTCAGCCTAATGTTGATTCTTTTAATCTATACAATGTGTATCCTCAAAGCAATCCACGATATAATTTCTGCATGTTGATTTCTGTTTCAAAGTTGGCTTCATAGAAAATCAATTTAGGTCAAGTCTTTGCAAATTACATTTTGTCACAGAATCCCCAAATTGATTAATGTAAATATCCAAAAAAGCACCTGAAAAACCAAAAATTATTACACAATGATGTTTTGTCACAGACATTCTCTGAACTTTAAAAAAAGGAAAACTAGAAAATGAAAAGAAAACACCATAGAAGCCCTTTACAAGTTTTTACCTTACTCATTGCAAACATCAAATGCTGTATTTTTGAGGACAAGGAGTCTATACGTAATGACATACATTAAATAAACAAGAAACTCAGTATTTGGTATAAAAATAAAATGGTTAGATTTCAGATTGCCTGTTACTTGAAAATAAATCTCCTAATGCTGAGTTAATATTAACTCTCTCTTAAATACTGAGTACTAGTAAAGGCACTACTAATTATTGGCTCTGAGGTTGTTACTGTTCATCTGTTACATGCTTCCTATGTAGGATGCTTATGAAAGAGTTTGGAAAATACAGTAGCACCATTTAGTTACAATATGATGTACTTTAGGTCTTGAGGTGGCCACCTCTTTTTAATACAGGATCCACCAAAGAGAGTATGTTTTAGAAAGCATTTTGCTTTTTACTGTATTTAATTTTTATTGATAAATAAAAAATTATACATTTTTATGGTCTACCTCATGGTGTTCTGATATATGTATGCATTGTGGAAAGACTAAGTCAAACTAATTAGCATGTCCATTTTGCTTTCTTAAATTTTTAAATAATATTCCACAACATATAACTTTAAACATTTTTGTCTCTCTACAAATGTCTTTAATTCATACTATTTTTTGAAAACTATATTAAAGTTCATCTAAGAAATCCACTTGCCTAAAAATCCCCACAAAATATTGTGATCAAAATTAAGTAAACATTACCTCATGAAATAAGACAATAAATACACCAAAAAATACACCAAGAAACATTAGTGTTAAGGAAGATCACATGGTTTGAATTCCCTGCCAGCACCAAAGGAAACCAATTGAGTTTTCTTCTCAGTTCTCCCGGATGTGGGGCAGCAAGGAAGGGTAAATACTAGGGCTTGAAAGCCATTGGCAATAATAAAAATGGAGTCACACACTTTAATATTCTCCTCCACCAAATAAAAACTCATAATCTTACCAAACCGAAATAATAACTCTTTTAGACATGCACTATATAACACATTTACAGATATGAAGTACTTTGTTTGTTTCTAATTCCAACAAAATCAAACCTTCCTTAAACTTTGACTTTTCTCCAAATCAATTTTATTCCTTTTAATTGGAATAACATCTTCTGCTATACTTTTATTAGTAACAGCTTTATTAGTTTAAAAATATGTACTTAACATTCAACACCCGAGAAAAATTTCAAAGGACAATGCTTGCATATATTTTTCTAAGAAAATAACCTTCTGATAAAAAAAGAACTATGGTTAAAAAAAATGAAATCTGAAGCAGTACTCTAGAATCCAACAGTTCAAAATAAGTAACCTAAAGATTTATCTGACTTCAACACATTAATGCAGGAGAATGTCAGGGAATATCAGATTCAAAGAAGGCATATTTCTGGTTATTGATAGAGGACAATGAGTTTACCTTCAAGACTTTAATTCTTGTCTGTGAATCTATACAGATGAGCCCAACCCAATTTAGAGTTCAACATACACAGCATGCAATTACCTTCTGAGCATCAAATCCCAAATAACTTTTGAATTTCATACCTGTCAGCATCTGTACTTGGTGTTTTATGAGAAACATTAAGATTTTACATTTGAAAAGTGATTCATATAAGCGATTTTGAAGATGTTTTTATTTTTCAGTAAAAAGGGAAAAAGCTCTCTACTTAGAACTTTTTAAAAAAGTAATTATTGACTTAGGACAGAGACTAATGTTTATTTACTGTTTTGAAACTATTCTTCCCACTAAATTAACCCTACGTGACTCAACAACAGTATCAGAAATAAAACAACTTGGCACTATAGGTTTGTACGTATAAATGAAGGGTAAAATATATTTGATAAATTATGATCCAAAGCATGTTTCTCTCAATGAAGTAAAATAAAACATTTCAAAGCTAAGCGATTGATCCAGGTAGGATTTCTTTGAAAAAAGTCAAGGAAAGGGAATGTTAAGCTCTCTATACTATGTAAACTCCAGGAGGAAATTTCTCTTTTTTTTTATTTCTCCTCCTCGTCTTCTCCTCATTAGACAGAGCATTGCCAAATTGGTAATCAATAGTATATTAACAAATGATTAATGAGAAATAGATGTTTCACAAATGAGATCACAATCTCTATTATTGGAAGCTGCAGGAGAATCAAACAGAATCAACATGAATAAGAGGAGACGATGACATTTGATATATTTCTTTCTAGTCAAAAATTAGCATTCAGTTATAACTTGAAAATACAGGTTCAGGAGATATGTCCAATTAGATATTTGTGGAAAGGAGTTTGAATATGAGTCAGGATAAAATTATTTTACTGAGTAGTTGAGAATGGTACAGTTTATTCGTAGATGAAATCATCTAGTGTTGTGTGAAAAACGTGGAATGGTAAACTGGTAACAGGAGAGATACGGTGACTTAACTGAATAGTGCAGCCCTTCTGTACATTTCCATATTATCCTGCTATCTAATCTGTACTTAATGAGCCTCCTGAGCATCTCCAAAGTTCATGACTTTGTATTAGAAGCTGCAGTAAAGAAGCACCACAATGAAAACCATGTAGTGTCACAATCACTGGCTTAATAATTTAGTTTAAAACATAAAACGTGTTCACAAAGAGCTACAACAGAAGGCAGAGAAACGTTTCCACCTGCAGAGAGAAACCAGTGTCCAAAAGAGATGTAAATCTATACAGAAATATTATTATTCTCAACAATATTCCAAGTTATACAATACTACTGTTTTAAGCTTTAACATAGTGAGTGTTCTGGAAAATCTTTTAGAGTTCATATTTGTAACAAAAACAGTCTGTGAAAGAATCCTGTTAATGGTATTTAATATTTTGATATTATTTATAAATTAAACAGAATATTTTTTCATTAATAATGGAAAACACAGAAAAAGGTGTTTCTATACAACTTAAAACAAATGGCACAAAGGGATGCATGGATGCATTTGTAATTATATATTATGAATTCTAAGTTTTAAAGATATGACTTTACACTCAAATGTTAGCTATTAGCTTACTTAAAAATTAATCAAATAGTATTAATAATCTAACCAATTTCTAGCCTTAATATTTTCTATAGAAAAAATTGATCCCTTTATTAGAATCCCTGCCATCATCTGGCTTCTAACATTACATATGTATCGTCATTTTTCACACCCTTTACTTAATAAAACTATCATTCATTTAGATTACTGCTGATTCCAACATGTCATGTTTATCTACTTCTATGCCTTTTTTGGTACATACACTTTGATATGATTAAAATACCCTGCCTCTTTATAATCTGAAAAAATTATACTTATCCTTTACAAAACCTACTTCAGATGCCATGTATACATACCAGGAGTTCCAATCCTTCATTAGAAAATTCTTCACTGTTCTTTTCTATATAGGCTTTGTTTTGTTAATTCTGCTAGTGTAGCTCTAAGCTTCCTAAATGGTGGGTAGTTTATTATGCTTTTCTCTAAGAGAACGGATAGATTTGTATTCATATTTATATTATTAGACTTTCATTGAACCTGACATGCAATTTATATGTTTAGTGAATTTTAGTCATATGTAACTTTTCAAATATAAACACACCCTTTATCCTCTTGGTAAAATGCTCTGTCAGGAGGTTGGCTGTGCTGGGAGAAAGATCTGGGCTGCCAGGTGTTGGAGTTATCCAATTAAAACAGCAAGCCCTAAATGAAACATTTAAGCCTGTAATCACTTTCTGTAATGGTATAAGCAAGAGTCCAATCTGGAGAAAGCACTAACTCCCCATGTTCCATCTCTTGCCATGTAACTGCTGCTACCTGGAGGGTGGAGGGGTCAGGTAGATTAGTGCAGAGTTTGCGGTCATCTGACTGTTGAAGAAGCTTGAAACAAAAGGTTCCAATCACTTTTTGGACCATGAGGTTGGGGGTGGATGATGAGTGTAATGGAGGAAGGCCTGTGAGTGGAAAAGTATTGGGTACTGAGTCACTGAGTCAGAGTGGGGAAAGGTGTCTTCAAGGTATCCTTTTTCTTTTCCATAAGGAAGCCCTGGCAGAGGAGCCTGAAGAGACCTCTGCTTAAAGCCTCAGATAAAAAGGCTTAGAAATGAAGGCACCAGGCTAGGAATGCAAATATGGGAAGAGTTTGGCCAATGGGCCTGAATCTTTGATTCCAACTTCCTTCAGAGACCAGAATGCATTAGCTGTGCAATAGGTCTGTTGCAGAGAGTGCAGCTTTCCCCTTGAGGCTTGCCAGGTAAAGCTTTGTAATTGATTATGATTGGGCCTGAAAGATCACACATAGGTTTTTAATCAGGAGCTGGATTTCTATGCCCTTATTCATATATTCAGCTAATGTTACACATGTTATTAAAAGATTTTTGCAGTTTTCTGAAGGAGTAATAAACTTTAATAAACACTTAAAAAATTTAAAAGAACTGACAATACTAAGTGCTGGTGAGAATGCACAGTAACAGAAACCCTTTCATATGGACATTACCACCATTTTAATAACTGACAGCTTCTACTAAAATTGAACCAATTCATATGTCATATATACTTAAATGAAAACATTTTCTAAAGTGTATATTAAATTCAGTCATGATTTTGATTCTTTTTCATATTAACTGCTACAGAAAAATAGACTAAGTTACTTAGGCAAGAGATAGACAATACAGAGGTAGAACATAGTAAGAGTATACTGGTAAGAATAATATGCTGTGAGAAGAAACAAGCTATATACAAGAAATAAAGAAAAAAGGCATCATAAATGTGTATAAAATAGAAAATATTTGGATAAGAGATGGAAATCACAGATAACAGTTGTCTTTGTTGAGAATAGAGACATATTAATTGAAAGTGGAATGAAAGGAGAGAAAAATTATACAATTGACCATTTACACATACATAATAATAGCATGTTGGGATTTTATGAGTTTAGAAGGATGTCATTTATTTACTTTTCCATAATTGTTTAGGAAATGGAAAATCACCCAATAAAAACAGTATTTTAAATTATAGTTTTATATATTAAAAATATAATTTGTATATTTTATCAAAATATGTTACTTTTTGTGTGAAAGTAATAAAAAGTTCTAAATAATTATGATGAATATTTGCTCAGCTATATAAAAAAACCTGATTTTTATTGAGATAAATACATTTTAAAGTGATACTAAACTTGGTAACATTGATGCAATAGTCCTTTATGTTTAACCTGCTATTCCTCAAGTTAATTTAAGTATAAGGGAATGGGAAAAAGCGGGCAGGAAATGACATTTATATGTCTTTGCCATGATTTCTTACAAGTCCTTCCCACAAATTCCAGCATTTGGAATTCCTCTAATAAAAACTGGAGTTCAATTTTTATTGAGAAAACTGAAAGCATTTTCTACCTTTTTCTATGGAACCGTGTGTTTCACTACAGGATAGAATGATTGTCAAATTGAGAAAGAGTAGAAGAGAAAACTGTTCAATGGGAGAATAACCTGATGACTGGTGCACTAATGTGCAAATGCTTTGGAAACGGAGATACTTTGACACCAAAGTTCTTATTCTGACTTCTTTCTTAGCTCACTTGGTCATTAAAAGCATAGAAACTGTAATCTCTTGAACAACTACTTCAACAGAGAGTATAACCACATGAATCGTTCAAGTAAGACATCATAAAATAGCAATATAAGCATAAGAGGCCTTCAGCTTTCTCTAGAATGTCTTGTCCCACATCCCCTCATTAGCAATAAGGCCAGCAAGGAAAGACTATTAAATGGTACAATCTGGCCCTTTATTCTCCCATAGATGAACTAGTAGAAAAAATTGAGCTGAAGTTTGTGGGTTCATAATGTGCTATGGGAATAGTTATTTGTCACACATCTGTCATGGAAGAGTTGTTCCTTTAAGAACCATTTAGTCTATAATTGCAACCACATTCAGCTCAATTCCTTCAAGGCAGTCACTGATCACTGGAAATAAGTCAGCACTTCTGGAGTGGCATTAACTCTTTGGCCATCATGGCCATTTTATGCATGAGCATTAACAGTTCACTAAATAGGATCCTAGTGTTCCAAAAAAACCAAGAGGGAATGCACTGGAAAGAAATAGTTGTCTTAGTTCATTTAGTGTTGCTATAACAGAATACCTGAGGCTGGATAATTTATTTTTATAAAGAAGTTTATTTGGGTAATGATTCTGGTGACTGGAAAGTTCAAGATTTGGCAGTTGCATTTGGCAAAATCCTCAGGCTGCTTCAACTTATGATAGAAAGTGGAAAGGGAGCAGGTGTATGCAAAGAGATTACGTGCCAAGAGAGGAAATAAGAGAGAGAAACTGAGGAAGCCAGACTCTTAATAACCTACTCTCATGGGAACTAATTCATTCTTGCAAGAAGAGCACTCACTCACCTCTATATGTGGGTATTAATTTATTCATAAAGGATCTGCCCCCATGACTCAAACACTTCTCACTAAGTCCCACTCAACACCACTACATGGTAGATCAAATTTCAACATAGTTTTGGTGGGAATAAATCACATCCAAACCATAGCACTAATAAAAAATATCTTACTCTACTTTAAAAATATATATTTGTCAATTGTGAAATAAAAATAATTTTTGAAAGAAAATTTATTTAATTAAAAGGAAGATATTGTCTCTATATAAACATATTTTCTTAGCTCTTACAAATTATTTTAATCATATTTTTATAATTTTTATTTTCTATTTGCTTTGTTAAGACAAACATTAAATTTGAACAGAAATGAAAATCTACAACTATTAAATATATGAAATCTGCATTGATTCATGAACAGATTATCCACAATGTGTGACAAACAAATACTTCATACACTTATACAATACTACATTTTATTGGAAGCCTTAGAGTCTATGAGTACTCTGGGTAAGCAGGTATAGGAAGATTTCCAATGGCAGTTCTTTTCAGAATTTTTCCTGGTTCCTTACTAGTGAATTCACTTCTTAGGACTTTGTTGTACTGAATTTCAACCCATTGAGAACAACAAGCATGGATTATCAAGTTCTGTTTTGTCTCTTAGTTTAGCCACTTTTAGATTTTGAACAGCTGCCTGTGATTATCATTTTCTACCCCTCCTCTTTCCACTAAAATTCTGAGCTGATAATGAACATTTTAATTATTCTACAAGATTATTTTTTCTTAGAGAAACATTTTAACCTGCTTAATTTCTTAAAGTATTTCTAGTTTATGTTTTTATATTATTATTAAATATTTAAAAATTTTGATTCTCTTTCCAACATTTTATCTTTTTTTGTATTTCATTTATTTTTATTTTTGTTCAGACTGGATAGGCATAAAATATTTGATGTCCTAATTACCTATTTTTATATCTTTCATATGCTTCTTTAAACAAAATTTATTTTTCTCCTAGTTTCTTTGTGGATTTAGCATCCCTTATTCTAAGGCTTTGATTTACATTATTTTAAGTAGATTTTATATTATTGTGATTATATTAATTCATTAAATTTTTATTTAAACTTTTTTTATCTTTTACTTTCAATTATGTATTTATTTACAACCCAGTTCAAAAACGGGCGCAGGCCTTTTGTTTAGCAAACATACAAAAAGATGTTCAACATTACTAATCATTAGGAAAATGCAAATAAAAAACACAAGCAATGCAAATCAAAACCACAATAAGATACCATCTTATACCCATTAGAATGGCTACTATTAAAAAACAAGAGAGAGCAGCAAATGCTGGTCAGGATGTGGAGATATTGAAATCCCTGTACATTGTTGGTGGGAATGTAAAATGCTAAAACAGTTTAGTCGTTTCTCTAAAAATTAAAAATGGAATTACCATCTGATTCAGCAATCCTCTTCTGAGTATATATCCAAATGATTTGAAAGCAGTCCTGAAGTGATATTTGTACAACCATGCTCATAACAGCATATTCACCATAGCCAAGAGGTGGAAGCAGCCCATGTCCATAAACAGATGAATGTGTTAAAAAATTCATATATACATACAATGTAATACTATTTGCCTTAAAAATAAATAAAGTTCTGACACCTGCTACAACATAGATGAACTTGAGGACATTATATTAAGTGAAATAAGTCAATTACAAAAGAAAAATGCTATGTAATTCACTTACATAAAATGTCTAGAGTAGTCAATATCACAGAAACGAAAGTAGAATAGTAGTTGCCAGGGGCTGAGGAAAAGGGGACATGAGAAGTTAGTGTTTAAAAGGCATAGATTTCAGTTTTGTAATATGAAACAGTTCTGGAGATTGGTTGCAGAACAATGTGAGTATATGTAACTCTACTGAACTGTACACTTAAAAATAGTTAAGATGATCAATGTTTCTGTTATGTGCATTTTGTCATAATTTTTAAAATAATTAAAATATTTTTATAAATTTTAAAGAATATGGTAGGAATTAATTCAACCATATTCATAATGATTTTAAATTAGAACAATTTAAAAGTAACAGTTAAAAGACACATGTTGTCAGAGTGGCTTAAACATAAACAAGACAAAAATATATGTTGTTTATAAAAATTCTACTTTAAGTATAAAAACTCGGATTAAAAGTGAAGGGACAGAAAAACATACACTATGCTAACATTAATAAAAAAAATTGAGGTAGCTATATTAATTGCAGCTGGGACTGCAGGCGCCCGCCACTACACCCAGCTAATTCTTTTTGTATTTTTAGTAGAGATGGGGTTTCACCATGTTAGCCAGGATAGTCTGGATCTCCTGACATCGTGATCTGCCCGCATTGGCCTCCCATAGTGCTGGGATTACAGGCGTGAGCCAACGCGCCCGGCCTTACTTTTTAATTTTTTTGTTTGTTTGTTTTAACTCTCCAAAGTGACAATGGAAACTTCTACTTTTCTAAAAAAAAATTAAGGATATGCTCCCAACTCCGCATTTTGGCTCTTGCTTTTTGATATAAGATAGATATTCTCGCATTTTGCAGTACTCCATAATATTTCATTATGATTCCCTCTGAATGTGTGCAGAGGGTGGCATTTAAGAATCATGAAGGCCGGGCGCCGTGGCTCACGCCTGTAATCCCAGCACTTTGGGAGGCCGAAGCGGGCGGATAACGAGGTCAGGAGATCGAGACCATTCTGGCTAACATGGTGAAACCCTGTCTCTACTAAACATACAAAAAATTAGCCGGGCGAGGTGGCGGGCGCCTGTAGTCCCAGCTACTAGGGAGGCTGAGGCAGGAGAATGGCGTGAACCCCGGGGGGCGGAGCCTGCAGTGAGCCGAGATGGCGCCACTGCACTGCAGCCTGGGTGAAAGAGCGAGACTCTGTCTCAAAAAAAAAAAAAAAAAAAAAAAAAGCAGCATGAAAACACACAGGGACTTCAATTTATTAGCAAATAAAGGTGCTATCTATTTTCTTCAGAAGATACATAAAGATAGTGGGGGCAGAGTAGCCTCCAAGTAGACAAGTCATGAAAAGTTAATTGGGCTTTAAATATATGAACACAATGAAAAATCACATGCAGTTTTAAAAGCATAACAAACCAACTAAAAGCATAATATTTTGCAATAACTTAGATAAATTCAAGACATTAACACATAAGTTGGAACAGAAATTTTCTGATTTTGTTCCTCTTTGAGATTCTTTCCAAAATTTTATACTACATGGTGATGTACAGTGAAACTAATGATTGCTTACAAAATAAATTTAGGAAGAAAAAGCAAATTTATCAATATTTCAGATGAATAATAATTATAATAAAGCTTAGTAGAATCAATTTTTGCTAGAAATTTCCTGCAAAAAATCTGCTCTAAGACCTTAATTTGTCAAAATTAGCACATTGTGAAAATAAAATCTCTAAACTAATAAATATACTTCACTAATGTTTATTCAAAAATAACATTTGGAAATTAAATGCCATATGTCAGTTGGTTAAGAAAAAAAATTTGCTTTGAAATATTTTTACAACAAGAAATTTAAAGATGTGTCACAAAATTTATAAGGTGGAAAATTTGCGATACTATCATATTAGTTAGTAGTAATTACAAAGAGTTTTATATAGTGATTCAGGAAGTGGAACTTTAGACAACCTCAGAATGGTAAAAATAAATAAATAAAATAGCAATTTAAAATGTAAGAAAAAGTAAAGTATGACAAAGGGAATGCAACAATCTGTCATTGTTTTTTCTTTCTCTCATTTTAATTTCAACATGACCTAGAAAGAATCAGACAGAAAGTCTGAAATAGAAGAATAAAACCATCTGCTGGAATAAAACTATTCCAGGAGAACATAATTAGCTCTACAGGGCAGAGGCTTCAACTTATTTTGATCACTGGTGTATCTCATGGCCTAGAGCCGTGGTTCTTACATTTAGTTTTTGTTTCTGGTTCTGATTAAATTCTTAAACTATGTTGAGAATGCCAAAATACTTTTGCTTATGTAGTATATATAAATATATGCATTTATAGTACTACAAGTAAAATTTAGGCATTTAAAAATATCAATTTATTAATTCATTGTAAATAACAACAATAAACCTACTACATGCTAATGTAAACAACATTTTAATGAAATACATTGTAGCTTACAAAGCCAAAAACTAATGCGAATAGTGACATTGTTTCATATATTCTTAAGTATCTTAATGTAGGACTAAATAAAAGATGAAAATGAAAAGTGTTTCCATATGTTTTGCTGATTCTGAATTCAATCAGCCCTGGTATATTACTTTGGTAGAAATATGCAGTTAATATATACTCATACAGATATGTAATTGGAAAAGGCAGGAGTCCCTAATAAACTTTATAGTAACCTTGATAATTATCAATTTGAATCTACAGCAAAATTAGCAAGTAATAGTTTTTTTTTTTTTTTTTTGGTTTGGCTTTCTTTGTTGCTTTTATTTATTTTTTTTTTTGAGATGGAGTATCTCTCTGTCCCCCAGGCTGGAGTGCAGTGGCACTATCTTGCCTCACTGCAACCCCTGCCTCCTGGGTTCAAGCGATTCTCCTGCCTCAGCCTCCCGAGTAGCTGGGACTACAGGCACGTGCCATCATGCCCAGCTAATTTTTTGTATTTTTAGTAGAGACTGGATTTCACTGTATTAGCCAGGATGGTCTCCATCTCCTGACCTCGTGATCCTCCCACCTTGGCCTCCCAAAGTGCTGGGATTACAGGTGTGAGCCACCCCACCTGGCCCCAAGTAATAGTTCTTAAAAGTTAAAATTTAAGAGGTGAAACCATTCTGACTAATTTTCCTCACTATGTTACATTTAAAACTGTTAGTATATCTCAAACTTTTATTCATACATAATTTTGAAACACCATACATTCATCTTTTAGAAATTGATTCAGTGGATTATGAAGATATTTCAAATGTTGACATCGTTTTCATGATGTAATATGAAAAAAATCACATGTGCTAATATCAACCTCAATCTTATTAGAAAAGTCTGCATTAGGAAGATGTCATGCTTATTTAGGCAGATGCAAATTTTCTAATACTTAAATTTTGTCTTAAAATGCAAATTTCATTATTGACAACAAATATGGTAGGTTGTTTTATTTGTCGGTAACAGGGTCAGATTGTTTATATTTGAGAAGATGTCTGCCAAATACCCAGCGTTTAAAAACTATAGTTTTTGGTTACCTGTTCTTTTAGGAAGGAATGGTGTTTCATGAACAAGTGGCTAGTTAATCTCCTCACAATAGCAATCACACAAAAGTCCTCCCTCAAGATAATCATCCTACTTTGGTGTGTAGCATAAGTTCATTATGTCTTTTTCCATTTCATCACTCAGAATATAAAAAGATATGTATTTATGGTTGGAGCTTTAATAAAATTATTTATTTGTGATTAATCAAACACATTCTTTTTAAAAGCTGTCTTCTTCTGTTTGTTTTCTTTCTTTTCTTTTCTTTTCTGTGTATGTTCACATAGCAAAGAATATATTGACTCCTATTATAGTTTGGTACCATTGAATGATGTCAACCACCGACCCCCATCAATTGTACCTACCATCAGTGCAGAAGTCCACACAATTGTTCCAGGATAACTTATGAGATTCAAAAAATTTATTCAAAATTTTCATTTGTGTTTATTTCCAAGCATTCATTAAAAATGAATGGTCTAATTTATTAATTGGTGTTAATATTAGATTAATGTAAATACAGCAAGTCCAGCCATGCCTGTAGGTTATTCATTTGTAAGCATTTGTAAGACAAAAATACTAATCTACAGATTGGGTACTAACTCAATCTTGATGTTTATAGTAGGTCTTCAATTCCATGAGTTACAGTATTATTAGAAAGTAGAAGTGCCATGATTTTGTTAATGACTTTTCATCTAGCAGGCATTCAAGGCTTTGTCCTACAGCTATTCTAAGTGTTTCTCCAGCCAATGAAAGATAATTTTCCCTGTAAGATGCTTCAGTGAATTTTTCATTTTTAGTTTGAAAAGCTATAATGAATAATTTTTGTTTTTAAATAGCTTATCATCTCTACATTTAAAATACTCAATTCTTTTAATTTATGAATTGACTAGATTTGCCTCAAAATGATCCACAAATTAACTGGCAATATAATATTATTCAAAACTGTTCTTTTGAATAAAACACAATATACTAAATTTTTAACATTCTAAAGCTTAAAAAGATAGCTTTCATCAGTTCACTTTCTTACTTAAAATTTTGCCCAGTATCTTTAGAATTAATTCCAAAGAATAGATTGTTTTACATATGTCAGAGAATACTCTGATATGTCAGTTTCTTTGTATTTCCGTGTCTTTAGGAATAGTGTAACTGTGGATTGAAGAAGTCAAGTCTTCTAGTCCTAATTTTAGTCATCAACTAAATCTTAAATATGCAAAATGTATAAATAAAATTATTTTAGTAGGTAATTAAATTCCAAAATAATAACATATGTGGATACATTCTTCAAATTTAGAAAAGTTTTCTACTTTTTAAATCAATAATCTTGTAAAATAAATCAACAAAATTTACTTTCTTGTATTTTCACGTAGGCATAAAGACAACAAACTCAAAATAATTCATGGGAAGATAATGAGTTTACAAAGATCATAGTAGTTACAATAAAAAGAAAGAACATAATGTTCTAAGAATCAACTGAGTTAATTCCATAATATGTACATATTTATATTCTAAAGCCACTACCTTAGAAAATTACAGAAACAAAAAAAACAAAAATACAGTCCATTAGCAGTCAGAGCAGTGACATCATTACAGATCATGTAGCCTCTGAAAAAAATATTCTGTATACTTATTATAGAGAGAAGAAAAGAAAAATAACATATTTGCATTGCTATGAACATAATTGTGACATTACAAACCACTTAAATAGCTTGGGAACCAACAAGGGACTCTTGATAACTTTTGGAAAACCACTAGCTTAAAAATGTGCCAGATAAGTATTGGCACTAAAAAACAATCAAATAAATGAAGAAAAAAATACTTCAGTAGATGTATTTGTGTGTATATTTTGCAATTGTATTTGCAGTTAGTAGATATATTCATGTGCATATTTTACAATTATATTTGTGTGTATACTTTGTGATTTTCTTCTTTACTTAAATTATGGAGTTTAACATGTATATTTTAAAAATCATATATTTTTATACATTTCTTCTATAGGAGCAACATATATCATATTTTTCTTTTGTACAAAATAAAGCAGTCATTATTATACAGATTTACTGTCTCTCATTTTCATTTTTTAAATTTAAAGTCATATAAGAGAGAAGTAAAATAGTTGTTAACATAAGTCAGTAGCTTGAATACATTATTTCTTTCTACAGTCTTACAGTGATGAGTAATTTATATTCTTGAGTTTTCGAAGCATTTGCACAGATCTCATAAATGTGGTAGGATGAACACATACAGTCGTGTATTTGGTGATTTTGTGCTGTTAACGCCTAATAAGGGATTTTGGATTTTTATAACTTATTCTTCTATGACAAAATGAGCACATGGGTTCTTAATGTGGAAGTATCTGTACACATAGTTTATCTTGACTACTTTGACTACAGTGAAGGGTCTATTCCAGTCAGGAGCTTCATAAGACCAAAGCTCTGTCTACCTAATTCATCATTGTTCCAGGAAGTAGCATAGTGCCAGACACATTGCTACTATCAGTGAGTATTTTCATACCAATGAACATATTTTAAACTCATTAAATTACAAAGTAATTGTTCTTCCATAGGATGGGCTAAAGTAGACTACTCCTTTCCTTTTTTGTGTCCATCTCTTTAGATATGGTATGCTTGAGCTTTGGAAAACACTTCAAATAATGCCATAGAATAACTGCAGGCAACATTTTCAATCAACATATTTAAATCAAAATGGCTTATATTTTTGTTACTAAAAGAAAAAATGCACATTTTTTATAAAAAGATTTTTTGTTTAGTATTTAACAGCAAAAAATAATTTAGTATTGGACCTGAAAATATGTAATGTAATTAATTATATAAAGACAATTTTGTACATGCTTATCTTTTGTTAGTAGAAAACTAATTATAATATTCTCTAAAGTAGGAGCATGTGAATTAAATATTGAATTAGTTAATTCTCATGTCAGGAGTTAAAATTTAAAAAGTAACATCCGACAGATATGAAATTAGATGTCCATGATACAGAGAATCTTGGGTTATCATTTTGGGTATCAGTAACTATCTATGTGACCTTGGGCATGTTATTTGTGACAGTCTTATGATTGATTAATAATATTTTCAGCACAGAGATAAGAAATATATGTTTCTTCTTCTTGGATTTTACCTGATGAGGTTGCATATCACCTGAAATATCAGGTAAATAAACATCAGACTGGGATTTAACCTCTGAAAGGCATGTTTTTTTGTTTTTTTAAAAAACAAAACAAAGGATCATTTTGACAAAAATGGTCACAAAATCCAGAATGGCATCTTTTAAAAAGAGATAAAAATGAGATCCATTTAAAACAAAATCACTAGTGACTTGTAACACAAAGCATCTAATTCTCCATATTATATTATATTACAAAGAATCAGAAGTGAAGGCTTCATATGGTTTTAGGCAGGTCAGTCCTAAGAGACATATGGGGCACAAGGTAAAGGGAGAAAAATAGGGAAGAAAAATTGTGTTATTGCGTTGTATAAATGCGTAAACATGTAAATCTAACCCAAATATTTGAGAGTATTTTGGGTACCACAAATATGGTATTCTTTTTTTTTTAATTTTTAATTTTTATTTATTTATTTTTTATTATACTTTAAGTTTTAGGGTACATGTGCACAACGTGCAGGTTTGTTACATATGTATACATGTGACATGTTGGTGTTCTGCACCCATTAACTCGTCATTTACATTAGGTATATCTCCTAAGGCTATCCCTCCCCCCTCTCCCCACCCCACAACAGGCCCCAGTGTGTGATGTTCCCCTTCCTGTGTCTATGTGTTCTCATTGTTCAATTCCCACCTATGAGTGAGAACATGCGGTGTTTGGTTTTTTGTCCTTGTGATAGTTTGCTGAGAATGATGGTTTCCAGCTTCATCCATGTCCCTACAAAGGACATGAACTCATCACTTTTTATGGCTGCATAGTAATCCATGGTGTGTGTATATGTGCCACATTTTCTTAACCCAGTCTATCATTGTTGGACATTTGGGTTGGTTCCAAGTCTTTGCTATTGTGAATAGTGCCGCAATAAACATAGGTGTGCATGTGTCTTTATAGCAGCATGATTTATAATCCTTTGGGTATATACCCAGTAATGGGATGGCTGGGTCAAATGGTATTTCTAGTTCTAGATCCCTGAGGAATCGCCACACTGACTTCCACAATGGTTGAACTAGTTTACAGTCCCACCAACAGTGTAAAAGTGTTCCTATTTCTTCACATCCTCTCCAGCACCTGCTGTTTTCTGACTTTTTAATGATCCCCATTCTAACTGGTGTGAGATGGTATCTCATTGTGGTTTTGATTTGCATTTCTCTGATGGCCAGTGATGGTGAGCATTTTTTCATGTGTCTTTTGGCTGCCTAAATGTCTTCTGTTGAGAAGTTTCTGTTCATATCCTTCGCCCACTTTTTGATGGGGTTGTTTGTTTTTTTCTTGTAAATTTGTTTGAGTTCATTGTAGATTCTGGATATTAGCCCTTTGTCAGATGAGTAGATCGCAAAAATTTTCTCCCATTCTGTAGGTTGCCTGTCATGATTTGTCAATTTTGGCATTTGTTGCCGTTGTTTTTGGTGTTTTAGACATGAAGTCCTTGCCCATGCCTATGTCCTGAATGGTATTGCCTAGGTTTTCTTCTAGGGTTTTTATGGTTTTAGGTCTAAAATTTAAGTCTTTAATCCATCTTGAATTCATTTTTGTATAAGGTATAAGGAAGGGATCCAGTTTCAGCTTTCTACATATGGCTAGCCAGTTTTCCCAGCACCAGTTATTAAATAGGGAATCCGAAAAAACAACTGCTTTTGAAGAATCCTCATGATAATCAAAATTGGCTTGTGAAATTTTAATTATATAGCACTTAAAAATTCTAGCATGACATTAATTACTCAGAAGATATGTAGAAAAATATGGCATGTATTGCACATATGACCAAACTCCTGGTTAATTGCACAACATTTCAGATCCTAGAAATCAATTAACCTAATTGTTTGACTGAAATAAATAAAGTAAAATAATTATTTAGCATAACCATTGTCCAAAAGCTAAAAGCTATATATAAAACGATGGTAAATTTTTACCCTATTGCCATTTATCCTATAGTTAGAAACAAAGCTCTTATTTTTGAGAAGACACACTAAGACCTGCTTACGTAGATTTTTTTAAGTAAAAATTAAGGAAAGAAGAGGTATTCAGTAGATAAAAATAAACTTTGCTAAAGAGAATAGAATGTGGCAAGAACCACAAAGAACAACCCCACCAAGCATATCTGACAATTACTATTTTGAATAATACCCAAATAAGATTACAAAGATATTTGGCATCCAGAATTCCCAAAAGCTATTTGGAAAGGCTTATGATCTACATAGAATAGCTCTTGAATATTTTCCGAAGTAAGATGTAAAAGAGGAAGATCAAGGGCATCTCTTTATAATCCAGCCTAATCAGTAGTCTCTAATACCAGGAGACAATAGTTAATTTCCTTTGCTTAATAATATTTTGTGGCCAAAAATGTGTGAAATTTTTTGTTTCCCTTTTGATAATTAATGTATGGATTAACTTCTATTTAATATATGACATTGAGAAACCATACAATTCTAAACAATAAGTAATAGATTTGAAATGGCATTTTACACACAGTGCCCCCCAATATAACAAAAATATATCTATAACCTGTAGAGATTGTATTATCACATGAGAGATGATTATTAATGTGTGGAGAAAATTATTCCTAGTCTTTGCAATCAACTACGAAAAAGCAGCAAGAAAAATATTGCCAAATTTTCTCCACATCTACACCACCTCTTATAATTGTCAATTCATTTTAATTTTATTCACTCTTGTAGATGTTAGCAGTCCTTCAATGTGGATCAGATTTTGCACTTCCATAACAAACAATATTTTGAGCATTTTTAATATGTTCATGAGAATTTTACATAGTTCATTTAGTGAAATATCTGTTCAAATGTTTTGCCCATTTACTATTGTGATGTTTGGCTTATTACTGAGTTGTAAAGTTACTTATACATTCTGGACAGAAGCCCATTGTTAGCCATATGCATTGTAATGTTTCCTCTTTTGGGTTGTACCTTGTTCTTTCCTTAATGGTGACTCTTGAAGAGAAATTTTAATTTTGATGAATATTAAATTACAAAGATTTTATGATTCAAGTTTTTGTACCCTAAGAATCATTGCCCAACTCAAGGTCACAAATAATTTCTCCATATTCTACAATTTGGTTTGAATTAATTTAGTATATACTGTTATATATTTTTTCTTCTTGTCTAATGCGATTTGATGCTATAAATTTCCTTCAAAATGTTTGTTTAACTACATCATCACATGTTGATGTATTGTGTATTCATTTTCTTTGAGTTCAAAATATTTTGTAATTGTTCTTATCTCTTTTCTACTTTCTAAATATTTGTAGATTTTTAAAATGTATTTAATATTAATATATAATATTTGTATAAATTTATGGCATATATGTGATATTTCAATACATGTATACAATGTGTAATGATCAAATCTGGGTATTTAGGACATCTATCACTTCAAACATTTATCATTTCTTTGTGCTGAGAACATTACAAATCTACTTTTTTATTTTGAAATATACAATGTATCATTTTTAACTGCAGTCACCCTATTGTGCTACTGAACACTAGAACTTATTTCTTCCATCTAACTTTATGTTTGTACTCAACTTTATGTTTGCACTCATTAACCAACCTCTCTTCATTCCTCTGCTTCCCAACCTCTGGTAACTACCATTCTACTCTATCTCCCTGAGGTCAATTTTTTTGGTTCTCCTATATGAGTGAGAACACACAATATTTTTTTGTTTCTGGCTTATTTCACTTAATAACCTCCAGTTTCATCCATGTTGCTGCAAATGACAAGATTTCCTTCTTTTAAATGGCCAAATAGTATTCAATTGTACATTTTTTATCCATTTACTCTTTCATCTATTTATTCATAGATGGACACTTATGCTGATCTATATCTTTCCTACTGTGAATAGTGTTGCACTAAACATGGAAGTGCAGGAATCTCTTTGATATACTGATTTCTTTACTTTTGGATAAATACCTGGTAGCGTAATTGTTGCATTATTCTATTTTTAGTTTTTTGAGAAATTTCTGTACTATTTTCCATAATGGCTGTACTAATTTTACATTTCCATCAACAGTATGTAAGGGTTCTCTTTTCTCCACATCCTTACCACATTTGTTATTTTTTTGTCTTTTTGGTAATAGCTATTCTAACAGGGTAAGATATCTCATTGTAGTTTGATTTGCACTTCCCTGATGATTAGTGATGTTGAATCTATTTTTGATACACCTATTAGCCATTCGTGTGTCTTCCTTTGAGAAATGTGTATTTTTGTCAGTGGGGCTTTTGGGTTGTAGAGATGGGGAGGCCTGGTAGGTGTTATCCAGCCATTGTGTGGATTCCAGGCAGCTCCTTTACTAGTCTCAGGGCCCACAGGGTCCACGGGCCTCTCTTGTAGCTAGGATTGCAGTAGTCTGTGGTGGAAATGTGTGAATGTGGACTACTGGGGATCTCTCTTCACATTTCCCTGTAATAAGGAGTTTCCCTTGACTCCAAGCTGATTCCAGCCAAGCCAGCTGTTTCTCTTTCCTCTAATTCTGTGCTTCAGAGTTTCCCGGTGACTTTCCTGCTGAATTCAAGTGAACTCTCTTAGACATTCCACTTAACATGTGTTTATCTCCTGACTGTTTTTATCCTTCTTTGTGGAGGAGGCAAGTGCTGAATGCCTCTAGTTCGGCCTCTTAAAGACTCTAGCATATTTTTTTAAATGTACTTTTTTCTGTTATTTAATTAACAGAAAAAATTTTGTTGTGATAAGCAAAATACTTTGCATATTTTGTTATTGTTTAATTTATTGAGATTTTATATATGATATATATGATGCATCACATGGTCTACCTTGATGAATATTTCATAAACACTTGAAAAAACTAATATTCTGCTAATATTTACAAGATTGCCCTATTATTTGATAGCATTCAAATCTTCTATCCTTACTCAGAGAAGGTGTTTAAATTTGCAAGTATGATTTAAAATTCATCCATTTCTTTTTCAATTTTACCAAGTTTTGCTTTATGTAAAGCCATTTATCTTTATCAGATTTCATACTTCTTATATATAAGGATTCATGGCTTTAAAAATTTCTTTATTTCTGCATCTCTTATTAAACAGATGTTGAGTTCATCATATTTTAAAAAGAAGTGTTCTTAATTTTCACAACCCTTCATCACTTTACCATTCTATTTGCCATTTTTGGATAATTTTCTCAGATATTTATTTTAATTTAAACTTCTTTTATAATTATTTTGGGGGTTATATTTGATCCAATTTAGTTTAACTGCAAATCTTAACTTCCATGATTATGTATTTTTTCTCTTCTGGTAAGTATATTTTATTTTTAAATCTCCTTTTTAACTATCATGTTCTTTTTAGAGATTAAATCAGTATTTGAAAATTTTATTAATTAAACACACTTTAAAAAAATCTCGCATCTAAATATATAAAGGTCTATTTCTAGTGTTGTTAGTGTTGGCTATGTTTCACTCACTAAAAATTATATTTCTTATGTGTTTTGCAATAGTTTATTTTCAATTTGATATCGCCCTCAGGGAGAGTGTTTTTTGTGTTGAATACTCTTTGTGCTTAACGAAATTGATTGCTCTCTTTTCTTCACTTATTGGTTCAGTAATGCTTTTAAAATAATTTTGCTGCAGTTTATATAACATTTCTCTTTGTTTATACTGGGGGATATTTCATATTAGCAAAACAAAATATTTAAGAAACATTTATACATTTATTCTCTGATATGGTTATAGATTTGGGTAGGTTCTAAAATATTAACTACAATTTTAGAAAGTAGAGTTCTAAAACATGCATTTCAAGTTTTGAGGATAAATTTAAAGTGAGGGAACAATGCACTCCAGTGTGTTCAGTATCCACACATTTCCTGGAGAATCAGTTAGTCAGAAATATTTTTATAGTGAATATGGGGCTAAAAATTTAGGCAAGCTTAATTTAATAAAAGTGTATTTTTAAAACAATAAGGGGAAATCAATTTGTTCTTTTTGTTCATGTGACTATTTTATTGTTTTTTTTTTTTAATAGAGAAGTTCCATTACTCAGTTTGTAATGAAAACAAACCTGAAAACCAGGAAACAAATTACTTTGTAGTAGTGTGGGTGAATTACTTTGAATACATCTGAGGGAAATAATACATCTGATGGATTTGAATAATACATCTGAGGGATTTGAATACATCTGAGGGAAATAATTGCACCATGTATACAATATTAGAATAATTTAATTGGGCCTTGATGATATTTTAAGATATAAAATTGTACTTAATTTTTACAGCATATTTCTTTATGCCAGACCTGAATCCCAAAGGAAGCATTAAATTACATTAGTCTGACATAAATAAGGCAGATTTAAAAGTAAACATACTTAGTTCAGAAAACGATTCAATAAATACAAAAATCACAACTAATTGTACTCTCCTATCCATAATTAATGACGCTATTATCTCACCAAAATCTAGGAAGTCTACTTCATTTTGATAATCAAAGGATAATTTCATTTTTATGTATATATGTATGATTTGAATAGTATAAATGAACCCTCTGATGTTTAGACAGTTGGAACCAGTTTTTCCTAGTTAATTTTAATTTCGAACTTCTATCACTATGCTAAAATTATCCCATAATTTTGTATCTTAAAATTGAGAAATAAAGTTTAATAGTGTTAATATTTCCCTTATGACTTATTATAAGCTTAACATTAGTTCATTCTACTGAATAATTAGGAGACTCAATCAGTCAAAATTAGTTCAAGGTAATTAATCATTACACAACAGAAGCAATCAGGAGTCAGAATTAGTTTTCCAAGATGGTGAGAAAAAATTTGATTTGAATTAGGGATCAAGTAGATTTGAAATACTTGAATCAAGCTCAGGAGCATACAAGATTGAAAACAAATTTTCAAACCAAAATCTAAAACAAAACAAAACAAAATAAAAAGTAAGAAACAAGTCAACCTTTATTATAAGCTCATCTCAAGGTGTTTGTGGTGCAAGAAATTACAGTGGTTCAGATTTACAGACTGCTTGAGATAAAACAATTAACAATAAAAATAATTGACAAAAATGCCTGAAATTAATATATGTTTGATAGTAACTTTACCCTTCTCATCACCAAAAATTAATCTTTATGGAGTTAGGCATGGTAGCTCATGCCTGTAATCCCAGAGTGCTTTGGGATGCCAACGTGGGAAGATCCTTGGAGGATGGGAGTTTGAGACCATATTAGTAAACATAATGAGGTCCTATCTCTACCAAAAATTTTTTTTTTAAATTAGACATGCCTAGTGATGTATACCTGTAGCCCTAGCTACTCAGGAAGCTGAGGCAGCAGGATCCATTGGGCCCAGGATTTCTAAGTTGCATTGTGTTATGATTGTGCCACTGTATCCCAGCATGGGTGACAGAGTGAGATTCTGTGTCTAAAGTAAATAAATGAATAACTAAATAAAAATAAAAAGTGCTCTTCATGTGTCAAGCTTCTTCATAAATTTGTTAAGCTAAACTTTTTTTGTTGCCCTTAAATTTGTTACAAGGACACAAAGCTGAAGATGACTATTATCATTCATTTTTCATTCTGGACTACAGTTAATGTATAGAACTCAGACTTCTTGAAATTATAATAGAATAACTGCTTAATATTTTTAACATTTCAAGATCCCTTATGATACTATATTTTAAAGAATGAGTTTTAAATAACTTGTAGTTTTTTAATCTCAATTTGCCATTCAAATGGATCATGAACATGAAAATAAGTTAAGCTTCAGCAAATGGAGATCTGAACAAAAAATAAAAATTATGCCATAAGATACAAAGTAACTGCAGCATGACAAATTTGGGATGAGCCTTTGGTGTGTATTTTATTTAATTAAAAGATTAAGTTTGACTGGAATTTTTTTTCAAAGTAGTTATTACTGTTGCCTTTGAAAGATAATGTTTTATCTGTATACACTAGTTCCTAAACACGTCATCTCAGCTGTATATTTTTAAATTATGTTTTCATGGCCAGTAAATATGGCATAATAATAATAATAACAATTCAGCACATGTTACTATAAGGCTGACTGTGCATGAAACACTGTTCTAGATACTTACATGTTGTATCTTACTAAATTCTCAGAACCACCATATGAGTTCTTGTTGTATTAAGTGACAAATGCATATAAACTACTTAGAACAACGGTTGGCAGAAGGAAAGGGAGAAATAAAGAGGGAAGGGGAAGATGAGAGGCAGAAAGGGAGGAAGAAACAAAAATTAGAAGATGGAAAATATGCCAAAGACCATAAATCAATTTTTTAAATTTTTTATGTTCCCAATTTATACTAGTTTCTTAGAGATTTCCAGTTCATGTTAACCTGTGTTAGCATTCTCTTACTGGTACTTGACTTCTATTTTGTACTTACTTTTATTGTTTACCTGACTCTTCTAATGCTGTTCTACATCAACGTAACAACCAGTCTATTGGCTATAAACTCAAAAAAAAGTGGGAAGAAAATAATCTTGTTTTATAATGTCATTTTCTCAGAAACTTATATATAAACTTTTTACGTATTTATATAATGCTAAATGTCCACTCTCCATAAAATTATTGTATACTAAGTGATAATTCAAAGCATCCAGTATTCAATATGGAACGTAAAGGAGAAGCTGATTTTACGTAATTATTCAAAATGTTTTACTCTAGCATCTAATTTGATGCATTAAATATTTTACAGTATATTCTCCAATGGCAAAGGCACGAATTACTTTAAAGTATTTTTATGAAGCATTTCTACTTTTAATATATTTTAAACTAGCATATAGCTCACATGTCTATAGATGTATTGGACTGGCAGTTTAATTCATATGGTATTACTGTGTGACACACTTTCTTTCTGTTAACAAACAAGGCCTTAAAAAAACAATTTAAATCAAGTTAAAGTATACATAGAGCAGAAAAATCCTCACAAATAGATAATCTATACCCTTCCATAATGTTTGATTTCTAACACATTTATGTTTTAGAAACTAAACAGACTAAGAAGCTATCGGATGACAACTAGTATTTGATATATTTAAAATAAACACAATAATAACAACAAAGAAAGCAAAATCTTTGTCTAGCTATTGCTTGTTCTGTGACAATAAAAGCAAAAGAAAACAAATGAGAGCAAAATAAACCTAGACATATTTTTATCTGTGTAATGAATGCATCACGTATGTGCTAAAAAAGTAATAACATATCCATTATTTATGAAAGCAGACTATTGTTATATTTCTAGAATGGAAAAAATATAAATTAACCTAATACCTTATGGAATAATAATTTATTGAGATTGCTACTCTGTTGGGTCTAAAATATGTGGCTTGGTAGATATCAACTCTCAGTTTCCAGTCCTCCTACAAATCCAAAATTTCACCTATTTAATTTATCCTTAAAAGGAATTACATGCTGACTAATATTGCAAGGTGGGATAGTGTCATTTCCTTTAAAAGCTATAATAAATATTCCAAATATTATTTTGTCTTAGAAAAAATATTTATCATTATTAAGCAGGAAATCAAACAAACAACTAAGACCAAGGGAAATTCTATAAAATATCGACATTATGTGTGGTTATATGAGTGAGATGGAAGAACATCAGCCTGGCCTAAATTTCTTATACCAATAGGAGGAAAATACTGGACATCCATTTTTTTTTTGTCATTGCTGCTGAGGTAAAATCACACTAATTAGAAGTGTAGATGGAACATACTTTCCATTTCTTAAGTGTGGGCTACACACAGTGACTTTGTTCCAAAGAGTACAGTATGGAAAGCGTTATAAAAGAGTATCTTTCAAATGGAGAAATCTTACAAACACCATCTCAGCAAAAAGTTCAAGGCCAATATCAATATCAAGACTTATAAGTCATGTTGATAATATGTACATTTCATACAAAATGATGATGAAAACGATACATGGCTCATGGCTACTGTAGACTTTTCTTTTTCTTTTTTTTTTTTTTTTTTTTTTGAGACAGAGTCTCGCTGTGTCACCGAGGCTGGAGTGCAGTGGCGCGATCTTGGCTCACTGCAAGCTTACTGTGGGCTTTTTTCTAACAACACATAATCCCAGTCTAATTATGAGAAAAACATCAGATTTATTCCAATTGAAGGGCATTCTCCAAAATTTCTGACGAGTACTATTCAACACTGTCAAGGTCATCAAATACAAAGAAACTATCACAATTAGGAGAAACCTAAGGAGACTAAATGTAATATGGTATCTTGGATAGAATCCTAGAACAGAACAACAACAACAAAAATAGGTAAAAACTAAGAGATCTTGGCCGGGCGCGGTGGCTCATGCCTGTAATCCCAACACTCTGGGAGGCTGAGGCGGGTGGATCACAACATCGGGAGCTCAAGGCCAGCCTGGCCAATATGGTGAAACCCCGTGTCTACTAAAAAATAAAAATAAAAAAATTATCCAGGCAGGGCGGCCCACGCCTGTAATCCCAGCTACTGGAGAGGCTGAGGCAGGAGAACTGCTTGAACCCGGGATGGGGAGGTTGCAGTGAGCCGAGATGGCACCACTGCACTCCAGCCTGGGCAACAGAGTGAGACTCGGTGTCAAATAAATAAATAAATAAATAAAGGAGATCTTAATAAAGTTAGAGCTTTAGTATATAATAATGAAACAATATTAGTTTATTAATTATGACCAATGTATCACACTAATGTAAGATATTAATATTAGGGAAAACTGAGAGTGGGGTATATGGGAAAACTACTATTTTTAAAACTTTCCTAAACATAAAACTATCCTAAAAGAAGAAAAAAAGTTAATTAAAAGCAAAAAAGAAGAAAATATAGAACAATGTAGTAGAAATTGATTTATAAAGTGTGTTTTTAAAACAACACTAATATTTAAATAATCTAACTAATTTGAATAAACCTCTACATTATACCAAAAATAATAAGCAAATGAGGAGCTTTTATTGGAGAGTGAACAGAAACATGCAGACTTGTTGGGAATATACACAGAGAAAGAGAAGATAACTAGCCTCTGGGGTTTTTTGTTGTTGTTGTTTTTGTTTGTATTTTATGTTGTTTTTGCATCTTTCAAGCATGGGCTTACCAGCAGTTGGCTGGAACATGCCAGATGGCAGCAGTGACACCAGTAGAAACACCATAATGTTTCTAGCTTGGGGAAAATAAAAATGCCTATATAATTCTATAATTTACTAAAAAAAGAAACAAACATTAAACCAAGCAAATAGAAAGAATTAAAGATGTTTCCACAAAGATGGTGTTACTAGCTTCAAGCAACAAACCATCTCAATCATATTAAGCTCTTCTAGATAATAGAAAGAATGAAAAAAAGTCCTATGTCCTAGTTCATTCTTAATGTCAGCATAGTTCTGATAAGGTCAATATAGTAGAGAAACCCTATAAGTCCATTTCATTTATTAATAAACATGTAAAAATCCAAAACAAAATATTAGCAGTGAAATGCAACTGTACAAAAGGTAATAAAATATACATTGGATTACTCACTTAGAATATGAGAATATGAGAAAACATCTAAATCTAATTCATGATAATGTTGAAATACAATATTAATTTGTGCCTCTCAATAGAGAAAAATATAGAGCTTATTATATATTTATGATAATAATTAAATAAATTGGAAATAAAAGATAGCTATCTCCTGGGAAATTGTATATATTAGAAAAAAACTACACACACCATCTTAGTTGAGTAGAAAACATTCCTTAAAATAAGAAACAAGACAGGAATACTACTATAAGCATATACTGTTGTTGGAGTGAGCCTAATAAGGCAAGATTAAGAAACTAAAGTATTTTTCATTGGAATGCAGAAAAACAAAACTTGTAATATTTGCCTAAAAACAACAAGGGCATTTTAATATCACAACAAAACACTAGAAAATATAATTTTAAAAATTCAATTTGCGATAATATAAAAAAGCAAGTACCTAGAAATACGTTTTATAAAAGATATGCAATTCTTCTTTGTGGAAAATGGTAAAGTTTGATGTAAGATATTTTAAAAGCCAAACATGGATACCCAACATTATAGGGGATGAAAGGATAGATTTTGGTGCCATATTGCAGGTACAGAAAATAAATTTTGGAGTTCCTAAAGTCTGATATTTTTAAAATTTTTCTAAGATTTTATATCTTTTTTTCCTTTGGTATAAATAAAATCTGCCTTTTGGATTGCTGATATAATAAAATGATAGTAATGTTTGTAAATCAAAGCTCATTGTTAAATAATGTTTAAGGTTCCTTGGCCACTGATTTGACTTGAGTTTCTAATTTATGCTGAAGATACATCTTTGCTAATGTTGACGTTGTTTGGGGAAACACAAGCATCAAGTGACTATAAGCATTTCTGCAATGAAAGCACATAGATTGTTTTTGGTAAATTCTTAAATGATGGTATTAACACAGTAAATATTGAGCTGATCCTTACCTTCACTGTCACTAGCAGCACTGTGTCCTCATTCAGAACTCTGGGAATGTGGAGAATCCCTACCAGGACATGCCACATCTCTTCTTGCTTAGCGTGGCTATCTCGCTTCCATTAAATGTCTATATTATTGGCTAAACTATCAGTGGAGAGACCTTATCTTATAGTGTATATATATGTACGTGATTTCTTTCACCACAATAAGGCACTGCAAATATTAAATTATAGTGTATTATAATAGGAAATGATATTTACAAAATGATTAAATACATAGAGTGGGAATTTTGAAAACTTAAAATATGTGTGTTGGTGGTTTTTATCAGTTAGGTAATTATGTTTTATAATAATATTCAATTGAATTAACTTTTAATAAAACTATAAAGTCAAGTACAAATTTGTTTGAAAACAAACTGTCTCCAAAAGAATTCCTTATGAGTAGATCATATAAAAGGACTCAAAACAATGTAAGTGATTGGTGCAATTTTATTATTCACTGCTCTTTCTTGACAAATTGGATAGCAAACTGTAATTAGCAATCAGTTGCTGATTTTTACATAAGAGCACTGTGTCAATATAGAACTCTGGTCTCTACAAGGACTGTTCTGTAAAACAACAACACAAAACAAAAGCACCATTAACCCAAGATGCTTGCTAAGAAATTTTTTTGAGTAGATAATTTAAAATACAATGAATTTAGAATACAGAGAATTATGTTTGTTGTCTTTAAGAACATAGTAATTTCATTTCCATTTTCATAGGTCTTTCGAAAAGATACCAATGGCTTTCGGTTATCCAGTCTAGGGCATTTTCACTTTGTCATTTGTATTGGTACTGGGTGTATAAACATGTGGTGGGGAGCAACTCTTGATTAATTCTGTATCACAGATGAGTGTATTGGGGGAACCAGCCCCCAGTATGTCAACGTAGATTCTTTTCTATTTTCTCTAAGTGTCTGAGAAATAAAGAGAAAGAGTACAGAGAGAGAAATTTTACAGCTGGGCCTCCGGGGGTGACATCACATATTGGCAGGTTCCGTGATGCCCCCGAACCGCAAAACCAGAAAGTTTTTATTAGGGATTTCAAAAGGGGAGGGAGTACGAACAGGGAGTGAGTCAAAAAGATCACATGCTTGAAAGGGCAATAAAAGATCACAAGGGAAGAGAGGCAGAGCAAGATCACAAGGCCAGGGCGAAATTAGAATTACTGATGCGGTTCCATGTCCCACTGGGTACACATTGTCATTGATAAACATCTTAACAGGAAACAGGGTTTGAGAACAGACAACTGGTCTGACTAGAATTTGCCAGGCTGGAATTTCCTAATCCTAGGGAGCCTGAGGGTGCTGCAGGAGACCAGGGCATATTTCATCCCTTATCATCAACCTCATAAGACAGACACTCCCAGAGTGGCCGTTTAGAGGCCTTCCCCTGGGAATGCATTCTTTCCCAGGGTTATTCCTCGGTGGGAAAAGAATTCAGTGATATTTCTCCTGTTTGCTTTCTGCAAGAAGAGAAATATGACTCTGTTCTGCCTGGCCCCGCAGGCAGTCAGACCTTATGGTTATCTACCTTGTTCCCTGAAAATTGCTGTTATCCTGTTCCTTTTTTAGGATGCCCAGATTTCATATTGTTCAAACACACATGTTTTACAAACAATTTGTGCAGTTAACACAATCATCACAAGGTCCTGTGTTGATGTACATCCTCAGCTTATGAAGATGATGGGATTAAGAGATTAAAGTAAAGACGCATAGGAAATTATAAAAGTATTGATTAGGGAAGTGATAAATGTCCAGGAAATCTTCACAATTTATGTTCAGAGATTGCAGTAAAGACAGGCATAAGAAATTATAAAAGTATTAATTTGGGTAACTAATAAATGTCCATGAAATCTTCACAATTTATGTTCTGCCACGGCTTCAGCCGGTCCCTCCGTTGGGGGTCCCTGACTTCCTGCAACACCAGTGGATAAGCCTTTGAAAAAAAGAGTACACAACTGTTCCTAGCAATCTTCATGGATGTTAAATAAATGAAGATATCCCACTCATATTCACTTCTGCTGAAATCATACAGCTAGAAGTACACTAGGAAAATAGATAAAAGCTCCATTAGAATTCAAAATATAGTTTGTGCAACAGCATAAAACTTTAAGAGAGCTGAGTATAGTGGTAGGTTATGTAATAAAATCATTATCATGGTCAAGCTAAAACTATTATGATTATTACTTGAATTTTGCACTCACCACCCGTGGCTACTCCACCTGGGTCTGGAAGAACCAATGCTTTTATAATTGCTTAATGCCTAAACATTTTAGCATGTGGTAAAAGACGTCCCTGCTTTTGATAGCATCCCTCGATGGATCTATAACTCTAGTCACTAAATTTAAATGTTAAACACTAAATTTAAGTGCTTTTAATCAGGTTTTCCTAATATTAGACAATGCAGAATTTCTTCCACTGGTAAATTATTTTTAAAAATAAAACAAAATCAAATTAACTGCAGGTAATTTATTTTCATATACAACTTATATATTTTTTAAATATTGGCTTGAAAATAGCTTAATATTAGCCTAAACTGGGCCCACATAGTCACAAATGTATTGAACTTTGGATGAAAAATTATATATACTGTTTAAATTTAGAAATATTGTATTCATTCATTTATTCATTTTACAAAATGTTATTGAGAGCCTATTTTTTCATTCATTTATTTATTCATTTCATAAGATGCTCATTGAAAGTCAGAAATAAAAATAAGCTCCTAAACCCCAAAAGACTGAATAGACAGTCTCCTGGCCAAGGAGAATCCAAAAGCAACATTAAAAACTGAGTTCCTGGCCATGATGGAACAAGAGATTGGATATGCTTCAGTATGCCCCTTTTTTACTAACCTTCAACCAGAATTCTTTCTTAAAGAGTAAGCAGAAACAAGCTCTGGAGAAGAGGAAACAGACAAGCTATTCCTTTATCACCTTTAGCCAATCATCTGAGACTGCCAAGGGGCTCCCCCTTCCTTTTACAGTTTTGATAGGACAGCTTACCAGTTTCAGGATGCATCCCTTCCTAAAAACTAGCCACTATCTCCAGTTTTGGTCAAAACTCTCAAGGGATGCACAAGGAGGGTTTATGTGTCTTCTGCTTCACCTGTTGACATCAGAAGACTGAAAACTCCCCCGTTCAATCATGCAAACATTGCCAGTTTTTGAAAATGTGACCCATGAAGTTGCATGAAGTTCAATTGCACGTGCACATATTTCTCCTTTCATAAATATTCATGACTCATATAGCTTACTGAACTTGGATATTTAGCCAACTACTTCAACATAAATTCCTGTTCCTCTTACCCCTCTCTCAAAATGCATGTTCTTAGCTTCTGCTGGAGGCTATAACACCTAGCCTTCAGGATGGCCAGCCTGTGGGCTGCAACCCTTTTTGAGAAATAAAGTATTTTCCCAAATTTATAAACCTTGAGATTCTTCGGTTGACAATACCTTATTATATGCTCAGGATTGCATTAAATATTGGTGATAAAAATGTCTTATATTGGTGTAGATGATAAGATATTTTATCACAAATGTCCTTACTCTCTAATCAAGATGGCTTGTATAAAAACAAATACATGCAAAAGCATGTAAATGAATTTTATAGTGTGTATATATGGGAAATGATGCCTTCACATGGGAATACAGGGTAAAAAGAAGTCCCAGTGGCATTGATCCATAATTACCTCAGCAGGAGGGCAGCATAGCTGCTAGAAATAAAGAGAAGAGTGCTGAGAGATTTTAGGCAGAAAGATGATTTCAAGGGTTCCATGTACTATACACAGAATTCAATATTCAGGATTGCTTTTTCTGCATAGCATCTTGAGAGTCAAGTGATCCTCAACTCAATTATGTCTTGGCCTAGAGAATTTCAACAACATTAAAGTAACAGAGAGCATAACTTAAAATACTCAAAATCATATGTAAATATAAACACATATGAGGATACTGAAGAGTATATATACATGCTATGGAAAAATAAAGGAATATTACTGACTATGCTATTTTCAAATAATCACTAGTATACTCAAGCCTTCACCAAGTATTTCTTTTCATGCACATGATCTAGAGTGTGAGCAAAAACAGCAGAGTCCCTGCCTTTGAAAATTAAGTTGGAGATACAACCAAATGATCAATATGCTTAAATTTAAAACCCAGTTGCCCCTTGAGCAACACTGGTTTGAAATATATGGGTCCACTTAGGCATGGATTTTCTTCTGCCTTCATCACTCCTGAGACAGCAAAACCAACCCTTCCTCTTCCTTCTCCTCCTCAGCATACTCAGTGTGAGGATGATGAACATGAAGTCCTTATGATGATCTATTTCCACTTCATGAATAGTAAATATATTTTAGCTTTTCTATGAATTTCTTAATAATATTTTCTTTTCTTTAGCATTCTGTTTTGTAAGAAGACAGTATTTAACACATATACAAAATATGTATTGACTGTTTATGATATTAGTAAGTCTTCTGGTCAAGAGTGGGCTATTAGTAATTACATTTTAGGGGGCTCAAAAATGTTGATTTTCAACCACACAGGGGGTTAGTGCCTCTAACTCTGTCATTGTTCAAAGGTCAACTGTAACTGAAGAAGTGTTATGTACAGAAAAAATTGGCTGTCATGACAAACAATAATAATAAAATTTTATTTAGATTGGTGAAAAGGAAAGATCTCTTTAAGGGAGTGGTAGTTAAACTGAAAACTAAAGGATAGATAGGAGGTAACCAGAAGAATTAATAAAGCAAATTAATTCTCAACCTGGGATAAGACATTATGAAATAAATAACACTAATAATATATTCAAATAACTACCTAAAATGAAATTTACATGTAGATTAGTGAAAACAATACTTCTAACTTTTATAGAGACCACTCATTTCAGGTCAGCTGAATTTGAGACTGAATTTCTTACGTTCAACACTGACATAGGATTGATTTTGAGAAGTTCTCCACTAAACAAATAGCTTCCCTTCTGTTTTCTTTCATTAAAGATCTACTAAATTCCTGAAGAGCCAAGAGTGTTGTTAAATGTGGCGGAAATGTTCCCTGAATTTATAGACTTCTCACTTTCTAGCACGGGAGACAACCAGAAAAATGTAAGGGTGTTAACTCTGAAGTGCCAATTATATATGGTCAGTAAAATAAGCATAACACTAATAATATATTAAAATTAACTATCTAAAATGTAATTTACATGTAGATTAATGAAAACAATACTTCTAACTTTTATAGAGACCACACATTTCAGGTCAGCTGAATTTGAGACTGAATTTCTTATGTTCAACACTGACATAGGATTGAATTTGAGAAGTTCTCCACTAAACAAATAGCTTCCCTTCTGTTTTCTTTCATTAAAGATCTACTAAATTCCTGAAAGCCAAGAGTGTTGCTAAATGTGGCGGAAATGTTCCCTGAATTTATAGACTTCTCACTTTCTAGCACGGGAGACAACCAGAAAAATGTAAGGGTGTTAACTCTGAAGTGCCAATTATATATGGTCAGTAAAATAAGCAGTTGCAAATAAAGTTCTTGGGTTAGCAAGAAAGTTTAGAGCTGAAGTCACAGTTGAGAATGGGTATTTCAGTGGAAGATATGAAAACAAATGCTATGCCCTCCCCAAGTGGTGTTAGACAGAAGTGTGATATATGGCCACAAGAGGAGCCATTTACTGAATCCCCCAGTTCATTTTCTGTCAAAAATTCTATGCATAATCCTTCAGCCCTGAGCATAGGTAATTGTATGAGGCAGAGTTTTTCAGAGAAATAAAACCTATAGTAAAGGGATAACTAATACAGAGAAAGAGAGAGATTGATTATGAGGGACTGACTTACATGATCATGGAGATAGAAAAGGCCCACAGTCTGCTGCCTGTAAACTGGAGATCCACAAAGTCAGTGGTGTAGTTCCAGCCCAAGCCCAAAGGCCTGTCAATCAACAGAGCCAATGATATAAATCCCAGTCCAAGTCTGAAAGTGTGAGAACCAGAAGTGCTGATGTCCAAGTGCAGGAGAAGATGGATATTCTGACTCAAACAGGAAGCACACTTGCTCTTTCTCCACTTTTTTGTTATATTTAGGCCGTCAACAAATTGGATAGAGCTCACCCACAATGATAGTGACAATCATCTCTATTCAGTTTACTGATTCAAATGCTAATGTCTTACTGAAACATACTCACAGATATACACAGAAATATTTTTACCAGCTATATGGGCATTTCTTAGCATAGTCAAGTTGATGCATAAATTAACCATTCTAGTAATTACAAAAACTCTGCCTGTTGGAAGTAATGTGGAAAGCTGCCTCTTCACACTAGACTTGCTGCACAGCCAGTTCATTACAGTCTCTGAAAGGAATTGTAATCAAAGACTCAGACCTCCTTGGCCAGCCATGTTCTGATGCTTATCTGTATTCCTAACCCAACTACCTTCATTCAGAAGCTTCTTCATCAAGGTGCCTTGGCCTAGTCCTTCCCCAGACCCCTCTGATGGGAATCCTTATGGAAATTCTCATATTGAATTTTGAAGAAAATTTTCTCCATCCTGATTCAGTACTCAGTACTCTTATGCTCCTAGACTTCCCCCTTTCTCTTCTCCAGTCTCCCAAGTCTATCAAATGTCAGGAGACACAAGTTTATCAAATGTTTGGTGCTCTCTCAGCAGTGAGACATTCCCCACATCTGCACGAATACATCTGAATCTCATCTCATGCATCCCATGTGAATGAGACAAAACATTGAGGAAGCTCGTGCTTTCTCCTTCTACATATAGTATGGAAAAAAATATTTACATATTGCCTTAATTCACTACTCCAAAACCTGGAGGCTCTACTTTCTCCAGGCCACCTCAGCTCTTGATACATAGCATATTTTTATAATCACTTCATGTTGGTTTTGGATAAGTCTCAAAACCCTTTCAAACAGTTCTTTATTCTGCAATACCAATTGTTTAGGTAGGCATAAAAATTAGAACCTATTCATTTCTGACATATATATCTCTCTTCTAATATATACATATAGATCTATCTATCTTATATATCTATAGATATATTGATATATACGTATATCAGAATAGATATATATCATAAATAAATAGGTTTATATCCATATGACTATTTACTGATGTATTTTCATTGATATATCTTACTCTATCTGTATCTATTTACAGATATTTAGAGATAGAAATAAGATAGAAATATAGATATGTATTGAGATATATAATATATATCAAAATACAGATATATAGGTATATAAGATAAAAATTATTAAATGAATGGTCTGTTGAGTTCAGTGGAAAGAGAAGCATAGTTTAGACTATTCCAGAGTATTCTGTCCTTGCTCTAGTATTTTAACTATTCAAGAGTATTCTGTTCTTGCTTTAGTATTTTTAACTGTTCAAGCCAATTTTATTGTTGTGAACTTTAAAAGCAATAATTTAATTATAAAAATATTAGAAGTTCTTATCAGGTAAAGATAAATGGTCATTACAAGCTGGGACATCATTAAGTCAAAAGTTTAAGGTAGAGGATAGGTTTGTGTTCTAGAATAATAAAACAAATTACCTAAGGAGAAATAACAGCTATAAATAGACCTAAGTTACCCCGTTCCCATTGTAGTAACAAGTGTGAATAGCTTTTCATTCAAGAGGCAAAGAAACTTGACTGAGTTTCTTTGTAAAGTTTCAAACTCAGTAAAGTTTGGAAGGCATTTGTATTAATTGAAAGTGGTACCTTCTAAAGTGTGCTCTGTGTGTGTGTGTATATATGTATATATATACACACACATACACATATACACAGAGAGTAGGTATATGTATATATATACCATTTATATTAAAATACCCTTCTTTATAACATTGCTTCAAATCCTTCAATGAAATGAACTCTCTTTCTCTCTTAATATTGTAAAACATAATTTTGTGTCACCCGTTTATTGTATTTTTCATCCAACAAGAAAATACCATGCACTATAGGCATATAAATTGATACACACATATACATGTCTATCCATAAGGTTATATATAAAAAAACACATATTTATATGTATATATATGTATGTGTGTTACATATTCATATATATAACATGTGTATATGTATACATGTATTATTTATATACATATATATTCAGACATATATATACACATACATATATTGGGGGAAGGATGTTTATCTTTTCTCTTAATTTTTATTTATTCAATGAGGATAATAATTTCTAATTAATAGAACTATACAGAGATGAATGAGTAATGTAATATACTTTGTGCCAATAACTTATTATCAATATTTAGATAGGTAGAAAGGAAATCAGTATATTGAAGAGATGTCTGCAGTCCAGGTTTACTGCAGCACTATTGATGATAGCTAAGATATGGGATCAACCTAAGTGTCCATCAATGGATGAATGGATAAAAAAAGCGTGGTACATAAACACAACGGAATATTATTCAATCATAAAAAACAATGAAATCCTGTCAGTTGCAACAACATGGATGGAAATGAAGAATATTATGTAAAGTGAAATAAGCCAGGCCCAGAAAGACAAATATTGTATGCTCTCACTCATATGCAGGAGCTAAAAATGTTGACCTCATGGAGACAGACAATAGAATGATTGTTACCAGACAATGGCAAGCGTTGTGGGGAGGGTGGGGGAATAAAGAGGGTTTAACTAATGCGTACAAAAGTATAGTTAGATAGAGTAAGATCTAGTGTTTGATAGCATAATAGGATAATTGTAAATAACAATAATTTAGTTTACATTTTAGAATAACTAGAAGAATGAAATTGGAATGTTTCTAACACAAAGAAATGATAAATGTGTACAGTAATGGATATCCCAGTCACCTTGATTTGATTATTACACATTGTATGCTTGCATCAAAATATCATATGGACTCCATAAATATGTGCAGCATTTGTGTATCCATAAAAATAAAAATTAAAAAATTATATAGAATAACAGATAGATAAGTATTTGTATGCATCAATTTATATATCCATAATACATGCTTTTTTTGTTGGATGAAAAATACAATAAACGAAGGACACAAAATTATGTGTTAGAATATTAAGAGAAAGAGAGATTTCATTTTATTGAAGAACGTTGAGTCATTTCATAAAGAAGAGTATTTCAATATAAACTTTGAAATAAATTAGGCACTTAACTGCCAAAATAGAAAGGGTACTGATAGATAAGAAAACAGCATGAACAAAAGATTAAATGCCTCTGGCATGATGAAATAATAGCAATGTTAAAATGTTACTTCGCTTTAAGTCTTTTCTTATTAAGTGATTTAACATGAAAACTGCCACATAATTAAATTTAGATAAATAAGTAAGTAAATATGAAGTGGAATGATAATCTAGATTTGAGTGGTTCTTCCTTCAATAAATTAGACACAGCAGCAATATAGAAGGCACATTCAAAGTGTTATTAATTTAAATTATTTTAGTAGCTGTGACATTCAGCTTTAGGAAAAATATATGCTTTAAAAGGGGTGCTTTTGGTAAATGAAAATTTTTGCTATGGATGTCAACATTTATTTTTTAAAGAACAATTATTTGAATACGATACAAATAGTTATTAGATACATTTTTTTTCTGTGCTACACTTGTTCTTGTGTACTTGTTCCTTGTGCACTTATTTTTTGTCATTTTTTGCTTTCTATTTTTATGATATTCATCAATTCATTTATTCTAATCATCAATAACTATTATTTCAAAATGAAAATAAGAAAATGGGTCTTTAAAAAAATAAGCACATTTCTATTTATCCAGGTTTGGAAAGTCATGGTTATAGTTAAAGTATTGATTGTTAATAAATTGTTATTTTAAAAATGTTATTTCATGACTAGACGTATTACCTTTCATTAGCATATGCTTTCTGATGCAGTACACAATTCCAATATTCCAGGAAAATTACATGTTAACAAAATTGGTTGAGTTTCCTGTTTCAAAAAATTATCCCTGAAATGTGGCTTTCAAAAGTCATTATTTTTTAGAGGCCTCCTGCCATAAAATATATTGACAATAATCTCAGAACTCAATGTGTGGCAAAGCACATGGTTAAGCATTAGCTTTCTATCCAGGAAAATACAAAAGTATAATCCCCCAAAACCTTTCCCAGATACATGTCAGGGAGTGCTTAGATAGGACCACTAGTTAGAAATAAAATGATACCAAATCAACGGCAGGGAAACAACTCTACAACCAACCATTTCTTTTCACTTCTAGCTTTAAGCAAGGTATGCCCAGTGAGTTATGACACTCAAGGCCCTACTTACAGAGGACTGGACTGGCACAATTTCCAACCTCGGAAATAAAATAAATATAAACTCACATGTCTGTTTTAGCATAGGTCTGATTATGAAGCATATAGATACAGCATCTAAAAATGAGGGAAGGTGATATATTTGGGTACTCGTCACCTCCAAATCTCATGTTGAAATTTAATCCCTTATGTGGGAGGTGGGTCTTGGTGGGAGGTGTTTGTCACAGAGACAGATTACTCATAAAAAGACTTGGTGTCATTCTTATAGCCATGTAAGAGTGAGTCTTTACTCCATTAATTTCCATGAGATAGAATTGTTAAAAAGAGCCTGGCACCTTCTTCTCTGCTCTCTTCTTTCCTCTTTTGCCATGTGATGCCTGTACCCCTTCACTTTCAGTTGTGAATAGAAGCTTCCTGAAGCCCTCATCAGAGGAAGATGCTGGTTCCATACTTCTTCTAAACCACATAAACCTCTTTTCTTTATAAATTACCCAGGTTCGAGTATTCTTTTATAGCAACACAAAACACAGTAAGATAAGGGAGAGTAATCATGGAGTTCATTATGGGATTGTGGGAATGTAATTAAATGTAAGATATTTTTGACTTTTTCCAGAGGGGTGTGTGTGTGTGTGTGTGTGTGTGTGTGTGAGAGAGAGAGAGAGAGAGAGAGTGAGACAGAGACAGAGAGAGAGAAACTGAGCTAGTCCCTTTCCCTGAATAAGTGCCCCTCCACCCCAACTCCCTTCCCAAGCACTGCTCTGTGCTTCAGTAGTGCAATCCCCTCCAGACCGCTTTCCAGTTTATCAGCTTTATTCACTGAGCTCTACGAAACTTTGCAGACTGAAGGGAGGAAAGAGAAGAAGGTGTTAATTTCACTCTTATTTCACCTCTGCATCTCTGCTGATTGCTTTTCCAAAGAAGCTATTCCAAATGACATCAGTATAAGGTAAGTGCTCTTACAAATATAAAACAAAGAAGTCTACCATGTTGTTAAGGTTTCATAAGGTCGGCTTGCCATATTAGAACACACAGTCTTCTCAGAATGTCAGATCAACTACACTTTCCTTCAGCCAAGTGCATTTATGCTTCTACTTTCTGGCACCCTGCCACAACTGAGTAGCTTTTCATTTATCAAACACTGCAGCACAGCACTCTTAACTAGGCAACTGCTCCTCATTTCTGCCCAAATCTCTTTATCATGGAATTGGGTTCATTTCAAAAAGTTTATCATTTTGAGAAGGAACTGCAATGCAAAAACAATGCCATTTATCAGCTTAGGCAAGGGGACTGCTAGGAAATGATAAATTTCCTGTATGTGGCTTTAGTTTATCACCAGCTTATTTTAACTTCTTGCACTTGCTGGATACACTTGTATGACAGGTAAACTTTAAGTGCCTCATGCCCTTCTTCCCTGATAAATATGCTTAATAATGTAGATGTGTATTTATAAAGTTGTCTTTCACCAGAGAATGTACAAGAAGGGGAAACTGTAAGAATTATAGTATGCTTTTAAATACATGATCTTAAGAATCTTGTAGTCTAATGTTCTAATCTATAAAAAACATCCCTGAAACCTTGAGTGGTCAAATAAGCAATGTAAAATCATGGAGGCAGTTTATGGCAGAGCCAGGAACTGAACCTAGAATAAGACACTTTCTCTCCTTCCACATGAGTAAATTATTATGGTATAATAATTAGTTTATTAAAAGATACTGTATTAGGGTTCTCTAGAGGGAACGAACTAATGGAATACATATATATAGGAATATATATATATGGAAATATATATATATTCCATTAGTATATATATATACTTCACATCGGCGTTTAAGTATTGTTAACTTTATGTAATAGTATATATATTCCATTAGTTTAGAATATGTAATATGTAATAGTATGTAAAGTATGTCATATGTAATAGTATGTAAAAGTATATATATATATTCCATTAGTATATATATATATATATATACACACACACACACACAGAAATGGAATATATATATACACTAATGAAATACATATATACTTTATATATATACTATATAGTGTATATATATATATATATACACACACTAATGGAATATATATATATACTTTTACATACTATTACATATGACATACTTTACATACTATTACATATTACATATTCTAAACTAATGGAATATATATACTATTACATAAAGTTAACAATACTTAAATGCTGATGTGAAGTCAATAAATCTTATTTCACATGATGAAGATATTTTCTTTCTACAAGTTTATATATGCACAAACATGTTTTAACAAAAGGAGGAAATACTCATGACAATTACTTGAAAATTATATACATATATATATATATATATATATATATATATATATATATATATGAGTTTATTAAGTATTAACTCACATGATCACAAGGTCCCACAATAGGTCATCTGCAGGCTGAGGATCAGAGAGAGCCAATCCTAATTCCCAAACTGAAGAACTTGGAGTCTGATATTCCAGGGCAAGAAGCATCCAGCACGGGAGAAAGACATAGTCTAGGAGGCTGGGCCAGGCTCCTTTTTCACATTTTTCCACCTGCTTATATTCTAGCTGTGATGGCAGCTAATTAGATTGTGTCCACTCAGATTAAGGAAGGGTCTGCCTTTCCCAGCCCACAGACTCAAATGTTAATCTCCTTTGTCAACACCCTCAGATACACTCAGGATTAATGCTTTGTATCCTTCAATCCAATCAAGTTGACACTCAGTATTAACCATCACAAGTCCACCCCTTGTCAACTTGAACCTATACACATCTCCTGAAATCATACATAATCTTAAAATAAAGACAATAATAAGGTCATAATTACCCCTAACATAATACAACTATCCTTCATACAAACAGAAATGTACAAATCCCCAAACCAAATACTATTACATAAAGTTAACAATACTTAAATGCTGATGTGACATCAATAAATCTTATGTCACATGATGAAGATATTTTCTTAGCACAAATGTACACATGCACAAACATGTTTTTAACAAAAGAAGGAGGAAATATTCATGACAATTACAGTCCTCGTTTCTTCAGCTGGTCATGTGTTTGTAGCTGGTATTGATGACTACTTTCTCTACTACCCATTCTGTGTTCCCATTGCCTTCAGCAAGCATCCCAGCAGGTCATCATTTTGTTGTTGCTCTTTTGTTTTGTTTTTTGTTTTTTTTTCCAGTGGAGTGACCCAAACCTTCATTCCTGAAGGGTGTGGGTCATTTGTATTCCTGCCTGAATTGGGCTGTTGTAGTTTCCCATTGAGGTAACTCACAGGGCATGGCAATACTAAGAGATGCCCTAATGCATCTCCTGTATTCCATGCGTGCTCATCCTTACTTCCATTGTGAAGTAGTAAACTGATTTCATCTTGATAGTCTGGGTCAGTCACCCCAGCCAACATGGTACATCCCCTCTTTGCCTATTGACTTAAAGGTAGAAGCCCAAAGTATCCAGGTGTCAATCTTAACTTCCAGTTTAATGGAATTGATGTTGTGTCTCCTGGTGGCAGTGTTCCTCCCTCTGGATCTAAGACCTCTAGGCCAGCAGAATGTAATGTTGTGGGAACAGGAAGCAAAAATTTCACTGGTGGATCACTAGGGGTGATGATGAGTGGTGCCACTTCCACTTCCACCCCTTGATTCCTGGACCCATGAATCCTGGCTATGGGAGAAACAGTACCATATATTGGATGCTGATTCAGAGCTTACATGGCCTTCTGGAAAATTTTGTCCCAGCCCTGAAAAGTACTGTCACCTAGTTGACGTTGTAATTGTGACTTTAAAAGGCCATTTCACCATTCTATCAATCCAGCTGCTTCAGGATGAGAGGGAACATGGTAAGACCAGTGAATTCCATAATCACGAGCCCATTGCCACACTGCTTTAGCCATAAAGTGAGTGCTTTAGTCAGAGGCAATGCTTTGTGGAATACCATGATGGTGGATAATATATTCCATGAGTCCACAGATGGTAGTCTTGGCAGAAGCATTGTGTGCAGGATGGGCAAACACATATCCAGAGTAAGTGTCTATTCCAGTGAGGACAAACCTCTGCCCTTTCCATGATGGAAGAGGTCCAGTATAATCAACCTGCCAACAAGTAGCTGGCTGATCACCCAAATGAATGGTACCATATCAAGGGCTCAGTGTTGTTGTATGCCACTGGCAAATTGGACACTCAGCAGTGGCCACAGTCAGATCAGCCTTCATGAGTGGAAGTCCATGTTGCTGAGACCATGTGTAACCTCCATCTCTGCCACCATGGCACACTCCTCACCCGCCCTGGCTATTACCATCCACATGGAAGGGGGGTGAGCCACCCTTATCGTGGGGGGTGCCTATGTATGTCCATTATTAGCGTTCTCTTTTTTCCTGGATATTAGGAACAATTTCACAGGGTGCGTGTACACAGACTGGGATATGAAAACTAATATCATCCTCTGCACCTCCAGGTAGTAGGAACCATATCACACATTGGGTGTACACTTTTTGCGAGATTTGGGGTAATGTCATCCTGTGTTTCCCTGAATATTCGGAGAAATATCACAGGGCAGGTGTACACCCACTACTCTATTGGGAGGAACGTCATACTTTACCTACTGGAAATTAGGAGCAATATCACAGATGGGATGTAAAGCCACTGTCATATTTGAAGTAATATCATGCTCTCACAGACTAGTTATGAGGAGCAATATCACAGGGGGGTGTATATCTTCTGCGGTATTGGGAGTAATGTCATCATCTGTTCCTTTAGATGATAGGAGCAATATCACGGGGCGGGGATGTACACACCGTGTATTTTTGGAAGCAATGTCATTCTCTCTTCTTCTAGATTTTATGATTCGTATCACAGGTGGGGTGTACACCCCTTGTCTTATTGGGAGAAATCTCATCCTCTTTCAAGCTATATATTTAGAACAATATTCCATGTGGGCTGTACATCTCTTCAATATTGGTAGTAATAGCATCTTCTCCTTTCCTGGATATGAGAAACAACATCACAGGCGGGGTGTACACCCCTTGCAATATTGGGAGTAATATCACCTCTCCCTATGTCGTTATTGAGGACAAAATCACAGGGTGAGTGTACAGCTCTTACGTTATTGGGAGTAATATCATCCACTCACTCCCTGGATATCAGAAACTATATCACAGAAGAGGTGTACACCCCCTTCAATATTGTCAGCAATATCACCCTCTTCCCACCTGGATATTAGGAACAATACCACGGATATGACACCCAATATCGCAGGGAGTAGAAACACTCCTGTGATACTGTTCTTAATATTCAGGGAGGAAGAGGATGATATTACTCCCAATGGAGTGAACTTAGCAACCAACCAGCTTCATTATGTTCCTTAGTCCTCCACATATGGTCAAATGTGTTATGTATACAGTCACTAAACTCCTTGCCTCTCATGATCAATGAATCAGGAGTGTCAAATGCATTTATTTTGCATACTCACTTAACAGTTCACACCAAGTACTATCAGTGTTCTCCATACTACTAGAATTTGAGTACTTAGCATTTTTGGGTCTAATCATATTAAGCAGCCAACTCCAGAAACCCCAAAACCAATGAAGGAACTCCATCCTTAATATTCTGTTCCTGTAGAACCACTCCTGATACCAAATCTGTATTAGTCAGCATTCGCTAGAGGGACAGAACTAATGGAATATATATATATATATATATATATATATATATATATATATATATATATATATATATGTGTATATATATATAAATTGGAATGGAATTATATATATATGTATATATGTGTGTGTGTGTATATATATATGTATATATATGTGCATATATATATATATATGGGAGAGTTTAGTAAATATTAACTCACATGATCACAAGGTCCCACGATAGGCTGTCTGAAGGCTAGGGAGCAAGGAAAGCCAGTCCTAGTTCCGAAGCTGAAGAACTTGGAGTCCGAAGTTCCAGGGCAGGAAGCATCCAGCCTGGGAGAATGATGCAGGCTGGGAGGCTAGGCCAGTCTCTCTTTTCATATTTTTCTGTCTGCTTATATTCTAGCCAAACTGGCAGCTGACTTGATTGTGTCCACTCAGTTAAGGGTGGGTCTGCCTTGCTCAGTCCACTGACTCAAATGTTAATCTCCTTTGGCAACACCCTTACAGACACACCCAAGATCAATAGTTTGTATCCTTCAACCCAATCAAGTTGACACTCAGTATTAACCATCACAGATACCTGCTGAAACTCTACTTGGCATCATACCCTAGTTAGGGAATAAAGGTGTGTATGAATAAGGAAAGTAGATTAATGCTTTACAGAGATTTTATTTATTTATTTATTTATTTAGATGGAGTCTCACTCTCTTGCCCAGGCTGGAGTGAAGTGGCACGATTTCAGCTCACTGCAACCTCCGCCTCCCAGGTTCAGGCGATTCTCTTGCCTCAGCCTCTTGAGTAGCTGGGATTACAGGCACGTGCCACCATGTCCGGCTAATTTTTATATTTTTAGTAGAGACTGGGTTTCACCATGTTGGTCAGGCTGGTCTCAAACTCCTGACCTCATGATCCACCCGCCTCGGCCTCCCAAAGTGCTGGGATTACAGGTGTGAGACACCGCGCCTGGCCTGGAGATTTTTATTGCAACAAGTAAGTTATCAAATAGTTGCAAATATAGTATTTCTGATAATCACTTTAAAAGTGCAATGAAAAATCATAGTCATGTTCTCTTGGAAAATATGAGGAAGTAGACACTAGTGGCAGATGGTCAAGGAAAGATACTCTGAACATGTCATGAGACAAAATTTACATATGATGTTTTTTGAAATGAAAAATTCTGAGCTATGTGCTCTTAACACTCTCCTCCTAACAGTGGGATAACTATCCCATGTTAATATTTTATTTGAACATCAATTAGCCAAATACCTTCAAAAACATTGATCTGTAGAATGTTACTTTCTGGCTGTGGGGTCTAGTGCTTCTTCTGACTTAAAATGTTTTTTTTCACTAGTAATTCTTGAACATCTCTGGGACCTCTTTTCAAATGCAAAAGGCATAGCTATTGCTTGTTCAATATCTCCACTTCAATTTTCAATAGACACTTCAATATTTCATATGCCAGACAGATTTTTAAATGTATATTAAATCATAAGGAGCAAAGAGAATAGATTTCTGAAAAAGTGAAATAAAAAGGGAAATAAATTTATACCAGCCATCGGTACTTACAATGAGCTGAACAGAGGGTTCAGGAACAGTGCAATGCCCATGTGGAAATTTGAATCATGACAGAAGTGTAAAGAAAGATCAGAGAGGACAGGGCAGCCTAGTCAATAAATAATATTTTTTAAAATCTTTATCTTTATGGAAGCAATCTAAACTTTAAGTTGCTGAAGATAGATCAATAGAAAATGTCATACTGAATTTCAAAAAAAAAAACAATGAGGAAAAAAAAGCAGGTTAGAACTGTAGGCAATTTCAAAAAGTGTCACATACAAATAGGCGGATTACCAGAAGGAGAGAAAATGGAGAAATAAATTTAAAGTAATTACTAAAAACTTTCCAAAATTAAGGACAGACATTATAGTCTGGATCCATGAAGCATGAAGCTCTCAGGGAACATCAAGTAAGAAAAATTTAAAAACAAACATACAAACAAAAAATACAACTACACATATTCAACTGTATAATAAAGCTTCTGATTCCATAATTCTTTGATGTTTAACTGGGGACAACTTTTCTGCTTTGTCTTTCTTCTTCATCTACTGTCTTATATCTGGGTAAGCCAAGAAAGCCTTAGTTCTCCTTTCTTTAGTGCCAGTGTGTGATTCAAATTCCCCAAGTCCCTTCTCATGCCCCAGAATGTTCAAATCAGCCCCACCCACTAAGCACCATAAAAAGCCTAAATCATTCTCTTTTCTCCAATTTCTCAAGCCGTTTTAGGACCAGCTTCGGTGGTCCACTATCTTCTTCCAAGAGATTTCCTTATGTTAATAATGAACTTTTTCATGCTTTCTTAGTGAGTGTGTGGCTTCACCGGTCTTAGTATCTAAACCAAATTTTGGGTGTAAATTCATCCCATGATTGCTGGGTTGCCTTAACAAAACTATAGAAAAGCAAAGACAGAAACATTCTTGAAAGAAGTTGGAAAATGAGGTGTGAGATAAAGCATCTTATAGTGAAACTTAGATTCTAAATATGGTGACTTCTTATCAGAAACTATGCGAAGAAACAAGTACACTTTAATACTAAAACGTTGAAAAGAAAAAGCAACCACAAATCTAGAATTCTACATGTAGTTAAATTATCATTAAAATTTTTTTTTTTAAAAAAACTTACTTTGACAAAGCAGAAATCTGAGCAAATATATTACCAACTGATTTTCCCTGTAGGAAATTTTAAAATATCTTCAGGAAAAAAGAACATGATATATATTAATAATTCAGATCTACTTAAATCAAGAGCATTGAAGAAAGAATAAATGGAGGTAAAACAAAATATCTTCTTTTTTAAATTGATCGAAATATAAGTAAATATTTAAAAGTAATCATAGTAATAATAAATGAATTGGGTGTTTATAGTAGCACCAAAAAAGTATGAGAAAACTCAAAAATAAGAAGTAAAAGTGAACACACATAAAAAATGATGGAAGTATGCTAAAAGGAACTGAAAGAACTTCCATTAACCAAAAGTGGAAAAATTTTCTCAAAAAGAAAATCAAATAGTATTGGATTGTAACCCAGATTGTAAAATAAATATCTATGAGTTCATATTATTGTAAATAAATGATTGGATAAATAAATATTGTAGATGTCTTAGTCCATTTGTGCCGCTAAAGCCGACTACAGCACACGAGATAATTTGTAAAGAACAGAAATACATTTTGTCACTCTTCTGGAGGTTAGAAAATCCCAGGTCAAAAGGCACCAGCATGATCACTGTCTAGTAAGAGCCCAGTCTCTCCTTCCAAGATGATGCCTTCTTACTGCATCCTCTTAAGGGGAGGAATAATATGCCCTCAAGTGGCAGAAGGTGGAAGGTTTTATCACCTAAATTTGCACCAGAAGAGGAGCCCTCATGACCAAATCCCTTCTTAAATATCTTAACACATTGCCCATTAAGTTCTGACACCTGATGGCCAGTGATGATGAGCATTTTTTCATGTGTCTTTTGGCTGCATAAATGTCTTCTTTTGAGAAGTGTCTGTTCATATCCTTCGCCCACTTGTTGATGGGGTTGTTTGTTTGTTTTTTTTTTCTTGTAAATTTGTTTGAGTTCATTGTAGATTCTGGATATTAGCCCTTTGTCAGATGAGTAGATTGTAAAAATTTTCTCCCATTCTATAAGTTGCCTGTTCACTCTGATGGTAGTTTCTTTTGCTGTGCAGAAGCTCTTTAGTTTAATGAGATCCCATTTGTCAATTTTGGCTTTCGTTGCCATTGCTTTTGGTGTTTTAGACATGAAGTCTTTGCCCATGCCTATGTCCTGAATGGTATTGCCTAGGTTTTCTTCTAGGGTTTTTATGGTTTTAGGTCTAACATTTAAGTCTTTAATCCATCTTGAATTAATTTTAGTATAAGGTGTAAGGAAGGGATCCAGTTTCAGCTTTCTACATATGGCTAGCCAGTTTTCCCAGCACCATTTATTAAACAGGGAATCCTTTCCCCATTTCTTGTTTTTGTCAGGTTTGTCAAAGATCAGATGGTTGTAGATACGTGGCATTATTTCTAAGGGCTCTGTTCTGTTCCATTGGTCTATATCTCTGTTTTGGTACCAGTACCATGCTGTTTTGGTTACTGTAGGCTTGTAGTAGTTTGAAGTCAGGTAGTGTGATGCCTCCAGCTTTGTTCTTTAGGCTTAGGATTGACTTGGCAATGCGGGCTCTTTTTTCATTCCATATGAAGTTCAGTTTTTTCCAATTCTGTGAAGAAAGTTATTGGTAGCTTGATGGGGATGGCATTGAATCTACAAATTACCTTGGGCAGTATGGCCATTTTCACGATATTGAATCTTCCTATCCATGAGCATGGAATGTTCTTCCATTTGTTTGTATCCTCTTTTATCAAAACCACAATGAGATACCATCTCACAACAGTTAGAATGGCGATCATTAAAAAGTCAGGAAACAACAGATGCTGGAAAGGATATGGAGAAATAGGAACACTTTTACACTGTTGGTGGGACTGTAAACTAGTTCAACCATTGTGGAAGTCAGTGTGGCGATTCCTCAGGGATCTAGAACTAGAAATACCATTTGACCCAGCCATCCCATTATTGGGTATATACCCAAAGGATTATAAATCATGCTGCTATAAAGACACGTGCACATGTATGTTTATTGTGGCACTATTCACAATAGCAAAGACTTGGAACCAACCCAAATGTCCATCAGTGATAGACTGGATTAAGAAAATGTGGCACATATACACCATGGAATACTATGCAGCCATAAAAAATGATGAGTTCATGTCCTTTGTAGGGACATGGATGAAGCTGGAAACCATCATTCTCAGCAAACTTTCGTAAGGACAAAAAACCAAACACCGCATATTCTCACTCATAGGTGGGAATTGAACAGTGAGAATACATGGACACAGGAAGGGGAACATCACACTCTGGGGACTGTTGTGGGGTGGGGGGAGGGGGGAGGGATAGCATTAGGAGATAGGCCTAATGTTAAATGACGAGTTAATGGGTGCAGCTCACCAACATGGCACATGTATACATATGTAACAAACCTGCACGTTATGCACATGTACCCTAAAACTTAAAGTATAATAATAAAAAATAATAACAAAAAAAAAGTTCTAACACCTGAACTTTGGAGGGGACATATTCAAACCATAGCAATGGGAAAAGAATCTCCCAGGCAGAGATTTCCAAATAATTTATGTAAACACTCTGCTTTCAAGGAAGTGGAGCATAAAGTGTCACTTTTTAAGAGTAGGTTGCATATAGTGACTTCCTTTCAAAAGTAGTATGGAAAGGAGATAAACAAATAACTTTACAGTGGAAAAACCCTATTAAGGTGTTAGAACTTAAATCTTATTTAGTTTATCAAAACAAAACAAAACAAAACAAAGACATACAAAGCAATACGTGATTGTATGGTTTGAATCTGTCACCCAGAAATCAAGTGCTGAAAACTTAATCTCCAATGAGACAATGTTGGGAGGAAGGGCCTAATGGAAAGTATTTAGGTCATGAGGGCTCATGAATAGATTGTCATAAAAAAGGCTCACAGGAAAGGGTTTGTTCTCTGGTGCTTCATTCTTTCTTTTTCTCTCATGTGATGTTGTAGCAAGAAGGCCCTCACCAGATGCCAGTGTCTTACCTTGCACTTCCCAGCCTCAATAACTGTTAAGTATATACATTTCTGTTATTTGTAAAATACCTAGTCTCAGGTATTTTCTTATAGCAGCACAAAAAGAACTAATACAGTCATGTCGATGTTCTGTACCCTTAATATGATGTGATGAAAATGACACAGAACTCTGTGGTCCTCCTCACTAAAAACTATAAACCTCATTATAAAACAAACAAACAAACCAAAACCAAAAAAATGGACACATTCCACTTGAGAGAAACTCTACAAAATACCTGGCCAGTGTTCCTTAAAACTGTCAAGGTCATCGAATACAAGGGGAAAGTCTGAGAAACAATCAAAGCTGAGAAGAGCCTGAGAAGCATGGCAACTAAATGTAATATGGTATATTGGATGAGATTCTGGAACAGAAAAAGTAATTAAATAAAATTAATAGAATCTAAATAGAAATGAACCTTAGTTTATAACAATGCATCAATATTGGTCACATTATGATATGGTTTGGCTGTGTCCACACCCAAATCTCATCTTGAATTGTAGTTCCCATAATCCCCACATGTCATGGGAGGGACCCAGTGTAAGGTAATTGAATCATGGGGACAGTTATCTCCATGCTGCTCATGATAGTGAGTGAATTCTCACAAGACATGATGGTTTTATAAGGGTCTTTTCCCCTTTTGCTTGGCACTCCTCCTTGCTGCTACCATATGAAGACGGATGTGTTTGCTTCCCTCTCTGCCTTGATTATAAGTTTCCTGAAGCCTCCCCAGCCCTGTAAAACTGCAAGTCAATTAAGCCTCTCTTTTTATAGATTACCCAGTCTCAGGTATGTCTTTATTAGCAATGTGAGAACGGACTAATACATATTAATAGTAACAAATATGCCATACTAATGCAAGATGTTAATAATAAGGGAAACTATGTGTGCCTATGGTGGGGGGTTGGTGGGAGCAGGTAATATGAGACTGTGTACCATATTTGCAATTTTTCTGTAAATATAAAACTGTTCTAAAATTTAAAAGTTAGCGTAAAGATTAAAATGTTCTTAATAAGAAAAATAGGTAAATATATTTTAGTAGATCTTATAAAAAATATTGTATGAAGCAGTGAAAAATAGATGACTAGATGACAGCTACCCTCAACAGAATATATGAAATATACTCCTATGGGAAAATAAGAAAACAATTTTTACAAAGTTCAAAAATATCTAAAAGTCAAAAAATATACTTTAAACATATATGAAAAAATAAATTCACAAATATCAGGATAATTATATTCCCAAAATTATGATAGTGTTTATCTCTGATGGAAGGATGCAGGCTTCCAATACAGAGGAGGGAAGACACTTGTATAGAAGCAGTTTTTAGTTTTCTTGTAACTGGATGTTATCATTTAATAAAAACACACATTATACATATTGATATCAATTAATAAAAGAGGTTATGCATGGAGCTACAATGAAAGAACACTATAAACAAGATTATTATAAATCAGTGCACCTGGAGTCAACAGCAATAACAAAACAAAACCCTAGTTATACTTAAATGAGTATTAAATATATTTCTCTCAATTGCATACTTTCTTTACCTTTAAATAGTTATGGTAATACTGGTTTCAGTACATTTCTAATGGTGTGGTTATGCTTATTTTTTGCTATTATTAATTGACACATAACTAATGTACATATTTATGGGGTACAGTGTGATATTTTGATTTATGTATATGATGTATAATGATCAAATCAGAGTAATTAGCATATTCATCACTTCACACATTTATCAGTTCTTTGTGTTGGGGACATTCAAAATCTGCTCTTCTAATTGTTTCAAAATATATAAAATATTGTTGTTAGGTAGTGATTCTACAGTCCTGTAGAAGACCAGAACTTTTCTCTCCCACTTAGCTGTATTTTTGTATCTGTTAACCAACCTTTATCTATCTTCCTCTTCCTCCTACTTTTCCTTGTCTCTAATAACCACTCTTTTACTCTCTACTTCTATGAGATCAAATTTTTTAGCTTCCACATCTGAATAAGAAAATGTGGTACTTATCTTTCTGTACCTGGCTTATTTCACTTAACCTAATGTTCTCCAAGCTCATCCATGTTTCCATGAATGACAGAATTTTCTTATTTTGTATGGTGAAATAGTGTTCCATAGTGTGTATACACCACATTTCCTTTATCCATTCATCTGCTGATGAACACTTAGGTTTATTTCCATATGTTGGCTCTTGTGAATAGTGTTGCAATAAATGTGAAAATGCAGATTTCACATACTAATTTTTTTGACATTCTAATTTCCTTTTTTTGGAAAGAGTGTGAGATTGGATCCAGTACTGGCATTGCTGGATTATATATTAGTTTTTTTTAGTTTTTTGAGGAAACTTCTTTCTGTTTTTTGTAATGGCTCTACTAATTACATTCATACCAACAATGTATACGAGTACTTCTTTCTACACATCCTTGCAAGAACTTGTTAACTTCTACATTTTTTATAAGAGTCATTTGAAATAGAAGATACTATCTCATTGTGGTTCTGATTTACAATTTTCTGATGCTTAGTGATGCTGAACATTTTTATGTATATTTATTTTCTATTTGTATGTCTTCTTTTGAGAGATTTCTATTCAGTTCATTTGTCCATTTCCAGTTGGATTATTTGTTGTTCTTTGCTTTTTGTTTTTGCTATTGAGCTGTTTGAGTTTCTTGACTATTCTGGGTATTAATTGCTTGAAAATTTGCATGCATTATGTCAGACCAAAAACAAAAAAAAAAATCAAAGAATATTTGTTTCCAAAATATATTTTTATGTCACTGAATGAATTACATTTTTGCAAAATGTTAGTGGTATACACCAAAAGTTAAAACAATATTTAGTATTCTCAATTAATCAGCATCTGACTGCAAACAACAGAAACCTACCCTCTTAATGAGAGCAAAAAAAATCATTAATTGTTGCTTGTTAAGTTTCCAGAAGTACCAGAGGTATCTCCAGAAGCTGGAGTTCCAGATTACTTCATCAGAACCTAGTGTATTTCAGGACTGGTCGTTGGTGACAACAATAAGCCCCCAATAGGTGTAATCTCTCACTGTGACACTTAAGCCTCGGAAAACTGGATGACCCCAAAAGCTGTAACCCTCCAGAAGAGATTCTGTGCAGTGCCTTCTTCAGTCCATATCTCTAGATTCTATATTGTAGCTTTAGGTAAAGGCTAGGTTAGCTGTCTGGGCTTAAGAGGCACTGGGGTTGGGAAAGAGAATTCTACTTTAGAGAAAAACTGGAAAAGCTTCTACTTTAGAGATACAGGGATTCATGTCATAAAAATGTCCTCAGTCTAAATGGCTGTGTTTAAAGAAGACTTGAAACCAAAAATAAATAAATAGGTAGTTAGGTACATTCTCATTAGAGTGACTCTGGGAAAATTGATATCTGTTTGCAATTGTTTACCTGAACATTGGCATGGCTGAAGACAGTTAAATCATGTTATTTGTGTATTTCAGCTAACCCAAATGATATCAGATAATTAATAAGTAAATTCAAAGAATCAGGGCCAGAATCCATTCCTATGTCATAGTATATGGTAAGAGATTTGTCCCAGTAATGCTGACTCTAAACAAAATACCATTGTGAGGGAGAAGCCTGATGTGTAAGAAGCTCGCTACAATTTAGTTTGTGATTGATTCCTGAAAATAAGTCAAAGTTTTATAAACTCTCAAAACAATTGCATTTCTCATAATAGAGCTCTCCACAGAGTTGCTGCCTGTAAACACTGCTTTTAGAATTTTGCTTGATAACTTTTGCAATCTAATAAGTAATTAAGTGGCATATAGTATCTTACATAAAAACTACTGTGAAGATTTGTTTGATTGAAGAAAAAAGAAAGGAATATTTGGATTTGAGTTGTGACTAAAACTAAAATCTAAGATAGTTGCATTGTTATTTTAGTGTTTTGACAGATAGGAAGCATGAAAGGGGGAAAACAGGCTGCCTGGCTGAACTGGAGGACCCTATGTTAAAATGGTTACCCAAGTACTGTGGTCTGAATACTTGTTTCTCCCCCAAATTCACATGTTGAAATCCTCAGTTTCGAGGTGATGTTATTAGGAAGTGAGGCTTTTGGGAAATGATAAGGTCATGAGGGTGTAGCCCTCATGAATGGGACTAGTGCCCTTATAAAAGAGACCCTAGAGAGACCTCTAGCCTTTCCACCATGTGAAGACACAGTGAGAAGGCACCATCTGTGAACCGGAAAGCAGGCTTTCCCCAGACACTAAATCTGATGGTGCCTTGATTTTGGACATTCTAGCCTCCAGAACCCTGAGAAATAAAATTCTCTTGTTTATAAGCCACTCAGTTTATGGTACAGCAGACCCTCCATATCTGTGGCTTCTGCATAGCTAAATTCAACCAACCTCAAATTGAAAATATTTTTTTGAATGTGCTTGTACTGAACCTGCAGAAATGTTTTTGGTCATTATTCACTAAACAATAGAGTATAATAACTATTTACATGGCATTTACATTGTATTAGGTATTACAAGCAATCTAGAGATGATTTGATGTATATAGGAGGATGTACAGAAGCCATATAAAATACTCTGCCATTTTATATAAGTAGCATGAGCATCCATGAATTTTGGTATTCATAGAAGACCCTAGAACCAATCCCCCATGGATACTGAGGAACAACTGTATTTTTGTTATAGCATCCAGATAGAATAAGATACTGAGATAACTTGAAAGGTGCAACACATCTCCCCTGGGCATTTAAATCTAAGTAAAGAGGTAGGAAAACAGAATGTCATTGATATATACTTTTATTTATTTTTTATGTTGGCAAGATATAAGAAAAATGTTTGCTCACTAACAAGCAGAAATGGCAAGAAATAGGATGATTCTGTAAATCTGTGGCCTGGAGAAAATGGAAAACCAGCTGCTTTTACATTCCAAAGCACTATTGAGAGGTCTGAATAAGATTTTGATTGACCAACACACAGAAAATGTTTCAATTGAACAATTCCTTGTGAAGTTTAAATTCGGTGATTTCCTCATCTAATGCCTTATGATCCTTTAAAATAAATATCATTGAGAGGCAAAAGGAAAAGAGGGCGAAGGGAGAGGAGAGCGATGGTGGGGATGGTCAGGTGAGCAGAAGAAAAGAGAGAGAAAAGAGAAAGGCACAATTATAAAAGTAAAAAATAATTGAGAAATTTGTAGAAAAAAGTTAGCTTTGTTAATATAGAATATGAGACTGGCCAAAAAAAGTTATATTTGTTGTAGTTAAAAATCTGAAGCAATCTTTATTTCTACCAACTAATTTTGGTATAACTATACAAAGGAATACTACTTAGTAATAAAAAGGAGCAAAGTACTGATAAACGCAACTACATAGATGAACCTGAAACACATTATGCTGTTACAATGCCAGACACAAAAGAGTACATTATGTATGATTCCACTTAGAGTAAATTCTAGAAGATTATTCATATATAGTGACAAAAAATCTATCAGGGAATACTTGTGTTTTGAGTGGTGAAATTCTGACTGCACAAAATAAGTACAAAAATATTTTAGGGATGTGAAGAGACTATTCTATATCTAGATTATGGTGTTGGCCACATGGGTGTAAAATTTGATAGAATTTTTCATTTACCTTAAAATAAGTGCATTTTATTTCATCTTTTCAAATTTATTGACTACATTTTAAAAAGCCATTTGCTTATTCTGGATATTAAACCATCTTCAGGCTCCCATGCTTCCTCAAGCTGAAAGTATGCAGCAATCATTTCTCATCTCTGAAGCAAGAAAAACTTCTAGTTACCTCTCCAAACCAGGGTAAGGGAAGTGGAGGGAAAAGAGAGAGTATAATCGGGGACCAAGGAGAAAAAATAAAGTACTTCCTCTTAAAGACAAGAATCATAGCCTATTGGAGGAATTTCTGCTCCACCAAGGTTGAGACCTTTACCTTGTTTTCCCAGAGAGATTTCACAAGAATTTTGGATGAATAACTCTTCTGTGCATGCTGTATTTCTATTTTTGGAACATTCCACTTTAGTTTACTCTCTGTCTCTCTGTCTTTCTCTCTCTTTCTGTGTGTGTGTGTGTGTGTGTATGTATGTGTGCATGTGTGTGTCTGTACATGTCTGTGTGTGGAGGATTGAGATCGGCTAGAAAAAACTTGTTATTAATTCATAACAGTCAGATCTAACCCTAATATAGAATATAGCACAACATCTAGAACTTCTGGCCTTTGGACAAAATGCAAAAATTGGGTGGAACTTTGATTTGCCTGCTTTGGTGAGAGAGAGAATGTAATATATATTTGAGAAGAGAACAAATGAATAGTTGTGAAAGAAGGGTAGTCTGTGGCAAAAAAAGTTGTTCTTATCATTCTCTATCTTATTTTCTTTCATTTATGCAGAGCAAAAATACGTTATTTTTCAGTCTGCTTTTATTAAGCAGAGCAAAAACACTTGGTTCTGGACAATGGAATGTTGGCAGAAATGACATAAGTAAATTCCAAGCCTACCTTTAAAAACAACTCATACAATCTTTTATGTATTCCCTTGGCCCCTATCTGGTAACTAAATTTCAACCGAAGATGACCCTGAGAGTCACGTATTGAATAAGGAAGAGTGACACAGTTGAAGATAGAAGGTTCCTGATTGATTACATGAAGCAGAGTCCTCTCAGAAATTTGCACTGGACAATGATATGTTTGATAAATAAACTTTCATTTTTTAGACCATTAAAATTTTTCTTTGGTATAGCACTTAATGTTGTTCACCCTGAAAATATTAGTGTCAAATCAGACAAAATTATACCAGAAAAAGTTATAAAATATTTTTAAAATTTTAGTATTTGAAGCCTGTCATTTTAAGTTGTTTGAAAAGCTATGTGGACTAGAAAAAATATATTTAATATTTTATTTTTCAAGTAAATTGTATTGAATAAGGGAGACATTTCTAGAACTGCCCAAAAACTTTTGTAGTGCAGTTAACCTTGACTTGCAAAGCTGAGAAAAATAAGCATAGCTGAAAAATCTAAATTCCTGCAATGGTATTTCCTAAATACATGCTCTAGAATGTCAGTTCCAGGATCACTCTTCACTATGACTCTATTAGCCAAACCTAGGTCCTCACACTGATGAAGGAGCTGTGTTCTTTTTGTCTGAGATGTTGAAACAAAATACATTTTAGAGTAAGATTTAATAGTACCATACTGATGACCTCTTCTAATTTTTGCTTCATATCTCTACATTAACATTTTTAGTGTCTGTTCATTTATTTGTTTTAGTGTCTGAATGTTTTACAAACTGCAAATCCTTTCCTCACATTTTTTGAAACAAAACTTGGATAAAAGAAGCTTTTCGAGTATGAACAGTTCAAGAGAGGATAAACTCTCCCTTGATACACTTGAGGTAGATTAAAAAAAAATCTTTCATGTAAAATTTGTTTTAAATTGTCTTACTCTTTACCAAACATAATTATTTCATGAAGATTGTGCCTTAAGTAAATAAAGGAGCAGTATCCATTCCATTATGAACAAGTTAATGTTCATAAGAATAAAGGTAATAAATAGATAATGTCAAACAATAATGGAATTAGTGTATAATATACCTGCCCATTGAGCTGTGTAGAGTTTGTTACCTATTAGAGAGTCCAGCCTGACAAAATAATTTCACTCTGGGTCTTGGGAAAAATGGGGTAGGTTTGTCTCACACAAGAAGGGTTCATCTTTTTCTCCATAAAAAAAGGAAAGTTTCTTCCATATGGATCCTGTCTCTAGCATTGATGTGTCATTCTCAAGTGTATCATATAGAAAATAAGTAATCTTATAGAAAATGGCTGAGAGATAGATTACTCAAGTGATGAGGAGATTCTGAGGATTCTTCGTAAAGTGAAATTAAGTATGAACTAATAAGCCTGGTTGGGGGTTACTATGGCTCAAGTCACACTGGTTCATTGAAGGGTAGCTTTTGCCTATATGGTTGAGTCCTGAAAGGCAGAAATGTAATGGCAGAGAGCTACTTTAAACTAGTAGTAAATATTTATGAGTATTGAATCAGTCTCACAGTGAATGCAAGCACGGAGGCTATTAAACAATGGCCTTTATACAATCTCAGCTCACACACCTTATGAGTAACTTTGGCCAAGTTATTTAACATCTCTTTGCATCAATATTTTTCTCAAAATAGGGGCTAACAGAAGCATTTACTTCATAGGAGTGTTGTGAAATTGAATAAGCTAATACACACAAAATGTTTCATACAATGATTTTTATAAGATTATATGCTCAAGAAATAGAAATTATTTATGTATCCACATGTTCTTTATTTAGTTGATCGATATTTATTGAGCACCTATTGTTTCAGCTACGGGTCTGTATGTAGGGGATATAACAGTGAATCCTACACACACAAAAAATGTTTTTATTTATTTTATATTTTACTGGGGAGAAAAAGAATGAAATTAGTAAAATAGGTAGTATATTAGATTATGATGAATGCTATGGAATAAAATAAAGGAGATGAATAGTTAGAAAATGATGGAAGAAATTATAATTTTAAATGAGTTAGGGAAGTGTATTAGTCCGCTCAGGCTGTCATAACAAAATACCACAGACTAGGGGGCTTAAACAACAGAAATTAATTTTCTCAGAGTTATGGGAGCTGGAAGTCCAAAATCAAGGTGCCAAAATAGTCAGTTTCTGGTGAGTGCTCTCTTCCTGGCTTGCAGGCTTCTGCCTTCTCACTGCGTCTACACGTGGTGGAGAGCGAGCTCTGCTGTCTCCTCTTCTTCTTTTAAGGGCAGTAGTTCCATCAGGATGGAAGCCGCCGGTATACCTCAGCGAACCTTAGTCATTTTCCTAAAGACCCTGTCTTCAATACAGTCACGTGGGGTGTTAGGTCTTCAACTTATGAATTCTGCGGGGGATACATTCAGTCCATAGCAAGGAGTAAAAGAACCATTTAAGGGAATATGTAAGTATCTAGAGGAATTACTAGAGGATTATGTTGGGCAGGATAATTCCAGGAAGAAGAGAGTGTAAGAGTCAAGATCCTGAGGTGGGAACATGCTGGACAACGGAAATGGGTGAAGAAAAGAGTAGCAGGAAATGAGATAAAGAGGAAACAGGAAGGTTAGATTACATTCGGCTATTAAACTATTATAAAGATATTGATTTTAATTATGAGTGAGATGGGAAGACTTGGTAGCACATAAGAAACAAGTTGTGACTAAGTTTTAATAAGGCCACTCTGATGGCAATATTGAGAATATACTAAAGGGGAAAATGGGAAGTAGGAAGACTAAATGGAAAGCTATTGGTCCAAGCAACTGTAAGCCAGAGATTACAGTGGCTTGAACTACAGTTGCAGCAGTAGATAAGGTGAATAACTGTCAAAATCTGGAAATAATTTTCAGGCAGAAAGAAAAAGATCTTTTCGTGGATAATATGTAGGTTGTGAGAAAACAGGAAAATTGAAGAATGGGTCTAATTTTCTTGAACTGAGCGCCAAGAAAGGGAGTTGTTATTTAATATTTAGGTCGATATTGCAGGGGAACAGTTTGAAGGAATTTGATTCTGACATTTGGATACATTAAATTTGAAATGCCCATTTGATATGTAAATGGTGATGTTTCATGGACAGTTGTCTATAAATAAATGGAGAGAAGACTGACTATGTTTTGCATGTAGACTTATCAATATGAAACTGGATTAATTCATCAAAGGAGTAATCTTAGATAGAAAACAAGCCTAGGTCTGAAGACTGACCACATAATACTATAACTTTAACAGTCAGTGAGATGAAGAGGTGCCAGTAAAAAGAATGAGGAAAAGTGAGAGAAAAAGAAAATTAACAGAACACAATGTTTTAGAAATCAATATACAAAAAGGAGCTGGAAGAGTTTGCAAAAGGAGATAATGATCACTTGCATCAAATATCACTGAGAAGTGAAGTCAGAAGAGAATTGAATAGTGGCCATTGTTTTTTGCAACCTGGAGGTCATTGACAAAACAGTTCCAATGGAGTGCTGGGATCAAGTACTTAACTGGAGTGAGTTCAACACAAAAGAGTTGGAGAAAAGTAGAAAAATAGCAGCCAGTAATTATATACAAGTATTTCAAGGGATTTTGTTATCAAAAAAGGAGAGAAGGATAGACAGTAGCTCCAGGGATAAGTGAGTGTAAGTAGGGATCTTTTAAAATGTTATGATAGTAGAAATAAAGTTCATTTGTATATTAATAGGAAATATCAAATGTGTTGTAAGGCTTTTGTTTTACAACCATAGTGAGAAATATAATGGCAACATATGCCTCAAACCAAACAATGTCCCTGGCTCTGCAAAGAAGGAAAATAAATCAGAAATGAGAGCACTAGGTAAGTGGCATTGATTTGCAATCAATTCAAGAATCTAACCATGGACTTCCTAGTGTACCTTGTTCCATAAACAGTTATTGGATTTAACACCATTTGGCTTCTCAGAGTTCATACAGGGGTTATTGCCTGGTATATCACTCCCTGGGAATAATGACCCTGTTTGATTTCTTACCTTTTTGGCCATTTGGTATAATTTTCAAACACCAATGTTTGTGTTTGCTGAACACCATATATTTCAAGAAAGGAAAGTCTTCATCTCAGTAATAATGGTGTGAAATGTCAGGAGGCAATCCCCTTTCAGTAATTATTTGGATATTTAATATACGTATTAGCCAAGTGTAGTTAACTTGTTGATCTGATCATCTGACTCTCCTAGAGTCTTCAAGAGGACAGTATTAGTATTTGTATGATTAATTCATTGGAGGAACACTATGTTTATGGAACACAGAAACATTTGCAGTAGCAAGGCTCTAATTTTCTCCTACCTATACTCATAGCTTTATAGCTAAACTTACTAAGGGATAGTTATTATAAAAGAGAAAAACTATTAAATATTAAAAATGTTAAAAATCCCTGGGCTTTACCACAGAACTTCTGAACTTATAACCCCTGAAGTTATTGCTCAGGCAGCTGAATTTTAGCATAAAATAAAGAAAAAGATACAGCAAAGATATTACATAAGAATAAAATAAAGAGATACCAAAAATAAAGCTATACAATAAATTAAAATTTTAAAATTAAAATGAAGTTTAAACTTAAAAATAATTTAAAAGACCAACTATATAAAATTAAAAATTTAATGGCAAAATTTTAAGAGACAAAATAAATTATATTGAAGAATAAAACAATAAAATAGCAGAAGCCAATTGGAAAAGATATTAAACACAACAACAAAAGGGTTGGTTACAACTAAATACATAGAATGGTACTAAAAGTTATGAAAGTTCTCAATATAAAAGTCAATGCAATTGTAGATTGATCACAAGAATTAATGTCTGAAAAATGTGTAAACATTTTGTAAAATGGATTAAAGACCACTAAAAGCAGAAAACTTGTCGTTTAGGGAAAGAGATACTTAAATTATAAATATAATAATAAAATAAGACAATACAATTTTTTAAAAAGTTATCAAAGTAAAAATATTTAACCCTTGAAAATGTCCAAAATATTCTTTTGCTTATTAATGTTTGGTCTATTATAAATCGCAATCCCCAGGGTTACACTAGACAGAAAGTTTCCTGGGCTCCACTACAGAATTTCTGAACTTATAACCTCTGGAGTTGTTGCTCAGGCAGCTAATTTTTTTTTTTTTTTTTTTTTTTTTTTGAGACGGAGTCTCGCTCTGTCGCCCAGGCTGGAGTGCAGTGGCGCGATCTCGGCTCACTGCAAGCTCCGCCTCCCGGGTTCACGCCATTATCCTGCTTCAGCCTCCTGAGTAGCTGGGACTACAGGCGCCTGCCACTGTGCCCGGCTAATTTTTTGTGTTTTTTGGTAGAGACGGGGTTTCACCGTGTTAGCCAGGATGGTCTTGATCTCCTGACCTCGTGATCCGACCACCTCGGCCTCCCAAAGTGCTGGGATTACAGGCGTGAGCCACCGCGTCCGGCTAGGCAGCTGAATTTTAACATCCATAGGAGGTAATTATAATATACATCATTGATTAAGAACTGTTGCTTTAAGGTGAACCATACATGCAAACCTGAAAAGAAAACGGTAATAAAGAAGACAAATCAGTAACACACAAGAAATAAGATTATGTTTAATCTTTAATAAGGCTTAGGTAGCTCTGGATTCCTGAGAAATATAGGTTTTTATTGCAACAACCTCTCCACTTTTAGTCATTAAGTTTGTGATAATTTTTGGTTGTTATGTAGCAATAGAAAACTAAAATATAGAGTATACAAGGGAAAAGTAATTAGGTTGTTGATGGCAAATACTGTTGCTCATATATGAAGGCAGATGCTCTGAAAGATGCCAGCCCTCTATCTTTCTGGGCTTGTCTGCAGCCTCAGAACCTTTCTTAACACAGTTCTGTGGAAGCAATATGCTCTGTACGAGATGTTGAACTGATTTTTCACCTTTCCATGAGACGTTTGCAATAGCACAAATGTGTAATATATCTTGTATCTTGAACACTGCAGGAGTGAAATTGTCAGAGTGGGACTAATCTAAGAAAATTTCAACTTTTTGTTAAGTGAATCTGGAAAAAATACCCTTTTTTCCTAGTGAAGCAAATATATACATATATATATATATGTATGTATATATATAGACAGAGATTTCAACAAAATCCTGTACCTCTAAGCTAGTATGAATTGTGCTATTTTTTCACAAGGGGAAAAGGAAGATATGATCATATTTTCAAAAAATTCAAAAAAAATCATCCCTCCAATTTTCTAAACTATGAAACATCAAAACATATATCAGGATTGATACAAATGTTTCATGGATTGTATTTCAATTATAACATTAATTTGTGTTAGTAATTTTAGGTATCAAATTACAATAAAATTATAAGGTATGTAAAACCTTTAGATTACATATTTTAGGAATATATAAAAATGCCCTTTGGCCAGGTGCGGTGGCTCACGCCTGTAATCCCAGCACTTTGGGAGAGGCCGAGGCAGGTGGATCACAAGGTCAGGAGCTTGAGACCATCCTGGCCCACACGGTGAAACCCTGTCTCTACATAAATAAAAAATACAAAAAATTAGCCGGGCATGGTGGCGGGCACCTGTGGCCCCAGCTGTTTGGGAGGCTGAGGCAGGAGAACGGCGTGAACCCAGGAGGCGGAGCTTGCAGTGAGCCGAGATCACGCCACTGCACTCCAGCTTGGGTGACAGAGCGAGACTCTGTCTCAAAAAAAAAAAAAAATGCCCTTCAACACCTGTCAGAAATAAGCATTTTTCCTCTGAGCTCACACTTCAACAACAATCATCATCAGAAGACTTCTGTGACCAAATGTGTGTGGTTTTGTTTCCACACAAACAATAGAGATGAGCTGAGTGTTCTTTAACTCAATTCAATTCTGATGCTATCTTCCCAGAGATAGCCTTAGATCCCACAGGCTGAGGGCTCAGTCCCCAAAACTGCTTCCACTTCAGGCACCAGTTGTAAGTCCAGGCTTCCAGAACTTCTGTCTAACCAGCCAAAAGTTGGGGTTCCACAACGCCCTCTTTGATTAATTTGCTAGAGCAGCACACAAAACTTACACAAACACTTATTTACATATACTGGTTTATTATAAAGGCTATTACAAAGGATACAGATGAACAGACACATAGAGCAAGGCACACGAGAAAGTTTGTTGGGCTTCCATGCCCTCCTCAGGTGTGCCACCCTTTAGGAACCTCCACGTGTTCCATTATCTGGAAGATCTTTGAGTCTTGTCCTCTTGTTTTTTTTGTGGAGAAAACTTGATAGGCGTGACTGACAACCATGTAGAAATGTGATTGAAAAAAAAATGACATGATCTAATGATAATGGACTGAGTGGGAAACCCAGCAAGGCCTGTTTGTATTCTTCTGCCTCTCTGTGCAGCATTCTGTCCTCCAGGGTATGGGGCAGGAACCTCTCTGGAATGAGAGTTGTATGCCCCACAATCAGATTAGAGTTCTGTTTTAGGCAGGTGAAAAGAGAGCAGCAGAAAATCAAATAGAAAGATTCTGTTTTCTGAAGCCTTCTTCTGAGGCCTAAAGTCCCTCAACATTATCACAAGCGCTATGGGAGTTGTAAGCCAGGAACCATGGACAAAAACCTGTGTATGTACATACACACATACACACACAGATAAAAACCTATATATGTACATACATACACACACATACATATATATAAAATATCACATTCACATCACTCCAAATATAAATTATAAGAGCTACACATATAAGAACCATGAGTTCTTAAATGGTTTCAGGTTTATGAACTTAACATATTTATTTGTTTCCTTTAGCAGGTAGAGTTAGCCTAGTTTGTCTTCTGACTACAACTTTACAGTCAATAAACACATTAGTTGAGTACTAAAAAAATTATCAAAAACTTGGCAGCTTAAAATAGGATGCATTTAATATCTTCCAGTTTTCCTAGGTTAGGAGTTCCAGCAGGAATAACTGGACCCTCTGCTCATAATCTCATGAGGGTGAAATCTATGAGTTGGCCATGCTGCGCCCCTTTCAGGAGCTTGAGGTGCTCTTCTAAACTCAAGTAGTTATCAGCAAAACTCAGCTTCTTACAGACTCCTCATGTCCTAGTAGCTCCCACTCTTTCTTGAAATGTGGGGCTCTTTAAAACATGGCAGATTGCATCTTCAAAGTTTGTGACTTAAAGACCTCCTTTGAAAGAGTCACCTAATTAGTTCAGGGACACTCAGGGTGATCTCCTATTTTATTAACACCAAGTAAATAGATTAATGACCTTAATTACATCTGAAAAATTCCTTCTTGTTTGTCATGTAATGAAATAGAAGCAAGGGAGTTAAATCCATCATATTCAATAAGTTACACATATGTTAAAGGAAAATGAATTATATAGGCATTGTATATCATGGAGCAGAAATTTTGGGAGCCATTTAAAATTCTGCCTACCATACTAATTTTTTTTGGGGGAAATATTCATTGGATATTGAGAATGTCCTTTTTTGCCTTGATATATGACTTCAGCTCTGAGAAGAAATTCAGGATGAGCTGAATACGGTGGTGTTAATTAAATTAAATCAAGGATATATAAGTAAGAGAATTGGTAAGGGCTTTCACATAAAACTTTTAAAACCTCTCTGAGTATAAAAGTGTTCCCTGATCTTCCAAAACACACACACAAAGTTGGATTTTCAAAGTAAACATATGATGGGCTCTCAAACAATAAAGACTATGAAGGAGGGATGGATGCAAGCAAAACTTTTAAATAATTTATCATTATCAGTGTACATTTAGACTTTAAAAATGAATAATAAATGTATTAATATGTAATAGTGGTATATAATAAATAATATAGCAGATTATCAACACTTGATACATTTACAAGTAGGAGCTAAGCTATGAGGATGCAAAGGCATAAGAATGAAATAATGTACTTTGGGGACTAGGAGGGAAGCGTAGGAGGGGGTGAGGGATAAAAGACTACACATTGGGTACAGTGTACAATCCTCAGGTGACAGATGCACCAAAATCTCAGAAATCACGACTAAAGCACGTGTCCATGTAAATAAACATCATCTGTTCCACAAATATGATTGAAATAAAAAATTCATAATAAATTTATAACAAATTATTCTTAACAAATATAGAAAATAAAAATAAGTTATATTTTAAACATATAATCTTTTTTATAATGTTTATACAACATAAGTTGTTACTATTTTTGGTACTAATATTATGCTAGAAGATTATAGTCCAATATTGGTTCATATATTGATTTACAGAAGCTCAAATTCCTTGAACCATTTCAAAGCTTTCCCCAGGCTATTTGTCTTTTACATCCAGGGGTGAAGGCCTGTATCACCCCTTTCTTTTTCCTTAGTCTGGCAAGTATACACAATTTTGTAAGCATAGGCAATGCGCTCCATTCATGCAAATTAGAGTGTGTAACTGTCTTGTACAAGCTTAGCATTAATTTACAATCTAGTTTAATAATGCCCTTAAGATTTGCAGTGTAAGGCAATTTTAATAGAATTACCAGAGAAGAACATGTTATGAAGCCCTATGAAAGTCATATTGTCATATTGTTGACCCAGTTAAAATCACAGCATACTGAAAATCTCACACAACTTGTAGTGGTTTGGTAGTCTCTGAGCTTGTGTATAAACTTTTATTGTCTTGTTTTCTGGTTTAGATTTCTCCAGACATACATATTTTATGACAAAATAAGTGAATAATAATAACCAAAGTATAATATGTAGCAAAATGCCCTATATTGACTTTGTGCTTATCTTATGATGAATAACCAGTATTAATGATGTGTTTTGTATATACATCTTAATGGTTACATAAATAATTTAGTTTTGTTAATCTCTGCTATGAAAGATAAAATATATGAAATTTTAATATGACAAAATATTAACACTTTAAGACATACAGAGTAGAATTCTGGTTCTAAAAGCAACAACGAATAAGTTGAAGGAGGGTATAGATTCATTGTAAAATATTTTAGCTAATGTTTGTCTAGCATTTAAAGAGTACTTGGCACTGTGGTGTTTTACCACTGATGTTTCATTTCTACCTAAAAACTATCCTATGAGGTAGGTATTCTCTAGATTTAGAAGTAATTGTAAGAGGCTAAGTACTTAAATCATGGAAGTAGCAAGAGATAATTGTGAGATGTCAGCCTGTTTTGCTTTGATTCTAAACTATGAGCCATTAATCATCATATAATGTTGTCACACAATTCTTACATTTTTGGTACTGTGTAATGTAAGAATCCCTAAAAAATCTAAAATCACAAAATAACCTTTGGTAAAAGCAGTTTGTGAGAATTTAATTTTTTAAAACTTTTATTTTTTAGATTTAGATCACATTTTGGGACAATTTTTAAGCATTTTATATTGTTTCAATCATAATTTTTAAAAAAGTTTTACAGGGTTCTTCCTAGGTATCCTTTAGTATGTAGCATGGCCATGACTAAACTTCTAAAAAGGAAGATATGAAGAAGACCTCTATGGTCACACTCCTCCCTAGGACCTTGTCACTTGTTTTTACCTTTGCCTGAAATGCACCTTTCTCATCTCGCTGTCTCACTTCTTTCAAGTCTGTGCTCAAATATTCCAGTCTTCCCAGACCACTTTGCTTAAAATACTACCCCACATTAATACTCTTTAACCTTCTCTCTCCCTTTGATTTTTTTCCATAACACATATTAACATCGAATGTAGCACAGTCAGCCCTCCATATCCACAGATGTAGAACCTGAGGATACTAGAGAGCAGACTCTAAGGGACTTAAGCATCCACAGATTTTGCTATGTTGAAAGGGGTCCTGGAACCAATCTCTGACAGATACCAAGGGACAACTGTATATATTTTGCTTATTTATCGTTTGTTCTGTCTTTATTTACTAGAAAATGATTTACATTGGTGCCAGCATGTTTGTCTCATTTTTTTACTGTTTAATCACAGCAACTGAAACAAAAACTATAGTATTTAATCAATGTACATTTGTTGAGAAAAAAACAGAAAAGAACAACACAAAAAAGAATTTCTCTCTCATTCTTTACGATTTTTCTATTCATCTCTAAACAATAAGGACACGTTCTAAGAAATGCGTTGTTAGGTGATTTTGTCTTTGTGCAAACATCACAGAGTGTACTTAAACCTAGATGGTATAGCCTACTACACACCTAGGATACATGATATGGCTATTGCTCCTAGGCTACAAACCCATACTAAATACTCTGGGCAATTATAATGCAGTGGTAAGTATTTGTGTGTTTAAGCATACCCAAACATAGGAAAGGTATAACAAAAATATGCTATAAAAGATATAATGTGTCTGTGTAGGGCACTTACCATAAATGGAATTTGCAGGCCTGGCAGGTCCTCTGGATGAGTCACTGAGTGGGTGGTGAGTGAATGTGAAAGCCTAAGACATTGTACCCTTATGTAGACTTTATAAATACTGCACACTTAGGATATAGTAGATTTATTTAAAAATTTCTTCAAAAGTAAATTAGCATTAGCTTACTATAACTTTTTTACTTCATAAATTTTTAAAGTTTTTAAAACTTTTTAACTATTTTTCAATAACAATTTAAACACAAATACGTTGTATACCTGTATAAAAATATTTTTTGTTTATATCCTTATGTAATAAGACTTTTTCCTATTTTTGTTCTTTTTCTTTTTACTTTTAAAAATGTTATCATGAGCTAAAACACAACCTCACATGTTAGCCTAGGCCTACACAAGGTCAAGATAATCAATATCATTGTATTCCACCTTCAAGTCTTGTTCCAGTAGATCTTCAGGGGCAATAACACCCATGAGACTGTCATCTTCTTTGATAACAATCTCTTCTTCTGAGAATAGCTGCCTGAGGCTGTTCATAGTTAACTTTAAAAAAAATGCATACAAGGAGCATATTCTAAAATAAGGATAAAAAGCATACAATATTAAATACATAAATCAGTAACATAGTTATTGTCATTATCAAGTACTATCTACTGTACATAATTGTATGTGCTATACTTCTGTACAACTTTCAGCAAGTAAATTTGTTTATACCAGCATCACCACAAATTCATGGGTAATGTGTTGTGCTATGTTGTTATGGCAGTTATGATGTCACTAGGTGGTGTAAATTTTTCAGCTCCATTATAATCTTATGGGACCACCATCTTATATGCAGTGTGTCGTTGAACAAAACATTGTTATATTGCTCACAACTGTATATTTATTCATTCATTAAATATTTATTGAACACCTATGCCATGATAAATATATTTTGTTGTACAGGAAAATAGTAATTCAGGAGATACAAAAGCCTTATTTTCTGTAGGTTTACTATCTAGTCAGGGTAAATGGGCAAAAAACCAACCAGCAATTTTTTTAAACATGTTCCAATGGTACTAATTATAGTGAAGGAAACCTAAATGGGGTGCTGTGTTAAAGTGTGACTGTGCTATCAGATGCTGTGCTAGCTACACAGCAAGGTTAGAGGCAGCCCCTTTGTTATATAAGTGCTATTTAAACTGAGGCCTCAAAGATGTAAATGAGACAGCAAGGTAAAGATATATGAGAATACTGTTTTCTACTGAGGATAAAGCAAGAACAAAATAGAACAGGACAGAGCAGCACAGTATTTTTTTATTATTATACTTTAAGTTCTAGGGTACATGTGCACAACGTGCAGGTTTGTTACATATGTATACATGTGCCATGTTGGTGTGCTGCACCCATTAGCTCGTCATTTACATTAGGTATTTCTCCTAATGCTATCCCTCCCCCCTCCCCCAACCCATGACAGGCCCTGGGGTGTAATGTTTCCCGCCCTGTGTCCAGGTGTTTTCATTGTTCAGTTCCCACCTATGAGTGAGAACATGCGGTGTTTGGTTTTCTATCCTTGTGATAGTTTGCTCAGAATGATGGTTTCCAGCTTCATCCATGTCATTACAAAGGACAGGAACTCATCCTTTCTTATGGCAGAGCAGCACAGTATTTTTAAGAAGCAAAGGAGCTCATTGTGGAAGGACCATGCAACCAAGGGGGACACCGATAAATAGACAGAAAAGTGAAAAAAATTTAACTAGTATTTTTGAAAGATAATGCTGGGTGTTCTGTGGAGAAGGAGTTACAGTGGAGCAAAAGTGGGAGCCAGGTGGTGACTAGGAAGCAACTGTTTTATTCAAGGCTGTTATGCTCAAGGCTAGTTTTAAGGATTAAGGTAGTAGCAGTGGAAATTAAGAGAAATGCATGTATTTGAGAGACATTGGAAGTAAAGTCCACAGTACTTGCTGATGGATTGTATGGGAATAAAGAAAGAAGGTAAATAAATAATAACCTTCAATTTTTAGGCCTGAGCAACTTCTAAATTTTAATATGCCCCTTAGGGAAAATCAAGAATGATGTTTAGTATACATTATGTTTGAAATACCTATTAAACATCCTAGTGGAGATGTAAAGTGGGCAATTACAGGCATCTGGAAGTGAGATGAATATTGAACTGTACCTGCTGGCAATCTTATTTGTTACTTTATTTCCATGGACTAGATCAGTGCCTTGCACATAGCTGAAGATCGATAAATATGTGTTGAATCGAACACTGTTTCTCCGTCCTCCAATTTTGTATGCAGAAAATCTTATCTCTATTTGTAATTTCTACTCTTTAAAATATTTATAGATTTCCAATGTTTCCAATTTTTTCTTAACTGTTGGTAATACAGTGATTAAAATCCAAATCCTTAGTTTTCTCAATTTTTTGAAATGACTGACAACTACATTGTTCTGAACATGTGACAAAATAATGCTAATCCAGCCTAAACTCCTCTTGTTTGAAAGCACATCATTTGCAAGCTCTGAAATTATGTTAATTAATGCTAGCTTTAAACCTTTAAAAATCAAAGACCATACCTTCTTTGAGTTTCCTTTCAAGACAAGTATTTGTTTTTCTCTTAGATGTTTTTTTCTCAGTGCTTTTACTCTTTTAAATATAATAAAAGTTTAGTATAAATAACAAAAACACAACACAAAACTTCTATTCTGCTTCAGGGTCTAAAATCCAATTATATTTTATTGTGAGAGTTGGAATAAAGTAAAAGAAAAAAAGTAGGAAACACCAATACATCTTATAAGTAAAGTGAAGCAATTTCCCTGGAGACAAGAATAACACATATCTTCTAACCTCATCTATCTTAGTATTCAGAGCACTGCAAACTGGAGAGACTTTAAATAAAACCAATAGGCATTTTCATTTCTTAACATATTATTGAACCTAACTGGACTTCATCAAATATTGTGAGATGCATAATATTACTTCCTACCCCCCTTCAGATTAGGTACTTATTCATTGAAAATTGTCAAATAAACAAATAATAGCTCTGTCAAAGAGCTATTTATCAGCTTCTGATATCATGGGCCTTGCATTTTTAGATTTGCAGATGTTTTGAGAAGGGCTTTCTAACTTACTTAACATCATCCTATCATCCTATGGTCAGAACATAAAAAAAAGTAGGACAAAATCAGAGGAAATTGGAGAAACAGAACTGTCATTATGAACCTATGTACACATATTGGGTGTTTTCTATGATACATTGTTGCTTGAAATAATATACGGTTTTATTGGAATATTTTAAGACCGGTGTGGATATTAACTTTTTTTAGAGGTTGTAACAGGTTAGCAAAGTGGCAAAGGCAGCTCTGTTATATTAAATTATTCACTTTTACTATTTTGATCAAACAGGCTGATCTGACATTGTTTATTATATTATACAAGTGAATTCCCATTTGAATTTACAATGAGAAAAAAAGAAAACTAACAAGTTCCTAGAATGTAAGCCAAAAAAATCACAAAACTATATAATTAGGAAAAAATGTGATAGACATATTGGAAGACAAAAGTAAATTAAAAACATGTCAATTAGACTGCACAAAAAATTATTCAATCACTGTGTTTCTGTTTTGCTATATTCAAACAAAATTATCAGCTAGAGTTAATAGTAAATATTTAAATGTGTTTCAAAAATCAATCATTGTTATTTATTTCTTCTCTTTCTTACTGTTCACCTCCACCTCCATCCCTGTACTCTGGTGTGCAGATGCCCTGCCTTCAAAGAATGTCTTTCTTCTCCCTGACTATCCCAATTCTTCCTATCCTTATGTCAAGCAGAAGTCCAGTTATCTCTATGAAGCTTTCTATTTCTTATTGACTTTTCCTTCCTCAGTAAGTATAGCACCTTGCTCTCTTTATACATTTAAAAAAAAAAAAAAAAAACCTGGAATGAGAAGAGGCCTTAAAAGTTATTTAACTTATCATTAACATATATTCATTGTCCTTTGTAACACCATTAATAAACATCCTACATGGATAATCATGACGTGGACCACAATACATAAGGGATTTCCTTTATTTAACAGTTATTAAGTTGGTTTTTTAAATTTGTTTTCTTTTTTCACTTTATTGAATCAAACTCTACTTCCTAGGTCCTAACTGCTTAACTGCTTATCTCTTCACTCTTCACTATATGACACTAGATTACAAATTGCTAAATAGGAGGAATGGTAGTATAATTTAATCTGAATAATGCCTTGCAAAACGGGGTAAACAAGTATTTACCAACTTGTTTTTTTGAAGTACAGATTCCAGTTTTGGCTCAATGCTCTAGGTGCTGTCTGAGCAGCACATGTAAGAACAACTTGCTTTGTGATGAATACCATACATTTACTTACGTGGACAACAATTATGCTAGTCAGTTTGGCAGACTCATCACACCACTGTTAAATTGTACTGAGCATATACTTAGGTAAAATCTTATCATCTTGCAAATGTGTTGTGATATTTAGTCATGCATCTATTAATATGAGTCATTTTAGCCTGGAGTCAATGTTTCTTTCTCCTTTACATAGGGTCTCATACAGGTTGAATGTATCTTATCCAAAATGCTTGGAAACAGAACCATTTTGGATTTGTTTAAAGTTTGAAATATTTGCATATACATAATGAGATAGTTTGGGAATGCAACCCAAGACTAAACATGAAATTCTTTTTTTTTGTAAACTCATAGCCTAATGGTAATTTTAAATAATGTTTTAAATAATTTTGTGCATGAAACAAAGTTTTGAGTGCGACCTATCACATGAGGTCAGGTGTGGAATTTTTCATTTGTGGCATCATGTCAATACTCAAAACATGTCAGATTTTAGAGCATTTTACATGTCATATTAGGGATACTCAATCTGTATATGGCAGAAACTCCATACTTACATGGGATTAATGAGTTTAGAATAAAGAAATTTATCAAAATATAATTTGTTTATCTTAGGAGTTAATGAAAGTTTAAAAAACTTGGGCTTTCTCATATGTTCTTTTTTATTTACTGTATGTATCCTAAACTTTAAAAGTGAAATAAAAAATGTAGAAAAGTAAAACAAATGTAATCTTATATGTACTCAGTATGTATATATAAGGAATATATAAAACATTACCAACAAAAATCTTTCAATAAAAAAAATCCCAGCCACAGAGAAATATCGCTAGGGCCTTAAGATCTAAAAAATGTAGAAAATTAAATATATGAAAACTCAGATATTATTCAAGGGGAACTTATAAAAGTGGGTTTCCGGTGAAGATACAAATTAATAAGCTTTGAAGAGGAAGCTAAGAAACATAAAGTTCTACAAATTGTGGGGTCACGCAAACCAGTCAGGTACTCATCAACAACAAATCTTTCCCCAACTTCAAAAACTTCCAGATTGTACTCTATTTAGAAAATTGCATATAATCCTTAAAGTTTTTAATTCTTTAGCTTGTATTTCCTCAGTTGATATTTTTGTTTTAGTCTTTCTTTATGCCTAAGTGCTGTTTTCATTTATCAATCTTCTATTTAATACTTAATTGAACAGAACTGCATTTTCTACCATTCAGATGATCTCAAAAGTTGACTTGACCTTCTGAAGTGTTTGTTATGTCTTCAAATAATTTCATTAGCATTTCAATCTTTATTTTCAACCTATTGTTTTAAATAAATGAATTTATTAAAATTTAACAACTTACAGATAGATATTTTCTACCAGAATTACACATTACTAAACTACATATGTTGGGAATAGCAGTTCAGTTACACAGGCACCCAACTCTATTATCATCCTGTCGTTACCCCAGAGAGGTCAAGAGTGACTGTCAAATACCTTGCAAAAATCCAGATGAGTGGTATACAAAGAATTTGCTGATTTACCAGTGTAATATCCCTACAGAAAATGTTTATAGCATTTTAAGGAATGCTCATGGAATGGATGAATAAGATTCCTATTATTTCTGGGACTAGAGACAACTTCTAAATTTCTTTAGGGAGTGAGATATTGATGGGTCCCATTGAGGCACAATGGGACTAAATGCAACAAGAACAAATGGAATTCAGACATACTTGGCTCTTTTGTCCCTATGGAACAGGAATGTTGGCCTTCAGAGTTCATCACAGAATAATTCCCATCAGGAATTGTGGTGATATGGAGGTTTATTCTACCCTAGCTTGATTAAAAGTATTGCCAGGGATATTCACTATATAAAATACTGATGCTTTATGGCAAGCTTATCCAACCTGCAAATTGCAAGCTGCATGTGGCCCAGGACAGCTTTGAATGTGGCCCAAAACAAACTCGTAAACTTTCTCAAAACATTATGAAAAATTTTTGCATTTTTTATTTTTTTAAGCTCATCAGCTATCATTAGTGTTAATGTATTTTATGTGTGGCCGAAGACAATTCTTCTTCCAGTGTGACCCAGGAAAGCCAACAGATTGGATACCCTTTCTTTAAGGTCCCCAAACCCATCTGAAACTTGCAAGGACCTCTGGATAGTACACATCACTTACAGTCACATTATATACAATATTTTTTTCATGGCCACACTCCTAAAATTTATCAGGAAAGTAGTATTCAAGGGAGGCTCATAGAGAAATGCAAGAATAGGCATGGAAGCAAAATCATTTGTATGGGGATTTCTCATTCATTTTATTCCAATGTGTATGTCATTGTACACTTAAAAATCAAGTGTACAGAAGTGTTTCAGATATTGTTGCTAAAAAGAAAAAGATTTATGGTGAAAGTTTGAGGGTTATAGCATCTTTATTTTATTTCTCTATTATCTTTATTTTATTTCAATTATGATACATTAATACTAAACATTCAGTTCCCCATCAACTTTTAAAGCCATTTGTAGAATTTCATCTGGGTATCTTAATTATCTTTGTGAACTTACTAGAGAAATGATGTTTTCTGCTTCTGAAAAAAAATAAACTTACACGTATAATTTATCACACTAGACAGATATTTTGCAGTTATTTTCTTAAGACAATAAGTTACTAAATATAATTTTCTTAGAATTTTTTTCTTCTTTAGGAAAGTATAAAGCACAATAATATACGTGTTTTGTTTTTTCAGGGATAAGAGATGACTGTAAGTAAACGAAAAGCTTTGGGGAAAAATTAACTACAAATTAATGCTGGTTTGTGACGCTGCAGTTCATAAATCAGCACTGAGAGCAAATCTTTCTCTCCAGAGTGTTCACCCTTGGGAGTGACCTGTGGAAAGAGAACACTTGAATCATTGTCTTTCAGTATAAAACTTCTTTGAAAATATTTACTACCTAAATTACTGGACATTAATTAAAAAGAATAATTTAGTAGTAGGTTAGTGTCATATTCTAAATAGATCAGTGAAATCTAATTCCTAGTCCTACAAAGTTTAAGCATGTAAGAAGCCACCATCAATCAACAAATTAGAAGTTTTGAAATCTCTACTTCCAATTCACTATAACTTAATTGACGTGACTCTGAAATTGTGAAGTTGCATAATAAATATTGAGTCTGTGAGCAAAATTTTAGAAGAGTAACAAAGTAAACAGTTACAAATAAGTCAGTTGAGGTCAGTTCCAAATGTTTCAAAGATCTTACAGTTTGTGTTAAACTTTTTTCCTTCCTTCTCGCTTTTCTTTCTTCTTACCTTCCTTCTTTCCTCCTTCCTTCCTCTCTCTCCTTCTGTTTTTGGGTGAATGTCATCATGTCATTGGCATCAATTTAAATTGCGTGTGTATGTTTATAAATACCTACAATAGTTTTAAAACCTAGACATAGCCTCTTGCGTATTCACTTAGAATTATGTGACAAATTTAACCTCTATCATAAAACAAAAAAGTTATATTTAAATCAATAAAAAGGTAAAATAATGTTCTCAGAAATAATACTGCAATAGTTTTAAGCACTATAAACATTTTAACATAAATGACTGTGAAATCATTCTGAAATTGAAAGGCCCATAAGGACTGCAACTTGTAGGCAAGTCCTAGGCCCAGAGACAGTAAACTTGATATGGCACATGCCATACTGAGACACAAGTTGGGGAGGCTAAGGAAGTGCTAGCACCACCCATCCCCTAACCTCAGGCTGCATAGCTCACTGCTCCAAAAGAGACCCCTTCCTTCCACTTGAGGAGGGGAGAGAGAAGAGTGGGGAAGGCTTTTTCTTGCATCTTGGTTATCAGCTTAGCTGCAGCAGAATTGGCCACTGGTCATATTCATGAGACTCCCATGCTAGGCCCTAGGTCTCAGATAACATTTCTAGATACACCCTGGGATAGAAAGAAACCCACTGCTTTGAATGAAAAGACACGGTCCTGGAAGCATTCATCACCTACTATCTGAAGAGCCCTTGGGCCCTGAATAACCAGCTGTAATACCAGTACTACGTCGAGGGCCTTGGGTGAGCCTCTGAGACTTGCTGGCTTCAGGTGAGACTCAGCACATTATCAACTGTGGTAGCTATGGAGCAAAACTCCTTCTGCTTTCTGCTTGAGAACAGTAGAAGGAATAGTAAAGAGGACTTTGTCTTGCACCTTAGATACCAGAAGGGCCACAGGAAGATAAAGCACCAAGTGGGCCCTTGGGGTCCCCAGTTTCAGAACTTGAGTCCTGGATGGCATTTCTTGACCTGCACTGGAACAAAGGGGAGCCCACTGCCGTGAAGGGTGAGTCTAAGGTCAGGCAGCTATCACCACAAGCTGACTTAAGAGACCTTGGGCCTTAAGGGAATATCAATAGTAGTTTGGCAGTTCTCCTCATGTCCTGGGGTGGATTAGGTGAGGCTTCTCTTCCTTTGGAAAGGGGAGAGAAAAGTGGGAAGAACTGCATCTTGTGGATTGAGTGCCAGCTCAGCCACAGTACAAGAGAACACCTGCTAGACTTCAAAGGTTGTTGACTGTAGTCCCTGATTCTCAGATGGTACCTCTGGACTCACCCAAGACCTGGGGGACCTCACCACCTTGAAGGGAAGGACACAGGCCTGCCTGGCTTTGCCATCAGCTGATAGAGCCCCAGGGCCTTGAGAAAACATAGGCAGTAGCCAGGGAGTTTTGACATCAGGCCTTGGGCAAGACCCAATGCTGTGCTGGATTCACAGTGTAGTCATAGTGGTGGTAGCCACAGGGGTGCTTGTGTCACTCCACCCACATCATTAGTTCACCCAGAACAGAGAGAGAGAGAGACTATGTTTGTTTGGGAGAAAATAAGGGAAGAAAACAAGAGTCTCTGCTTGGTAATCCAGAGAATTTTCTTGGATCTTGTGCAAGACCATCAAGGTGGTGCCTCTATGACTCTACAAGAATTGTAGAAATACTGGTCCTAGGGTGCCCCCTAAAGCAGATAGGGCTTAGATCACAATATCAACTTCTATGAAATATCTGAAAAAACTTCACAAGAAGGATGAGTACAAATACGCACAGACAGCAAAGACAAGAAACACCAAACTCTTCAATGCCCAGACACTGAAGAACATAAACTGGCATCACCACCAGCCAGGAAAATATGACCTCAACAAATGAACTAAATAAGGCACCAGGGACCAATACTGGAGAAACAGAGATGTGTAACCTTTCAAATAGAAAATTCAAAATAGCTGTGTTGAGAAAACTGAACAAAATTCAAGAAAACACAGCTAAGAAATTCAGAATTGTATCAGATAAATTTAACAAAGAGACTGAAATAATTAAAAACAATGTAGCATAAATTTTGAAGCTAAAATGCAATTGGCATAATAAAAAATACATCAGAGTTCTTAAGTATCAGAATGGATTAAACTGAAGAAATAACTAGTGAGCTTGAAGACACGTTATTTCTTGTCTTCAGTTAGAGGAGACAAAAGAAAAAAAACATAGGATCTAGAAAATAGCTTCAAAAGGGCAAATCTAGGAGGTATTGGTGTTAAAGAGGAGGTGGAGAAAGAGATAGGGGTAGAAAGTTTATTTAAAGGAATAATAGCAGAGAACAAACCTAGAGAAATATATTAATATTCAAGTAGAAGAAAGTTACAGAACACTAAGTAGAATTAACCCAAAGGTGACTACCTCAAGGCATTTAAATTCAAATAGCCAAAAGTCAAGGATAAAGAAATGACCCTAAAAGCAGCAACAGAAAAGAAACAAATAACATACAATGGAGCTCCAATACATCTAGCAACAGACATTTCAGTGGAAATCTTACAGGCCAGGAGAGAGTGGCATGACATATTTGAAGTGCTGGACGAAAAAATATTTCATGCTAGAGTAAAATATCCAGTGAACATATTCTTCAAAGATGAAGGAGAAATAAATATATTCCCTGACAAACAAAAGCTGAGGGCTTTTATCAACATCAGACCCATCCTACAACAAATGCTAAAAGGAGTACTTCAATCAGAAAGAAAAGAACACTAATGAGCAATAAATAATCATCTGAAGATACAAAAGCACACAGAAAAACACAGAATAGTTTAACACTGCAACTGTGGTGTGTAAAATACTCTTATCCTAAGTAGCAAAATGAAATGATGAACGAATCAAAAATAATAACTATCATACAACAACTTTTCAAGACACAGTACAATAAGATATAAATACAAGCAACCAAAAGTTTAAAAGCAGTGGCATGAAGTTAAAGCTTAGAGTTTTTATTAGTTTTCTTTTTGATTGTTTGTTGGTTTATGTGAACAGTGTTAACTCATTATCTGGTTATAAACTAATGAGTTATAAGAGAGTATATGGAAGCTTCATGGTAATCTCAAATGAAAAAACGTACAATAAATACACACACACACACACACACACACACAAAGCAAGAAACTAAATTAAACCCCAGAGAAAATCACCTTTACTAGAGGAAGACTAGAAGAAAAAAAAGGAAGAGAAGACCACAAAACAACCAAAAAAACAAATAAAATGTCAGGAGTGAGTTCTTACTTATCAATAATAACATTGAATGTAAATGAACTGAACTCTGCAATCAAAAAACAAACTGGCTGAAATGAAAGAAAGAACAAGACCCATTGATCTGCTGCCTACAAGAAACATACTTCACCTATAAAGACACACATAGAAGGAAAATTAAGGGTTGGAAAAGATATTCCATGCCAATGGAAACCAAGGAACAGCTACAGTCATCACACTTATATCGGAAAAAAATAGATTTCAAGATGAAAACTATAAGAAGACACCAAGAAGGTAACTATATAATGATAAAGGGTCAATTCAGCAAGAGGATATAGCAATTTTAAATATATATGCACCAAACATTGGAACCCCCAGATGTTTAAAGGAGAGACAGACCCCCAAGACAATAATAGTTGAAGACTTCAGCACTTCAGTTTCAGCATTGGATAGATCTTCCAGACAGAAGAGCAATGAAGAAATAGACTTAATCTATGCTATAGATGAAATGGATCTTGTAGATATTTACAGAACACTTCATCTAATGGCAGCAGAATACACATAATTTTTCTCAGCCCATAGATCATTCTCAAGGATAGACCATACATTGTATCACAAAATAACTCTTAAAGCATTCAAAAAATTGAAATAATATCAAGCATCTCCTCTGACCACAATGAAATTAAACTAGAAAGAAATAGTAGAGAAATGTGTAACCTACGTGAAGACATGGAAATTAAACAATATGCTTCTGAATGACAAGTGGGGCAATTAAGAAATTTAAAAGGAAGTTGAAACATTTATTGAAACAAATAATAATGGAAACACAAGATACCAAAACCTATGGGATCCAGCAAAAGTAGTACTAAGAGAGAATTTTACAGCTATGTGTGCCTACATCACATTAAAAAAAGGGGAAAAAAATCAAAAGAAGAATCTAATAGTGCAACTTAAAGAATTAGAAAAGCAAGAAAAAAAATCCAAAATTTGTAAAAGAGAAGAAGTAATAAAGATTAGAACAGAAATAAATGAAATGGAAATGAATATTTAAAAATACAAATTATCACTGAAATAAATAGTTGGCTTTTTGAAAAGTTAAACAAAATTGACATATCTTTAGCTAGACTAAGGAAAAAAGAGAGAAAATCTAAATAAATAAAATTAGAAATGAAAAGAGACATTACAATTGATACTTCAGAAATTGAAAGGATCATTAGTGACTACTACAAGCAACTATATGCCAATAAATTGGAAAATCTAGAAGAAATGTTCAACTTTCCAGACACATAAAACCTACCAAGAGTGAATCAGAAAGAAATCCAAAAACTCAACAGACCAATAAGAAGTAGTAAGATTGAAGCTGTAATAAACAGTTTCCCAGTAAAGAAAAGAAGCCCAGTACTCAATGGCTTCACTGCTAAATTCCATCAAACATTTAAAAAAGAACTAATATCAATCTTGCTCAAACTATTCCAAAAAACAGAGAAGGATGGAATACTTCCAAACTCATTCTACAAGGCCAGTATTACCCTGATACTGAAACAAGACAAAGACACACCATAAAAAAATATATATACCAATATATCTGATGAATATTGATGCAAAAATCCTGAGCAAAATATAGTGTACAAATAGTAGCAAACCAAATTCAACAACACATTAAAGAGATCATTCATCTGACCAAGGGGGGTTTACCCCAGAGATGCAAGGTTGTTCAACGTATGCAAATTGATTAATGTGATACATTATATCTACAAATGAAGGATAAAGATCATATAATCATTTAAATTGATCCTGAAAAAGCATTTGACAAAGCTCAACATCCTTTTGGATAAAAACCCTCAAAAAACTGGGGAGAGGAAGGACATACTTCAATATAATAAAAACTGTATATGACAGACCCATAGCCAGTGTCATACTGAATGGGGAAAAACTGAAAGCCTTTCCTCTAAGATAAAGAACATGACAAGGTTGCCCACCTTCACCATTGTTATTCAACATAGTACTGGAATTATTAGCTAGAGCAGCCAGACAAGAGAAAGAAGTAAAAAAACATACCAATTGAAAAGAAAGAAGTCAAATTATTCTTGTTTTCAGATAATATAATCTTCTCAAAAATGGTAAAAAGACTGCACAGAAAACTATTAGAGCTGATAAACAAATTCGGTAAACTTAAAGGATACCAAATCAACATACAAATTTCAGTAGCATTTCTATATTCCAACAGTGAACAATGTGAAAGGCACATCTTACATGGCAGCAGGCAAGACAGAATGAGAGCCAAGTGAAAGGGGAAACACCTAATAAAACCATCAGATCTCATGAGACATATTCACTACTGTGAAAACTGTATGGGAAAATTTGCCCCCATGATTCGATTATCTTTCACCAGGTCCCTCCCACCATAAGTGGGAATTATGGGAGCTACAATTCAAGATGAGATTTGGGTGAGGACACAGCCAAACCATATCACTATCCTAAGCAAAAAAAAGCAAAATTGGAGGAATCACGTTACCTGGCTTCAAATTATAATACAGAGCTGTAGTAACCAAAGCAGCATAGTACAGGCATAAAAACAGATACATAGATGAATGGAACAGAATAAAGGACCCAGAAACAAATCCACGCACCTACATTAAACACATTTTAGACAAACGTGCCAAGAACATAGTCTGAGAAAACGACAGACTCTTCAATAAATAATCTGAGAAGCCTGGGTATCCACATACAGAAGCAGGAAACTAGACACCCTATCTCTCACCATATACAAAAATCAAATCAAAATGAATTAAAGATTTAAATCGAAGACCTCAAACTGTGAAACTACTACAAGAAAAAATTGCTGACACTTCAGGAAATTGGTCTGGGCAAAAATTTATTGAGCAATACCTCACGAGCACAGGCAACCAAAACAAAAATAGACAAATGGGATCACATCGAGTTCAAAGGCTACTGTACAGCAACGTATACAATAAGCAAAGTGAAGAGACAACCCACAGATTGAGATAAAATATTTTCAAACTACCTCTCTGAAAAGGGATTCATAACTAGAATATATAAGAAGCTCAAACAACTCCACAGAAAAAAAAACCTAATGATCCCATTTTTAAAATGGGCTAAAGATTTGAATGACATTTCTCAAAAGAAGACACGCAAATGGCATATGAACAGGTGCTTGACATTGCTGATCATCAGAGAAATGCAAATCAAAACTACAATGAAATATCATCTCACCCCTGTTGAAATTGCTTATATCCAAAAGGCAAGCAGTAACAAAGGTCAATTCCATATCTCTGCTATTGTGAATAGTGCTACTGTAAACACATGACTGCAGGTATATTTTTGATGTAATGATTTATTTTTCTTTGGGTACATATCCAGTAGAGGAATGGCAATTCAAATAGTAGTTATGTTTTTAGTTCTTGGAGAAATCTATATACTCTGTTCCACAAGGTCGTAGTAATTTGCATTCCTATCAACGATGTATAAGGATTTTCTCAGCATCTTTGCTGACATCTGCTATTTTTTACTTGTTAATAATAGCCATTCTGACTAGTGTTATATAATATCTCATTGTGGTTTTAATTTGTGTTTCTCTGGTGATTAGTGATGAACATTTTTCATATGCTTGCTAGCCATTTGAATGTCTTCTTTTGAATGTGCCTTTTCATGTCTCTTTCTCATTTTTTAATGAGATGCTTAGTTTTTCTTTTATTTAATTGCATTGAGTTCCTTGTAAATTCTAGACACGTGTCTCCTGCAGGTTGCATAAATCCTGTGATAGAACTGCACTTGGTCTGAGGGTGTGGAGGAATCATGTTACTGCAGACTTCAGTAGAGGAGGTCTAAGGAGGCAGTAAACCAGATGGATTATTATACTTTAAAGTGGATATTACCATATATTTTTCTACCATACATTTTTCACCCTTAAGAAACTGACATTCTCCATAGATTATAAATGTGTACAGAGCCAACATCATTCTGTACCTTCAAGTTTCTGATGTTAAGCTGTGGAGAAAGGGAAGTAGTTCTTAAAGAGATGCCAGTCTCCATTCAAACGGTGTCTGAGAAACTCACGTGGTATATTTTCCACCTATACTTTGGTTTGTTGATTTTGTACTTGAATCTGGAAATTGGATTGAACATGGAGAAATAAAGAAAAAAAAGGACTAAGAGGCATTGAAAATACACACTCTCAATGTACACATATAAGTTGGAGCTACAAGAACATTAAATTGCACTGCCTGCTTGCTGCAAGCTCACATCAATTGTTTCCCACAATGATTATTAATTATCTGCTAATGTAAAGTTATTTTGAAGTAACTGAGGTTAAGGCAGAGAGATATTTATCCTAATATTATTTAGCATATGCCTTAAAGATAATTTTTACATAGGTTCTAATTTTTATCATAAAAATAATGATTAGTAATACTATAATAGACATATAAACAAGATGAAATAGGAGTGTAGAAGGGAGGAATTGAACAAACTCCATATCTATGTTGGTCTTTTATTTATTATAAAGAAAGAATCGTATTTTATTATTGCTGATAGAGAAAGCAAGTTATACAAAAAAAAAAAAAACAGCTAGCACTGTCAATATTATAGTCACAAGAAGGTAACAATTTAAATAAATCATGGTTGGCCAGGCGCGGTGGCTCATGCCTGTAATCCCAGCACTTTGGGAGGCCGAGGTGGGAGGATCATGAGGTCAGGAGATCGAGACCATCCTGGCTAACATGGGGAAACCCCGTCTGTACAAAAAATACAAAAAACTAGCCAGGCATGGTGGCGGGCGCCTGTAGTCCCAGCTACTCTGGAGGCTGAGGCAGGAGAATGGTGTGAACCCGGGAGGCAGAGCTTGCAGTGAGCCAAGATTGCGCCTGGGCGACAGAGCGAGACTACATCTCAAAAATAAATAAATAAATAAATATAATAAAACAAAAATAAATAAATAAATAAATCATGGTTAGCTTGGTTATCTGTGTTGCACAGATTAATAATAGGAATACAACTTTGAAAGTATTTTGAGACCCTACAGCTTCCATGCCCTTTTAAAATGAGAGAATTGGAAAGAGAAAATATTAGAAAAGAAAATGTGAAAAACTGTTTTAAGCAATGCTAAAATGCAATTCTTAGACTCATAAAGCTCAAATTATCCCTAGCAGGGCAGAACAACACCATTAAAAAAACTAGGATAAAAACTTCTATGACATCATAATGAAATTTTCCAACAATAAAAGGGAAGAGAAAATTATAAAATTATCTAGAGGAAAAATGGAGGAGGGCTAAATATTCTAACAATACATTATCTATCTCAACAATGAAAAGCCAAATAAATTAGAGACATTTTCAATGTGCTGAAAGAAAATAACTGTGAATCTAGAATTAAATTATTAGTGAAAATATCTTTTAAGAATGACAGGGAAATAATGACACTTTTATGAAAGAAATCCAAAGTGAACAATTTTATTACCAGAAGATTATACCAAAAGAAAATTATAAAGAATACACTAAGTTGAAAGGAATTGAACTGATATGGTAAACTAAATAAAAATAAAGATTAAAGAATTTAAAAAGTAGTAAATATGGGACAAATATCCATTGATATTAACTATAGAGAGTAATAATAATAATGCCTTTGGGTATTAAAATGAGATAGAGCTGAAATACATGATAATAATAAAATAATTTGGAACATAGAGTCTGGAGTTAAAGTGTGTAGAGCCATTTTATATACTAGAGAAGGATGTAAGTAGAGTGATTAACGCTGGGTTCTAGTAAATTATATCTCTTTAATTTTATAGATTTTTATAATTTTATAATTTCACACTCGTGTTTCTTTTTGCTGTTGCTGTTGTTAGTGTTTTTACTTTAAATCTCTGCCTGAGGTTTTCATTGGCCAAACAATCCTTCTCACTTATCAATGACAAATGGAACAGTCAATAAATAAACCAGTTATCTTGTCTTTTGAGTGACAAAACTTAGAGGCATTTTCTTTTTAACAGCATTTCCAAAAGGTCTGGAGCATAACGGAGTTCTGGTTATCCTCAGCAGCAGTATGCACAGTAGTAGTACCTCACCTATGTTGACTTTCTTCTCTTCCTGTGTCACGTCTTTGTTATCCTACTGGTTTTCCTGTATTGCTTCCCACATAAACTACTAACAATTTCTACTCTCTAGAAATGATTTTGGGAGAAATCATCCTATGGCAAATTTAACCAAGAAGAGGAAAAACTAAAATTTAAAAAAATTTGGATAATAATATGGTAGATTTTACTCAAATATGAAAAAATTTCAAAAGCCAAAGAAGCAGTGTATGACCTTAAAGCATTTAGCAAACCTAATATTTGAACATAATTTCGACCACATGTTTACATTTTGAAGACATTTGGATGTTACCAATAATCTTTAAAACTGTTTTTATCTTTCAAAGATCAAAGTATGTGAACTAAAAGATATTACAGCTTCATTTTCCTTAAAAATATTTGATGTAAGTACTTATTATCTTTAAGCCAATCAACTAGAGCTCTTTTTTATATAAACATCACAAACATAACACATATATATCTACACAGACAGACAAAAGATTCAGTAGTTTTAAGGTTTTTCATCTGCCAATCTCCTAAGTGGATTATTGGTCTCAGGTTGGAACACTTCAAGAAACAGAGCTAGAAAAATATGCAGTTTCTAGGGTCTAAAAACCAAATATGTCTGGAAGACAAAAACAGATTTCAAGGATCTTTCGCTTTTAATTCCTGGGGTTCCATGAGGAAAACAGAGGAGTTTATTTTTCCCAAATGGGGTCTGTAGTGCCTCTTCTGTTTTTCCCAAGGAGTCCTAGGCTATCAGAAGTTATCTTAGGGCCTTTCATGCATGCATTAATAGTTGCAAGACAAAAATGGAGAAAAATAATTCAGTCAACTGAGAAGAAAAATATTTTTCCAGCAAAACAAGATCCAAGAAGAGAAAAGATATAGAGACCTTTTAAATATACCTATAGCCTGGATATCCGCTTTTAATTAAGCTGACTTTCAACCATAGCACTCTTTAAAAAAAGCCAATATTTCTGGCTTTTGAACTTTACCAAAAATAACCTCACAGGTAAAACTAGCAAGCCTCAACTATGGTTATGACTTAACCATGAGTGTATGAGGTATTTTTAAAGATGTGGTAACCAGTTTTCACAAAATCTAGAATCTTTAAAGGTAGCTTAGAGAAAGGAAGATTTAAGAGAGGAAACTAGAAGTCATTTATGGAGGGGAAGAGAATCAGCAAATTGTAAAAGTCACACAGATAATAACCAGAAACACTCATTCCCTGAGCCAGGATGGAACCCGGGCTGCCATTGTCAAATGGTAGAGACCAAAAGAAAGTACTGCCACGTGGTTACAAGGTCAAGCTTTGAAGGACATAAAACAAGATGGAGACCTCATCCAGTTTTTTTGTTTGTTTGTTTTTGTTTTTGTTTTTCAGAGACCTGTAGCAAAGTTTGTTATTGACCAGTTTATGAGGCTGGCTTGAACAGCAGGCTTATGGGGTCCTAGGCCTGTGTTCTATCCTAAGGTATTTCTTCTTATGACAGAACCATAGAAAAAGGCACACAAAGCACACCAGATTGGCTACAGCTTAGGAAGACTAGCCTCACAAATCCTCTGTCCATGAATCAAAACTTTACAGAGAATATAAACTGATTTTTACCATTCCTACAACCACTTTTCACAGAGAGAGAGAGAGAGAGAGATGCCAAAAGACAGACTGGTTAAAAGAAAAAAAAAAAACAAAAAACTTTTACCCTTTTACCCTTTTGCTGCCATGTCAGGTTTCTGGTTTCCCTTTTGACCCTGGGGTTCTTTAAAGGGGAAGTGGACAAAGAGGATATTTGCATACTGTAAAAGTTGTCCTTCCTAAAGAGATTTGCTCAGTTAGATCCGTAATTTCTTCCCAGGACTTTTTTTTTTTTTTTTTTTTTAAGTCAAGCAGTTTCAAGTTTGCGGAAATTGAACTTTTCCCAGAGGGTAGTGTCCTGTGGTACAGAGATGCAATTATCCATCCGTGAAGAGAAGATAGAGGAGAAAACAGAAAAAAATAAGACTTTTTTTTTTAAAGGAGTCCCAGTGATTCAGGATGCATTCAAGAAAAGTACAGACTGAAGGTGGTTGGTTACCCATCTGCAAAGAGGGTAAAAAGGCATCCCTTAGTTATTTTCTCTTTGCAGTGAATACCCAGGGTGTGTGAGGGAGAGAAAGAAAAGGCGTCCCCTTTCTTCTGCCTTTATATCCCCAAGTTCTGGCAACCTCAGCAGGGGCCATACATGGGTGCCAATGCAGGTTTCACCCATGTTAACAGGGAGGCCTAAGGGGTAGGAATTATCTGCACTCACCTATGCTCTGGTATATACCCCCTGCTGTCAGTAACCTTATTTATGCCATGGACACAGGCATAACCTCCACCCATGAAATGACGGAAGGGGGGGCCTAATCGGCAAGAATTAGTCATGCTCACCTGTGCTGTACCCCTTGACTTCCATTGTTGTCTGCCTCTGGATCCCTCAGATCCAGTTTTCCTTATTAGGGATAAAGCCCTAGAAGCTTGGAATTGAGTTTGGGACAAAGAGGTGCTCAGCAGGGTGCATAGACTCCTGAAATTAAGTCCCAGGTGGCCCTCCTTATCATAAGCCAAATGCTAAGTTGAAGCTGTGGAACTGGGATCTCCTCAAAAAAGGGAGAGGAAAAGGAGTCCCATGAATTGGCGTCCTGGCCTAGTAAGAGGCCTTCCAAAATGAAAAAAATACCCCTCCCATAGAAAAGCTCCCTGTATTTGCAGGGCTGTACTAACACCTGACATGGTGGAGAAAAGAAAAAAAACAGCTTAAGAGCAGGGGATGGAGAGGGGCCTGGGCGAAAAAGCCTCTTACTTTATGTAAATGGGTTCCTTCAACAATAACAGCAACAAATAACTTTTATTTGCTGCCTCCTTTCTGCTTCTAATACATGGAAATTGCATCATTCTTAATTGCATATCTGATGGCTGGGCCAAATGCTCATTCTACCCAGTAATATTGCTGTAGTTTGCAACAACACCCCCAATATTGTAAAAGAATAGATAGGTGCCATCATGACCATGAAAGAAAGAAGAAAGATGCCACATTTGCTCATCATTTCTTATATCCTGGACAAGCCCCCAGAAAATAAACAGGATTTTTCTTGGCCACATTGCCAAGTGGAGATCTCCGTGGCTGGTAATGCCCCCTACCCCTGTCAGAGCCTTGCTTGGCCCTAGGCCTGCTGCTGGAGGTGCCCCACCCACTCGGCCAGCCGGAGCTATAGCTTGTACCCACATCCAGGAAGAATGAGGATACGGTGACAATTCAAAGGGTGAAAAGGGGTGGAGAAGAATTTTATTGAGCCACAGAACAGGTCTCAGCAGAGAGAGCATGTGGGGGTTGCTCTCCCACCCCCACAGTCAGGTGATTTATTTCCCAGTGTGGCTGAGTTCGGGGCTTTTATTGGCTCAGAATAAGGGAGTGAGGCTGATTGGTTTGTGAGTATGCAAAAAAGATTAAAGCAAAGACACCACTCAAAGTGTAGAAAAACATTTAGGGAAGGGTAGGTATGTGTAAAATAGATGAAGGATGGGGATCAGTCAGAGGAAAGTATGCCAAACAGGGAGGCAGGTTTTCAATCTGGTCCATGCATTGTACTTGTAGCTTGGCTTTCAGGTTTTAAACTGTCTTCCACTTAGAGGTGGGGTTTCACTGGGGACCTGCCCTTATCTGCCTAGGCATTTGACTTCCTCCTGGCGCTATCAATATTAGCAAAACAAATCCAGCAAAATATAAAAGTGTAATACTATATAACCAACTGGGGATAATGTCAAGAATGTAGTGTAACAATCAAACATCAATCAATATTTATCAGTTAATGGAATTGAATAAAGGAGAAAATTATGATTATTTTAAGAAGCAGAAAAAAGATGAAATGTTAAAATTCAATATTCATAATCATTTATGAGGAAAAATGAAAATAAAATTGTAAGAAAATTTGCTATAAAAGGGAACTTTCTTAATTTTAATGATGCCACCTATAAAAATTTAGAGTTAATATCATCATAATAATATATTAAATATATTCTGCCTTAAGATTAGAAGGCAAGAACGTCCTCTCTCAGGATTTATATCATTATATTGAATATCTTAGCAAAAATGATAAGACAATAAATAATTAAAAGCAACATATTAGAAAGAAAGATGTGAAACCATTATTACTCATGAAAGACACAACTGTGTATGAAGAAAGTCTCAGTAAGCTCTAATAACTGCATTTAGAAAAAGCTACAGTATACAAGTTCAACATACAAACACTCTAGCACTATACTCCAGCCCTAAAACAGTTGAAAATAAATAGAGGTATCATTTACAATAAAATTAGCGATAATAATATATGTAATGACCCACATTTGACAAAGATGATTAAACTTAACCATAATAGCTTGCTGAAAAATATAGTTGACATAAATAATTAAAGAGATATTTTTTCTTTCATGCTTGAAAAGACTCAATAAAACTAAAATATAAATTCTCCCCAAAATTGGTCTATAGATTCAGCTTAACTTAAAAAATATTCCCAAAAGTACTTTTTAAGAAATTGACAAGCTGATTTTAAATTTAGGCAAATATTTTAAGCATATAGAATAGCCAAAACAGTCTTTAAAATGAACAGTTAAGGAACATATTTGTCTCCATTTCAAAGCTTAACATGAAGTTGCAGTCATTAAGAGAGTGGTATTCAAGAAAAAAAATAACAGGTCTATGGGACAGGATATAGAGTGCAGAAATAGATCCAGGTGATTTTTTGAAAAGCCATCAAGTCTATTTATTGGTGGATGTAAATTTTTTCTCTTTCTTTTTCAATAAATGGTGGTAATAAAATAGGACAAACACATAGGGGCAACAATTCTTGACCTCACACCATGAACAGATATTAGAATAAATTATAGATATAAATAGAAAAATGTAAAACTTATGAAGTGTTTTTTTTTTTGCTTTGAAATATGCAAATTTTCTTAGGGAGAATAGAAAAATAGTAAACAAATGGAAGAAAACACTTAAGTTTCACTTCACCAACTTAAACCCTTATGTTTGTCAAAACATAAAAGAAATTTTAAAAACCATCAGAGACTTAGAGAAAACGCTTTTCTGTCTATTATCTGACAACAACTTGTATCTAGAATACATAAATAATTCCCACACATAAATAACAACTTAGTAAAAAGTTGGACAATAGACTTGAAAATATTTTTAATAATATCACCAAAAAAGATATACAAATTGCCAATAAGCACATGAAAATGTGCTAACAAACTATAGTATACGCAACAACATGGATGAATCTCAAAAACATTATTCTGAGTGAAAGAAGCCAGATATAAACAGCACGTTTTATAATTCCATTTAGCTGAAGTTCAAGGGTAGATAAAACTGATCTGTAGTCATAGACAGTCACAAAGTGGTTGCCTATGATCAATGTATATTTTCTGGAAAATGATTATAGATATTTATTGAGGAGATGAAACTGCTGTATCTTTTATTGGGGTGTTGATTACATGGATAATGCATGTGTTGAAATTAATTGAATTGTACCTTGAGTTCTGAATATTTTATTGCAAGAAATTTTATTTCAATTACAAAGATAATTTCTGCCCAGATTAATTACATTTGGTAATTAATTACATTGGCTATGTTACCAGTCTGTGAGTATTGGTATTTTGAATAGAGAATGTATTTCCCATACCCGCAATGGCACAATTTGCAAGCATTCATTTATAATATTACTCCAGTTATTTTACAACCTTGAGGGAAATTTAAACTGTATCTTTTCTGGATAGGTGCAATGGCTCACACCTGTAATCTCAGCACTTTGGGAGGCTGAGGAGGGTGCATCACTTGAGGTCAGGGTTTTGAGACCAGCCTGGCCAAAATGGTGAAACCCTGTCTCTATTAAAACTACAAAAATTAGCCAAGCATGGTGGTGAGTACCTGTAATCCCAGCTACTTGGGAGGCTGAGGCATGAGAATTGCTTGAACCCAGGAGGCGGGGGTTGCAGTGAGCCAAGATTGTGCTGCTGCACTCCAGCCTGGGTAACAGAGCGAGATTCCATCTCAAAAATAAAAAAAAAAAAATACAAATAAAATGTATCTTTTCTGAAAGATAATTGCCAAATATACATATATATATATAATGTGTATATACATATATGTATAAATACATCCAATGATTATTTTTCAGCCTAATACATAAGGTGATTTAGAAGAAATAAGTAATTTTCTTGATGTACTATAAATAGGTTGTTAAGCTGGCATTTCAACTGAGGCAATGAAAGTCTAGAGCTTGTTCCATATTCTTTATACATTCTGCCTCCAATAAATGGTAACTGTCAAATGAAAACTATTTTTATATTAATCAATTTGTGCTATAACAAAATTCCACAGACTGAAACTTACAAATAACAGAAATTTAGTTCTCACAGTTCTGGAGACTGAAAACCCAAGATAAATTGCTGGCAGGATTAGTGTTTGGTGAGGGTCCAGTCTGAGCTTCCAAGTTGTTGCCTTGTTGCTGCATCTTCCACAGGGGAAGCCTACGTCTTCACCATAAGAAAGTCTATAAAGAGCAAGAGAGTGTCCTTTCAACCTCAAGCCCTTCTCATGAATGAGTGTTAATCTCATTCATGAGAGAAGGGTGGAGACTTCATAATTAAATCACCTCCCAAAGGTCACACCTTTTAATGCTGTTGAATTGGGGATTAAGTTTCAACAAAAATGTTGAAGGGAACATCATCATTCAAACCATTGAAATCCTCCATCCCAGTAAGTACCTTTTTCTCTACTCGCAACCTGTCAAAATCTTACCTCTTTCTTTATGTCTTCATTCTCAAGCATACTCTTCAAATTTACAATTTCCTTTCTTCTTAATCTGCTATGCTTACTGCCTTTACATATAATTGTGTCACTTTATTGCCTCCTACATTATATTTTGCTCTCTATTAATATAGATAATGATAAATTTTCTATTTATACAAAACTTTAAAAAATTTAAATATCTGAACTCATTATTTACTCCAACTAAATTGTAATATTGAAAATCACAGATTGTTGTATATATTCTAAAGCACGTAGCAGAATGAGATACATAGAAATTACTAAATTTTGTGAAATATAAAAATACTGTCAAAAAAATGATGTCAATTCACATCATGATTTATTTGAACAAATTATGAATAGCAGAAAAAATATGTAAATCATTTACTTACAACTGTAGATAAATGCTAATATTTAATTGGGCATTTTGCCAACATTTAGTATTTTATAATTTACAGTTATTACAGATCTAAGAGCAAAATATTTTTTGGTTACAAGAGTAAGCAGATTGACTCATGCTATTTTTCTTCATTCCATCTATGTGCCTTACTGTATAAGCAAAAAATACCCTCTTTGGATGTCAGAGAAATAACATGAATAAAAAGCCATTAGCTATAGCTTTTCCAAATGTATAATAGACTGGGATTATGAAACCAACAAAACATCTGTTTTTTCCTGTGAGGATCTGACAAGTTCAACTTTAGTTGTAGTGGTCTGCTATTAGATACAATTACAGTCTGTACTGATTCCGCATGCCATCTGTCATGGTGAAACTGCATTAACTCATCATTTAATTCTGTGCCCTTTTCAATTTGTGCCCTTTAATGTTAACTTCACAAAACTGTTCTAGCCATTTTTAAAATACTATGTAATAACCTCTCCATGTAGTATGTAACAATGAGATGTATTCACTTGAGGGAGAAAAAAATCTTTATGTGTAATAAATATGGCTTCTTTATTGACTGCTAGATATTTTCTCCTTTGTCTTCTCACAACCCTCAACAAAAGACAAAAAATATTGACCTGCCCTAAGATCAAGTCACATGCCTATTTCTAGAGTATTCCTAGAGAGATAGTGTGTTTGCCTCCTTAGTCTACTCAGTTTCTGTTTGATTACATCATATATACATTAACTCCCTCCTTTCCGTGTTCTTAAATGCTGTTACACTTACTGTTACACATAACATTTATTAATCTTATGGCAGATATGATATCATTTCTTTTACTGTAAATTTTTTGAGTGGCATGTTTTGTTTCTATATGGAAATATAAGCTCCTAGAAGTCACTGGTCATCTTTGCCAGAGTCAGACATAGACCCTTGTTCTTAACAAGCATATATTGAATAATGAAGAGTAATTTATAGAGGAAACCCATTTAATTATAGGTGACTATAATGGGTTAATCACAAAAAGGTAAACAATCTGACTAGATACAGATATATTTATGGAAATTGATAAATGAAATCCAACAGCATAGCAATTTACAGAAACACAGGTGTTCGGGATAAAATTTCATGGGAGAATGCTCCTTCTGAAATATTTTTTTAAAATAAACACTGTTCTGCCTAATAATATTGTGATATTCCATATTTATTATTATGAAATGTGAAAGTGCTCTAGAAAGGACAAGAACACCAACCAAAGACAGACTAGGTGTCAGCTGATATCTTGCATTTTGAATTTATTGAGTGCTTCACTGCTTTAGTGATGTATAGAATTTATACCTGTATTCAAGTCACTGTTACTATATTGAATACTAAAAATAGTGGGAGGCAAATTTATGTTGTTTTTATAGCATGCTAGATACAAAGGTTTATAGCATTTTTTTCCTGAAATTATGTACCTGTCACATAAATAAATTTGACAAAGAAAATGTGTGAAACGATTGACAGCACTGATAGCTAGTGATTTTACATGATTTAGCTTCTGTCACCTCATGAGCTAAATAATGTTATTTTAGCTCCTTGTCATAGTAGTATATCTTCTTAAGTTGATAGTTACTTTCTTATAAATATACCATTTTTTGTCTTTATTAAGAAACCATATTAAGCTGATATTTTAAATAATTGTTCATTTAACTGTTTAATAAAAAACTGCTTGTGCTGTTTAATAGAAAGCAGTTAAAGTGGACAATTATTTCTATTAAAAGCTTTCTGTTTTCTATTATTTCTATTAAATAGGTGTCTATGAATCAAATCAATGATGTATTAGATATCAATTGGTAACAAAGATAAAAAGTCTACATTGACAACATTTTTAAAAAGGAGTATATTAAAATGAGCACATATTTTTACTACATATTTTTACCATAAAAATTAGTATATTACCAGTATTTTTTAAAACATCCATATAAATACTCCCATGTTTTCAAGAGCAATTTTTGCAAACTTTTTATTTCACTAAACCTTGATTGTTCTACAAGAATGAACTCATTTTTCTACAACAAACCCAATACTGCTCTTCCAGATTTCATATTTTCATCATGAAAATAAACTCTTTCTTTCTCTCTCTCTATATATGTATATATTTATATGTATATATTTATACACACATTTATATGTGTATGTGTGTGTGGGATGTATACATGCTTAATTTGATTTTTCCTTAGTATTATAATAAACAAGGAATTTAGGTTAAAAATGCTTATGTTATTAAAAAAATTATTCAGTGTGTAAAATTAATGGTTTTTCTTTGTTTTTTGGGATGGGTGTCCCTCTGTCACCCAGGCTGGAGTGCAGTGGAGCAATCATGGCTCACTATAGCCTCTGCCTCCTGGGGAGGCCTCCCCTCCTCAGCCTCCCGAAGCTGAGGTGCCCACCTGGCTTGGCTAATTTTTTATTTTTTATTTTTTAGAAGAGACAGGATCTCACCAACTCAGGCTTTTCTCAAACTCCTGGGATCAAGTGATCCCCCTGCCTCAGCTTCCCAAAGAGCTAGGATTACAGGCACGAGCCACCATGCCCAGCTAAAATTATTATTTAAGTATATTGATGATGTATAATATAATTACATGCAATCTTATAACATTTAGGAACTTTGAGCTTATAGTTAATAAATATATAATTATAATGATCTAACATAAAGAAGTTTATAAAATATAAAGAAAAATAACTATTATCATAATACCTTGTGTTTTTATATGATAAAAAGTCTAAGAAAAATACACTTTAATTATTATTTGCCTTTACTGAACCAAGCTAAAAAAAGATATAATTCAAATGCCATTAGAAAATAGTTTTAGTATATGTTATGACTAAGCCTTATATTTATCTTTATAGATTTATAAAATAATTTTTTTGTCTTTCTAATTTAGAGGAGTGAGTATTATGCTAGGATTTATAGTTGTGTTCCTCAACTGCCACAACTAAGCAGTCAAGCTATTTTTCAAATGACTAAACAAATAGAATATTTTGTCAACCTATAATATAGTTTAGTCAGCAAAGGTTAGAACTGAGATGGGGAAATTAGTAATTTTATTTATTAGTTTCCACATTGAAATTTTATGTTAAATCTACTTCCTGATTCAGTTCCCAAATAGAAATATCATCAGAAAAAAAGAAATTTTTATGTGTACAAATTAAGATAAAATAATCTTATGATCAAATACTTTTCTTTGAAGTTCACTGTTACATGACACTAAATTGCAGTTGAGTTAAACTTCAGTTCAACATGCAAACTTTGAAAAAAATATGGCTTAAATCTTATCTCATAGTTTGCTATAAAGGAAAATTCATTTATGAACCATCTAATGTCACATGTAAAATATTCTTCTATTATTTGATCTTCAATATTAAAAATTCATCTTTCTATAATTACTTCTTGCCAAGAAATTGCAATGATATTCACATAATACCTGAAGTAGATTATATCCTATGGGCATAAGAAAGAATGCCAAGTGACTCAACTAGAGTGTTGCTAAACTGTTCCCCAACTTAATGAGGAATGAGTTCTGAATAAATGTGTATCATATGTTTCTATAATTCCCAATAACCTTCCTCATCAGTATGTTAAGTTTCAAAAATTCATAGTGTCCTCTTAAAACAAATAAATTAGGTCCTTTGGTCACTTGTATTCATATTTGCTAACTTTCTAAAATGTGACACTAAATTGAAAAGATCTAAATTATTTTAAGAAAACATATTTCAGCCTTGGACAAAATACAAAATTGAGACCTTTGAAATGTTATTTAGTATAAATTAAATATTATACAAATATAATTATAGAAATATGTCTATTTGGATACGAGCCCTATATGATTTTGTTGTCACTGCTTTATAACAAAAAAAAAAAAAAAAACATGGAGATTGCAAAGGATTCTATAGGTAACTTTCAACACCAATTCTACTGTGTTGTTTTATTGTCATTAGCCACATGGGTTTCTCACATGTGACTTAGCTGGGGTACACACACTATTAATTCTTAAGTCACACCTGTTTATGAGGAGTTAAATGAGAAAGAGGTAAAGTGAAAAATTTGTTAACATTTATTTAGCATCTACCATTTTCCATGCAATGTGTAAGAAAATTATATATGCCTAGCCTCATTTATTCTATGCAGCAAATGCGGTTAGAATTCATATATACCTTATATAGGGACACAATTACATCATAAAAGTCATGGTACTTAGTAGCCAAGCTGAAATTCGTAACAGGCAGTATTAGCTTTCCAGTGCTGCAAAGCAATATTACTACAAACTTAATGTCCTAAACAACACATATTTATCTCACAGTTGTTCTGGGTCACAAGTCTGGGCACAATTTAGATACATTTTTTGTATCCAGGTTGACAAAGCTGTAAGCCAAGTGTTGACTGGAGTTTTGGTCTCATCTGTGGCTTGATTGGGAAAAGGATCTGCTTCCAAACTCATGTGGTTATAGACAGCATTCGGCTTCTTGTGGGCTACTTGAGTGAGGGCTTTAGTTTCTTGCTGGCTGTTGGTTGGAGGTCTCTCCTTCATGTGGCAGCATACTACATGACAGATTGCTTCTTTATAGCAGCTAATAAAAGATAATTTCCTAGCTAAGTGGGTTACAATTGCATGTAAAATAATTATGTACACACGTAAACTTCTTTACGATATTCTATTGGATAGAAGCAAGTCACAGGGCCTGTCTACATTCAAAGGGAAGAGATTACACAAGGGTGTGAACACCAAAAAGTGGGGATTATGGAGGCTATTCTTTACATCATACTGGCCTAATTCCAAATCCTGAGATACAGGCATATTATAAAGTTGTCTCACTTCACTGAACCTCCAGATGAACTATTATTGGGACACAGATTAGATAGCCTGCCTATAAAGGTAAGATACAAACTGAGAGAGATAGTCTTTCCTTCTGGGATATATTTCATAATACACAGACAGAAAATAATTTATTTTCTTTTTGAATCAAATATATAAAGTAGCCAGAACACAAGCAAATAAATTAACAATAGTAGAATTTAAATGAATGCATAATGGCTAGAAAGATGGATAATAAAAACAGTGAAGCTAATCAGAGAAAATTCAAATAAGGAAGATATTATTGCAAAATTTTTGGAAATGGGTAATGGTTTTAACTTCAAGAAAACAAATTATCTAGATGGGGCAGTGGAGTCAGATTTGATTTAAACTTTTCTTTTTCCTGTTTTTTTTTTTTTTTTAAGTGATGAGAGTAAGTTTACATTTTACTAAAAAATAAATACAGGTTCTGTAGCAGTGAAAAGGCTTGTAATTGAAAATTTACTTTGGTCTCCATGTGGAAGATAAGGTATAAAATGGAGAAGAGTTGATATTGATTTTTTTTTTCTTTTTTTGGAGACGGAGTCTCGCTCTGTCGCCCAGGCTGGAGTGCAGTGGCGCCATCTCAGCTCACTGCAAGCTCTGCCTCCCGAGCTCACGTCATTCTCCTGCCTCAGCCTCCCGAGTAGCTGGGGCTACAGGCGCCCGCCACCATGCCCAGCTAAATTTTTGTGTTTTTAGTAGAGACCCGGGGTTTCACCATGTTAACCAGGATGGTCTCGATATCCTGACCTCGTGATCCTGCCGTCTCGGCCTCCCAAAGTGCTGGGATTACAGGCATGAGCCACGGCACCCAGCTGATATTTAGTTTTTGAAGAAGAGAGACAGGAGGTAGAATATCACCAAGTTGCATACTATGTAAAAGGGCACTATTATACTAAATGATAATAGCACAATAATTGGGGTTAATTCTAGGTTTCACCATACTAGGAAGATGAAATTAGTTAGGAGTACCAAGTACAGAAGAAAATGTAATGAATTTAAAAGCACTCTGAAGAGAGCTGATGAAACTCTAATGTCCTCCAAAGCAGGAACCTATCTTTGTCATTATGTCATAGTCAAAATCTCATATTGCCTGAAACAATCAGATATATCCAACAGATATATGATGAATCTATAGGGACACTTGTCTCCTTCAAAGTGCCAGACTCCAGAACATTCTGGAAATGGATAAGTAGGCATCATAGCTCACAAGATAAAGACTTAGTCTCACAATTTTAGAATTTAGTTTATCCCTGAAAGGTTCAAACCTTGAAAAATATGTATGATATAAAATGCCTATATACATGTAATCACTTGCATTTTATGTCACTATAGAGATGCAGATATATAGATAATATACACATACACACACACATACATACACTTAAGTAAAAAGTAAGTGAGAGAAAAAGGCTTCTAACTCTCGGTTTGCATTCTGGTTTTCTAATTTGACATGCATACATCTGCTTTATCTCTATTCTTTGCTTGATTACTCCATTGCTTATTAAATTTTACTGAGAAACTTTGCATGGGTACAATAACATGGTTGTGCTGATTTCTGGAGAACACAGGAATAAAGTGCTGCAAAAGCTAAAACAATGTTTTTCCTCAGTGTGTATTAATTCCGTTTTCTTTGGTTGTTGGTGGAGTTGGGTGTTTTTTGATTGCTTTTTATGTTCGTGATCCCTAGTCTACAAATAAAGGTCAAAATTATATCCAGCGGGGTCCCATTTTCTGTGGACTCAAGTAGATAAAGATCCATTTATAAGGGAAGATCAGATCTGCTCTAGATAAGCTAACGAACTTCTAATGAAATGAATGATGTAAAAGGCATTATCTTTAGAATCTCAAGAGGAAACTCATAAATGTGAATTTTATGGGTTAAAAACAACGTTTCATAACTGCTAAATGACATTTGTATTACCAGCACTTGACAATTATTTATTCAGTGTTAACAGCTTTTCTGATGCAGAATTATCAGCTCTAGGAAAATGGAGCCTAGATCTCTCAAAGGATATGAGATTAAGCTATATAAATAGATCATACCACAACCCACCATCCCACAGGGACTGAATCAGCAACAACTAGCATGCCAATAAGTAGGTTCTAATTCAAGGATATACCCTTTGACAGTTGTAATTTTATTATTATAAGCAACTTCATATCTAATAATAATCCCAAAATTCCCCATCCCAACTAGGGGAGAAAATATAAACAATTGAAATGATAAAGAGAAAGAATACTAATTATACTTTAGTGTTTGTGTGTGTGTATATATATATACATGTATTACATATATATGTATAATATCAAAATAATACAGCATAATACTATCATGGACATTATTGCATCCAAACATGCAGCGTAAAAAGTAGAACATTCATAATATATTTGCATCTACCAATATGCAATCAATCTACGTTTAATCTACCTACTCTCCTTCCTCTGAGGCCAACACTATCCTGACTTTCATGTTTATTTTTCTGTTACGTCTGGAAAATACTTGTATTATTTATGTCTTCTGTTTGCAATTGAATGTTACCAAAATAGTTTCATAATATATATAATTTTGAGAACCCTGACTTTCACATTCAATATTTTGCTCCTGTGATTTATTCATGCAGCATGCAACTGTGGTTAATTCATTTTTCCTCCTGTAAGATATTCTCTTCTGTGGACATGCCAAAATGTATTCTTCTATTGATGGATATCTGTTTCCAGTTTACTTACTATTACAAACAATGCTGTTGATAATTTGTTTGCATATATCAAAACTTTACCTGTTGTAATAGGATTATAATGCTTAATAGTAGAATATGCAAGTAGTTTTTTTATAATAGTCCCAAACTATTTTCTAAATTGGTTGTATAACTATACACTTCAACAACATATGAGCATTCGTTGTTCCCTTATCCTTGCCAACAATTGTTATTGTAAGAATCCTTAATTTTTGTAAAATTGTGGTTGCAGAAATGATTTTACATTGAGTATTACTTGTCTTATTTTCACATTTGATACATTTATAATGGTTAGAAATAGTTTCACCCTTCCCACTTGATATTTGATTTTTTTTTCTTACTGATGTGTATTGTTTTATATAGTTTGGGTAGAAACTTCATCATCTATAGAGATTACAGAAGTCTATCCTCAAATTTCACCTTCTATCTCATTTTCTTTCAGTGTCTTTTGATGAAAAGGGATTGATTATTATGTTTGAATTTAACTTTCTCATGTTTTTGGTTTTGCACTTTTTCTGTTTTATTTAATAAATCTAACCTAACCCTAATTCATTTAGATATTCTCCTGAATCATCTTGTAATAATTTTAAAGATTTGTTCATATATATATATATGTATATATACATATATGAGCAAGTTACAGTTTGCTTGATACCCCCAAAACATGAAAGAACCAGACATATAGGTTTTGTCAGAAGTGCTCCTGGATAAGGGGAGATCATTGCTGAAATACTAGAATAGTCCACCCGCTCAAGTACCAGAAAGGAGGACAGTCAGATCTCAGTCAGATGAAAGTAGGGAGAATGGCAATGGCCAGAGCCCCGTGCGTTGCCGTTGTTACCGTATTAATGAGATTTAAAAAGAGGGAAAATTATTTTTCAAGATATACATATATACGACTTTCTTTCCAGTCAAATGAGACTTGCATTTCTATTAAAACTTGTCCTATAGTTGTTTCCATTAAAAAAATCTAATTATCTGATTATTCCCTTCATTTGAGCAATTTACCAAGCTCTTTGCCTGATTTTCAAGTTTTTGTGTGAACTTACAATATTCTTCTGAGAATACATATAGGTTACACTCAGATATTAACAACATTCTTTCAATTTTTTTGATTAAATTTTCTCTTTACACTTCTAATTGAGTTCTACCACTTCAAATATTGAATTTCTCTAACAAGCTTTATCTTTTATTATTTTTTCTAGGAAATACCATATAATTCATATTGTTCCATCACACTTTATTTGGAAGTACTAACTGAAATATGATGGAAACCTATCATTTCATCTGTCATGTAAATCCAGTAATTTATTCTTTCAGTATTTTTTATTATTGAACGTACTCCTTTCCTTGGTAGTACAAGTGAGTTATTACAACATAAAAGGAAGTTCAAGCAATATACAGAACTACAAGAAAGAAAGTAAACATCACCCCGAATCACATTATAATGTAGTAACACAGTTACCACTGTTTGTGTGTGTAGTTGTGTGTATATAGTCGTGCATCACATAATTATGTTTTGGTGAACAATGGGCCACATATACTATGGTGGTCTCATAAGATTATAATGCTATAGTTTTATGGTACCTTTTCTATGTTTAGATATGTTTAGACACACAAATACTTACCACTGTGTTACAATTGGCCACAGTATCCAATACGGTAACATGCTGTATAAGTTTGTAGCCTAAGAACAATAGGCTATACCATATAGCCTGGGTGAATTAGTAGGCTATACTATCTAGGTTTGCAGAAGTACACTCTTTAAAGTTCAAATGACAAATTTAACTAAGGACATACTTTTCAGAATGGATCCTATTGTTATGAAATTCATAACTACATTCGTAACATTAAAGCATCCTATGCACGGGTTACTTTTATCAACATATATATAATGGGTATCTTTCAGAATTGTTATACGTAGAGTGCCATAATCATTTTAACAGGTGCTTAAAAATCTCTTATATTTATAATGATTGATTTAACCAGCATTCTAAGTATGAATAAATTTTCTTAAGTCTTTTATAATATGAATAAACTATGATTGTGGTGATTAAACTATGTGTACATATTATATTTCAAATATCATTGTGGTAAGTTCCCAGTAGTTATTTTGTTTGGTCAAAAATAACTACTTTTAGTTATGATACACATTTACCCACAATGAATGGGTAAATACTTGGATCAACTATAATACTTGTATTAACTTGCACTCCCAGCAACACTGAATGAAATATTTCTTCACTCTCTTTTTAAAAGTTGGCTAATATTAACCTCAAAATTACTTGAATTATTCAACAATTCAAAACATAAAAACTATAGATTAATTTCATTAAGTATGCTATGAAATTTACATAGTATATGTTTCCATGAATTTAACAATCATATCATGTATATTTTTAACATAAATGCTATTTTAATGTAAATGCTTAAAGCTTTTTCCCATTTTTTGTTTCAAAATCCTTTATTTTATGCAATATTTTATTTTGTGTACTTCTTCTTTTGTCATAGGTAAATATTTTCCAAGTCTTCAATGTGTCATGCAAATATTTATCAAATTCTTATACAATTGTAACATTTGTGTTTAATCAAAACTTTAATTATTATACATTTTATATAATTTTTAAATATACATATAATCAAAATGATTAATTTGCCATTTAAATAAATTATTTCATTTTCTATATTTACATATTAAAATGAACTAAGACTTACTTTTACAAAATAACAATAAAGTAGATTTGTACAGTACAACTACAAGTGGGCAAACTGTGAATAATGTTCCTCAGAAAATATGAGCACTTACTTTGTTTCAGCCAATAGTGTTTTGCTCTCTGTTTTAAGTTATTTTAGTTCACGGTTGATGCCTGTAAATGTACTTTTACAAAATGATCTGTCTTAACAGCCTTTGCATACAGCGTGATATTCATGATATTTAATAAGCAGTAATCAGTCAAGGTGAATGCCAGTGACTAGAAGAAGAGTGTTGGGGAACCACTGCTATGGCGTGTCTCAATTCCTCATTGTATGATACTAGGGAGGGCCTCAAAAACTGTATGGCTAGAGTGGCCGCTGATGGGGAAAGGGAAACATTCAGGGAGATCAGTATGAAAATAATTCAATATTTTATCATGCATTACAGATATCAGATACCAAAACACACCAGATGAATAGTAGATTGTTTCATCTCAATTTTCTATTTTATAGGGATAGAAAGCTGAAGTACTATATTTTTTGTTTAAATTCAGAATTTAGCCCTCTTACTTTTTATGTCAGATGTATAATGATTTCTATTTCATTCAAATAGTCCTATTTTCTTGTTAGAGATGATGACCATCTGATTTTTCTGTTTTATTTTTAAGGCTATTTAGTAGTCAGTTGAAAGTCTCAAACTACTGTTTTTGAAAGTGAAAGTGGTTATAAACATCCTTGTATTGTTCTCACATGTCTATACTGGTAACATTTTATACAAACTTGGACTATAAGCCCCAGTAAGCAAGCCCCCTAACTGGGGAAGATTAATAAAAAATAATTTTAAAAGCCCAACAAATGCTCAGCAACAAAATTATATTCAACTACATAAAGAAAAATATACAGCTTTTATTCAAAACTGTGAATCAAACAATATTAAATATAAAATTTTGATCTGCTACTTTGTGTGAATTAAGTCTTTACATAATGAATAGTATAACTGTTCATGAAATTAATGGACATTAAATGTATCTAATAGGTGTCAATTTTGTGGCCAGGAGCATATTTGGGTCTTTGTCTCCAAAACAGTAACAAACATAGAAAAAAATTGCTTTAATTGGATTATTTCTAATTATTGAGAAAAAAATCACATTTTGCAAAGTCAAAATTTAGTCTAATTAAAGAAATAAAAAATATGTCTGGGTTAACCTTAAATTAATAGCAATAACATTGATAATTTTACTTTACAACAATTATAGTTTTCTTTGTATTTTTCCATTTAATATGAAACTTGATCTTCAAAAATAACCCTCGGAGGAAAACAGAACAGTTTTATTATCATGAGTTTTCAAATAAAATGTGTCTCCCAAGGTCAAAAGCCTGGAAAACGTCAGATAAAGACCTAAATTGATGTATTCTATCTTTCCTTGTGCTCTGTTAAATTCACCATTTTTATTTTAAAATACACCTAATACAAATACTAAACATAGAAATTGGCTCAATTTTCAAATGAACTGTGTTTCTTAATACCTAATTCTCACATTTTTCCTGGTATTTTATGTAATCCACATTGAATTAAGATCAACTACATATATGGATTATGGATTCAAGTAAAGCAAAATCTTTGTAAATCTCACTCTATTCATTTATAACATAGGGATTATTATTACATCGTGATGTGACTAAATAGTTTACCTTGCACAAAGTTTTTAGAGCAGGATCTGAAACAAATTAAGTTATGTAACTGCAAAAAAGTGGTTGCAGTAAGAATGGTTTTCAAAACAAGTAATTATGTAACACCAAGGATATGTTGAGCATAGGGTTAAAATAGTCTTACATCTGGCATATACTTGTAGCATTTGCCAGATATAATACCTGTTCAAAATGCTATTACATAGATACCACTTTAGATATAGGATTTGCAATTGCCAGATCAGTTTTTCAAACCCTAAATTCTAAACTCTGATGGCCACTTTTCTTCAAGAAAAAATTACATAGATTCATTGAACGTGCTGCAGACTATATATGAGCTCAGGCTATTCCACACAATTTTTTCTTTGATTTGATTTCACTTGCAGGCTTTTTCACTCATCCTCGCACATACCTATTAATAGTACAGGCCAATTATTCTATATTTAAATATTTAATTTCAGCTTTTGAAATGGAGTATATTTTAATTAGAAAAATAAAAGGAGTTAATGTATTTACAGACTCCAACAAATAATATCAAAAGGTTTTTGTCCACTTCATTTACAAAAGTAGAGCCATTTATTTCATTGGCCTTGAGCAAAATTTATGTCCTAACGTCCTACGTATGATAAAAATATAGTAATTATACACTGTGTACGAATGTTTATTTAGCATATTATTAGCTGAAATAAACTAACTTTTCCTCTATTCATGAGCTACTTCTATGATGATCACACTCAGCTGACAAATAACCAACTTGTAATGAAGTGGAGTTTGATGTCTAATGACCTCTCTACTTTTGCCTGCAAGCCTGGCTAACTGAGTCTGGAAATAAGTAAGGTAAGACACAGACAGACATCCACATTAACTACTAAAAACTAGAGCAGGGCACCTCTTCCATAAAAGGAAAATTGTAAACAGAAATCAGCTAGGATAACAGCGCAACGAAATAAAGAGTCATTTGGCTGCCATCCACTGGGCATTGAGCAAACCCATTAAGAGAGTAAGTAAATGGCTCATTCCTCACTTAGCTGCCTCAAACTGGTAACAACTCAAGCTATTTGCTTCTCAGAACTCACATGAGATATGTCTTCTCAGAACTCATATCTGTTTCTCTGTGGTCTGTTTTGCTTTAGGGAGGCTGTTATCCCAAAAGTGTATTTCAAAAGCTCCCTGGCCAGCTGTTTTCTGGTTGTTTCGTGAGTGGGAGGCATTGGTGGAAAGTGATGAAAGACAGGTGACTCTATGCTGCTTTTGCTGGCTGCCTATCTAGCTGGGTGCAGACTTTTAGATTGGCAGGGTTTTTGTTTTTGTTTTTTCTCCCCCTTTAACACTTTAAAGACATTTTTCCTTTGTTTTCTGGCCTCCTTCGTTTCTGCCAAGAAGTCATCCATTGGTCTTGTCACTGTCTGCATGTAATATGCCTCTTTCCTCTGGCTGCTTTTAATATTTCTTTTTTCTCTGTGCTCTCACCAGTGTGAAACCAATGTGTCCGGGTATAGTTGGGTTTTGTTTTGTTTTTGTATGTATTTTGCTTTAGTCACTGAGTTTCTTGGATAAGTAGGTTGATGTTTTCATAAATTTTGGAAAATTCTCAGCTAGTGTCATTTCAGATATGTTTTTCTGCCCTACTCATAGTCTCCTCTCCTTCTGGGCCTCAAACTACGTGCATATTAGGTTAGTTGATACTACCCTACAGATGCCAAATGCCCTGTTTCATTTCTGTTTTTTCTCCTAATTGTAATTCAGTTTCGATAATTTATGTTGACCTTTTTAGCAAATTCATTGATTCTTTTCAGCCTACTCTTAGTGTATATAACAAATTTTTCATTTCTGATATTGCATTTTTCACTTTTAGCATTTCCTCATATTTCTTTCTTATAATTATCATCTCTCTCTGATTAAATTTCCTATGTGATAATGGCTGTTCACCTTTTCAAGTAAGTCCGAGTTAGTTTCAGATCCCTGGCCGGGGGAAAGAAAAAGAACATCTGGAACTCCTGGAACTTTTGTGGCTCTCCTGGTACACTTTCATTTCCTGTTTTCCATCTTTATCAAGGGTCACATTTTCTTGCATCTTAGCTTGTCTTCTGATTTTTTAAAAAAGAATAAAAGAATTTATTTAAGACAGAATATATATAAAAATGCCATACACACAGTATAGATCAGTAGTTGGAGTATAATTTTATAAAGGACTAAATGGTAAATACTTCAGGTTTTGCAGTCCATATAGCCTTGATTGGTACTAGTCAACACTGCTATTGTAGCACAAAAGCAGCTATGGATAATATGCAAAGGAATTGGTGTCTGTGTTCCAATAAAACCCTATTTGTAGACACTAACATTTGAATTTGATGAAATTTTGATGTCTCATGAAAATTCCTTTTAATTTTAAAGCGTATAATTACGTAAAAATAATTTCTAGCCAACAGGCTTTACCAAAACTTCATTCATGAGTCATAGTTTGTTGACCCCTGACATATTTCAGTGCAGGGTGTGCCATCTTTTGGCTTCCCTGGGCCACACTGGAAGAAGATTTGTCTTGGGCCACATATAAAATACACTAACATTAACAATAGCCAAGGAGCTAAAACAAAAGAATCTCATCATGTTTTAAGAAAGTATGTGAATTTGTGTTGGGCCACATTCAAAGCTGTCCTGGGCCACATTGGGCCATAGGTTGAACAAGCTTGGTTTAATGGAAGTAATTTTTACCCATATAAGAAAGCATGCTCTTTTTTTTTTTTTGCCTCAGGCTGCTAGGGTGGAGCTGAGTGAATTCAACATGTATTTGAATTGGAACTTGATTTTGCTGTAACTTGTCAGCTTTAATATATTAATGATTTCAAATAATTTGAAGATGGGATCAGAATTTTTTCTTACGGTATCTGGAATTTTAGCATTAGTAAGATTTCAGAAACTTATGTGTTTCTGCCCCCTGTAGCTTTTCAACCTATGGGATATTTTCTGTTCTTCATAGCTTAACTGCAGCTTTTCGGGTTGTTGGGGGAGTTCTCCTGGCTCTCCATTTCTTTTCTTTTCTTTTTTTTTTTTTTTTGACCTGGAGTCTCGCTGTGTCACCCAGGCTGGAGTGCAGTGGCCGGATCTCGGCTCACTGCAAGCTCCACCTCCCGGGTTCACGCCATTCTCCTGCCTCAGCCTCCGGATTAGCTGGGACTACAGGCGCCCGCCACCACGCCCAGCTAATTTTTTCTATTTTTAGTAGACATGGGGTTTCACCGCATTAGCCAGGATGGTCTCAATCTCCTGACCTTGTGATCCGCCTGCCTCGGCCTCCCAAAGTGCTGGGATTACAGGCGTGAGCCACCGCGCCTGGCCTCTCCATTTCTTTAGACTATGGAGAGTTCTAGACTATGGAGGGTCATTGCAGTGCATTTGCTGAAAACCAAGTGTGCCTTACAGAGAGTTCTCTTATCTCTGCTGAACCAACTTCACCTTCTGGTTTACTGTGCCTCTCCAGTCAGTGAAGCTGTGGGAAAGAGTAGATGTGCATTGTAGACACACTGAGGATGGAAGACTTTAGAATTCTAATACATCATACCAAGTCACATGAATCTATCATAAACTTATTTACTCTTAGTTTCTCCTTACCCCCATCTAGTGTGAATCACTCTTACTCTCCCATTCTGCCAATGGAAGTTATAATAGATCTCTTTTTTTTTTCTGATAAAACTATACTTTTTCTTTTTCTTTTACTGTCTCTCTGTTTGTCCCATTTCTTTTGTCTAGAGTTGGAAAAATTATCATCTACAACTTTCTGTATCTTAACAATAAACATAAGTACACATTTAATTATTTTAATCAGAAGAATGTAGTGCTAAGACTTTTATTTTTAGTTAATACCGTCCACAGTGTGAGGAAATGAGTAAAAGGGCACTGGATTTAATAAAGAAAATTAAGATATGGTCCAAAGTTATGGAAAAGGGACTAAGAAAAGTAGATAGATCAGAGATATATTCAGGATTCCTCAGTTTCTATTGTCAAATAATTCACATTCTGTTTTCAATAAAAATTTACAAGGGTTACTACATAAAATAAGAAATTAAAAAAACAATAAAACCCATCACATTCTTAAGAGACAAAGTATCAGAACGAGACTCATATGTTACACAGATTTTGCAACTGTAAAATAGGGAATTTAAAATAACTAATACTAGATAGTAAAGGTTCCAATGCAAAAATTAGACAATATGCAAGAACAGATAGTAAATGTAATAGGAAGATGGGAATTCCAAAAAAGAACTACAAGTAAGTGTTCAAAATTAAAGACACTGTAATATAAATAAAGAGTGCATTTAATTGGGTTCATCAGTAGTGTGGACATGACCAAGAAAAGAATCAGAGAACTTGGAGATAGGTCAATAAAAACTCCCCAAAACAAAAAGCAAAGACCAAAAAAAAAAAAAAAAAAAAAATAGAGAGCGAGAAAATAAAAAATATGAAACAAAATTCCAAGAACTGTAAACTCTATGACAATTATAAAAAGTGTAATATGCATAATGTGAAAAGCAGCAGGAATGTACGAAATAGTGGCTGAGAATATTTTAAAACTAATAATGGCATCAAAACACAGAGCTGGAAAACTCAGGAAACACCTAGAAGAATAAATAACAACAATAACACAAATCTAGATGTAGGCCTCTTATATTCAAGCTGCAGAAAACCAAAGATAAAGGGAAAATTTTAAAAAAAGCCAGGGGTGTGAGGAAGTAGGTGGGGAGTGATCTTGGAAAAAACACCTTACTCATAGAGGAACAAAGATAAGAATTACATCAGATTTCTCATGAGAAACTATGCAAGCAAGAATAGAGTGGAGTGATGTGTTTAAAATATTGAATAAAAAAACCTGAAATTCTGTATTTCACAAAATTAACCTTCAAAAGTGAAAAACAAACAATTTCTCAGACAAACAAAAACTGAAATTTGTCACCAGTAGCCCTGCCTTGAAAGGAATGTTAAAAGTTCTTTAGAGAGAAGAAAAAATGGCACAGCTCAGAAACCCAAATAGTTCATGTATATAAAATTCTGGAAAAAGGTAAAGGTTTAGAAATAGAGAACAAATTAGTGGTTTCCACGAGCTGAGTGTCAAGAAAGTAGGAAAGGGAGTGACTATAAAGGGGGCAAGGGGAACTTTTTGGAAAGGTGGAAGTATTCTGTATGTTGATTGCAGTGGTGGTTACATAACTTATGCATTTATCAGAATTAACGTGAACCTAAAAAGGTTGAATTTTACATTTCTGTACATATTGTCTCAATAAATCTGGCTTTAAGATTGTTTTGTAAAAATCATACAAAACTTGTGAGCTTTCTAATATTTTGAAATAACTAATTATATAAATATTAGGTAGTAGAACAAGTAACTCCAAAATCAAAACGAGATCTTAACTTTTGTCCAAATGTATCCCCATTTATAAATAAAACTTTTTCATGGAAACACTTGTGTTGGGGAGTTAAAATTTATTTATTCGGAAACCTAGATATTTTATCATTTAAGAATCAGACAGATTTTTAACATGTTTTCAACATATTTGTAAAAATTTTTTAATTTATTATAAACCTGCTTATAAGTATTTACAATAAAGTAGGAATATGTCATACTATATTTCCTCTTTAAATTTATGAAAATATAAGGCTCTATTTCTTAATGCCTCACAAATATTTTCTATTTTTTTTCTCATTCTTCAGGTTCAGCTTAAGTTGGGGCTTAAAAAGACCAATATGCATATTTTCTAGCAAATTGACTAAACTGAAATGGTTCTTCCAAGAGGATTTGGGGACATTTATTAATTCTTATTTCAAAATGTTAAATGTTTGGCCCACTATCTTAAGCTATTAATTCCAAACAGCACAATAAACTGAAGACACTAAACGTTAAAAAGGGAAACATATCAGTTATATATTTTCCTAAGTATTGTTTATATTATAGATGATTGAAAGTTTTAGTTAAATTAGCCTGTAAACACCTTCAACTTGATAGTCACCCTTATCATTTAAAATTGTTTTATAAAAAATGCATTAGGAGTTATTCAGAAAAACCCCAAAGCACGTCAGACTTATTACTCTATTTTATGGATTAGAAAATTTACCAAAAGCTGGAAAATGAGTTGCCTTAAGTTACATATTGGTTCAATGGCAGAATAAGCTACTAAACTCAAACCCTCAGGGATTGCTTATTTCATTATTCAACAAAATCTCCTTTTGCTTACAGTTTTCATGGAATAAATTTAAATAGTGTAACCTATTAGATACATATTAGTTTAAGGAAATATTCACTGTCAGAATAAACACTAATTTATTTAAAGAATGAATAAATAAATCACTGCATTGAAATAGTTATCAAGGAATAGGATTCAATAAATCTTAATTTCTTCTTTTTAAAAAACACATAGGGTGTGAGGAGAAGCTGTCCTACTCCAAATTACAGAACAGAAAGCACATAAAAAGCAACGCCCAGACTAAAATCCCAACAGAATCTTTGGTACAGCAAGTTAACATATCCACTTAAGGATTGCAATTTGGAATTTGTAGTAAATAAAAGTATTTGAAATATTTATAATTATAGGCAGAGATGTAATTAACATACCTATAACTTTGTCATAGCAATAGGGAAAGATATCTTTAAAATCCAGATTGTATTTAAGTAAATAACATTTTTAAGTGAGGTGAAAGTTAGTAAACTGCCAGAAAAGAAATTCAGATGCCAGTACTTAAAGCTTACTTTTGTCTGTGTATTGTTAAATGTCTATGAAGATAAAGAAAGACATAATTGTGTGCACTAGTGCCAAGAACAGGTCAGTATCTATAACTTTTGGAGCCTTGCAAAATTTTTGGCAATCTGGGTACTAATCTAATAGTTTCCTAGTTGATTCTCCACATAGAATCTTCAAAACTTTCAATCGTTCTTCACCCTAAACCCCACCTCTCACCTAGTCACACAGAAAACGAGAATACCTAATGGCATCTCCCCCAGTTTCCCCCCTTGGAAAACCTAAGCATTAACCATCATAGCCTGTAGTTGGCTTTTGTTGTCAAGTCTAAAACCTCAATGTTACAAATCTTCTCCACTTAGGGCTTAATTCTAAGAGTGCTTAGCACAGACCCTATTGCATCACCATAGAGAGTATGATTCTTCAAAATCTTGTTATATAAAAATATAATTTCCTTTCACAATTAAAAACAATGTAAATAAAATGTTCCATGACCCTGCTTTGTCAGCATACTGTTATCTTCTCTCTTTCCTTCTCTTAGGCTTCCTGAAAGACTTGCTTCTGAAAGTCAGAGCTCCTTCACTCCAGTTTTATTGAAGTATAATTGACAAATAAACATTGTATAAACACTGTATATATTTAAGGTGTGCAACATATTTTGATATTTGAATATGTAACCAAAGGAAGGTCTGGATACTCACCACTTGCAGAGTCTAATTAACAAGATTGAGGTCTGGTAGAAAGAAAGTGATTTTATTAACCAAATCTAGTAATGAGGAAGTGGATGGATTCCTATCCAAAGCAACTGAGTTTCAGGGGGAAGGAAAGGGTTTAAAAAGGTAAATCTTAATGTGGAAATCATGCAAGAATTTTGCTGAGTACAATGTCTGTGTGTCTTATTCCAGTGACTATCTTGGGCCCCACTCCACCTGGAGGGCAGGCCAGTGTCATCTCAACAATGGCCTGGTTGTTAACTAGTCCCCTTGAAGTATCTCTGGAATTTTTCAGCTGGGTCTGCAGGCTTGGTCTGTCTCTCTCAAGATTAGCCCCTCAAACTTCTAAGAAGGCACATAATTGCATACTAGCATACAGTTAGATAAATGTGAAGGTAGTATAGATAGTGAGAAAGACATGGATGTGGAGTCTATTTTAAGGCTAAGGGAAAAGGCTTCTGCTGTTTGTTTCAATGTTATGTCTTAAAACTCAAGAAAAAGAAAAAAAAAGTCTTAAAATCTATTTTGAAATTAAGCTTCTCAGTGACATACACATTGTGAAATGATTATCACAATCAAGATAGTTAACACATATACCATCTCACATAGTGTGTGTGTGTATGTGTGTGTGAGAGAGAGAAAGAGAGAAAACATTTAAGATCTACAGTCTTAGTAAATTTCTAGTACACATTACGGTATTATTAACTAGAGTTACCATGCTGTAGCTTAGATCTCCAGAATTTATTCATCCTGCATAACTGAAATTTTGTGCCCTTTGACCAACATCTTCCCCAGAGTTTTTTATTGTAACCAACATAAACAAATTCTGGCTATTTCATGCAAAACTAAGAAATCCTATTTTTAAAAAAATTAAAAAAAAAAAAACCACAAAAAACTAGAGAGCTTTCACAATTGAGAAGAGGTGGATGCCCTGTAAAATAAGTAGCAGGAATAATTTATTCAGGACATCAGTTCTGCTCCTTGTGAACATGTGACTATACCCCTCTCTCGGCCGTGGTTACATGCTTCATTCCTCCTGGTGGAAATGCATTTTAAAAACATCTTTTTCTTTTGTGTCATTTGCCTCGATTACCTAACCTGTCCTGTGTACCTGTGCCTTGGCTGGTGAGGCATTGAAAAAAGAAATCTCTCTTTTTAGGATACTGTAGTTAGAGCTGTGCCGCAAAACTAATTCTTTTTAATATTGAAGATCATGAGAAAATTCTTTAAAAATAGGAAGGGATAGACAATCTTATGTTTAGCCCATTCAGGCTTTTATTACAAAATGGTATAATTTTGGAAACTTATAAACAACAGAAATTTATTTCTCACAGCTCTGGAAGCTGAGTATTCCAAGATCAAGGTGTCAACAGATTTGCCATTTGGTGAGAGGCTGCTTTCTCATAGATGACACCTTCCACCTTTGTCCTCATATGGTCGAAGAGGCAAACAAGTTTCCTTGGGCCCCCCTTATAACAATACCAATTCCATTCATCATGGGTCTGCCCTCATAACCCAATTACCTCCCAAAAGCCATACCTTCCAACATCATAATTTTGGGGGCTAGGTTTCAATATATGAATTTTGGAGGATGCAAACATTCAGACCTGTTAACTAAAAAATCACAAAACTTACAAATTTGGAAAGGAGAGCTTGACTTTTTAAGAAGGGGATTACAGCCTGCAGGCAAGAAGCATAGCCACAGGCTGAGAATCCAAAAGTAAGCCCTTCAAGGGAGGGGAGGGTGGAACAGTAATTTATGTTAAACGGGTTGGTCAAGTATAAATATTTAACAGGTTACAGGAGGAAACACGACTGTCTATGAAGGTAGTCATAATACATGCATAGTAAATAGACATGTATGTTACACATGACCCATGTTCACCTGTCAGTGGAGAAACCATTTAAAGGTATTAAAATTAGGCCCTATATATCGAAAGGTAAAGCAGGGACATGAAGGCATTCACATGCACAGCCTCTGTAAAACTGGCTAGAACCAGTCTATAGGCGGTGTTCTCTTACCAGGAGAAAGTTGCAGAAATCAGTGTCCTGTTCAACCAAAGCTGTAGTTAGTGGTTTATGAAACAGGGGTCAGTTAGCGAGTGTCTGGTGGTGAGCAGCAATTGTTTTAATATTGCTTATCTCAAAGCCAGTGCTTGTTTAGCTATTAGAGGAGAAAACAACAACAACAAAACAGCAGCAGCAATAAAACCTTGTGGCAGTTAGAACATAGTTTATTCTTTAAGCGTAGAGGTGAATGACTTAATCCTTGCCTGGTATCACCTGAGGTCTTGTTTATAACTAGATATCTTCTTGCCACAAAGAGTCCGTTCTGTCAGTCTTATGACCTCTATTTTAACATTAATGCTAGTCAGTTGTGTTTAATTCACAAAAGGTGGGGAGTGTATAATGAAGTGTGTCCAACCTCCTATCCCATCATGGACAGGAACTCAGTTTCTAAGGTTTCTCTGGGGCCCCCATGGCCAACTGGGGTCTGTTCAGTCTGTTGGGGATTTAGGATTTTATTTTTAGTTCATAGACCCTAGCAAATTAGTGTCCAAACTTTAATCTCTGAATTACTTGTCAATAGCATTCTTTATTTCTAAATTTACTACCAGATGGCTCTACCCTCTCACCCTGCTCAAACTATTTCTCTTAGTGTTACCAATGATCATTTGTAAAAACAAGGAACATTTCTCAGTCTTTATAACATTTGATCTTTTAGCAATATTGGTTGGAATTGACTGACAACCATCTGCTTTAAACACACTTCCTCCCAGTTTCTTCACTGATTCCTTTTGCTTTTTTTACTCTATGAACATTTCTTCAAAATCTTACTTTTTTCCCACATACTTCTTCAGGATTTTGATGCCTCAGTACTATGCCTTTGCTCTCTGTCTTTCTTACTTTGCATATATATACTTTATACTCTTAGGTGGCTTCATTTATTCTCATAATTTTATTCATGTCGAATCACTTATCCAAATGATTCCCATGTTTATTTCTAGTCAAAAATCTCTCCTATAATCATTATTTCTTTATTCAATTGCATGATCCTAAGTCTCATATTTCACTCCTTGGCTTAAATTTCCTGTCCTCAAAGAAACATGTCCTCTTTTCTAATGTCCCCATCTGACTCCCTATTACTGAGTTGTATATATACTTCACAGACTTGATCAAAATATATATTATGCACATGTTTCTCTTCCCATACTACATATATGCTCATGAAAAGCCTTTTATGTGAGACAAAATTGCACCCTGTAAATCGTCTTGTAGTTAAACACGAGCATTTGTAACCAGAGCACTAAAACAAATAAACAAGTGAAAACAAATAAAAAGAGTAGCATATTTAAGTCTACACTAGCATGTGGACACAGCATCATAATCAGCTGATTATTTTCAGCCTTAAGACATGTGATGTTAATTTTTCTCCTTCGAGATAGCTAACTGATGGCTTTTGTTTTCAATACGTATCAGTTTTATCAAAAATTAAAATTCCAATCCAGAAAAAAAACATCTCCATCAATATTTTTTTAAACAGAGGAAAATAGCTTTATAGGTTTTTTTCTGGACTGTAAACCAGCAACAAAACAATCAACCATTTGCATCTAGGAAAAGAGCTTCTACAGTAGCTTAAGCTTTTTCTTCAGGCTTTCCCTTAGATGGTGAGAAAGCTCACCTTGCTCACCTCTAAACATTGGTATGGCAGTGGGGGATGGGCTATGTATGGACCAATAAGACTACATATTAATTATATTGTTATTATTTAATTGTATGCCAATCACACATTAACTAAAAGCATTTAAAAATAAAACTACATTTCCTACAGAAGAGCATATACTTTTTCTATTTCTCCCATTTGTTTTTATTCTCCACACAAGTAGGAAATTTCTATTTTATTTACCAATATTTACTCAAGTTCCTTGTTTAGTTCTTGGACCACCAGGAGGCATTGTACTTATATAAAGTAAATGAATAACTAAGATCTCATATTCTCTTTTTCAGGTAATGCTGTCCCCCTTTCTAAGTCTACTTTGACTACACAAATGAATGCCCTCATAATTTCTAGCCCACGCCCACACAATAGCATCATTAGTAATCCCTTTGATTCCAATCTATTTCTTTTAAAACAATATTCCATTTAACTGCACTGCTCCTGTAAAATTGCAAACCAGATGGTGTTCCAACTTCTTTAAAACTTCTTAAAGGATCCCAGTTTACCTGCTGGGTGAAATAGATGTTTTCGTCCTACAAGATTGCCCATCATCTAGACAGTATCTGTTCCTCAAGTTTCATGTTATGACATTCTGTTTCCCAGTTATCTCTCTAGTAGAACTAAATTGGGATAAGATTTGTGAAAATGCCCTGCCATTTGCCTCTCATGTCCTAGCCTCTATTAAATCTATTTGTACTTATTCTTTAAGATCTTCACCAGGAGGCCTCCCTGGCCCGTGCCTGTTCCAGTCAGTTACCCCTCAATTGTCTCAAAACTTCTGCCATCAATATATCTAACATTGTTATTAGTACTCTCTATTGTAGAGCATAACATTGATCTATTCAGTAATCTCTCTCCCATGTTGAAACTATAGACTGAGTCTTATTAATTCTTGTATTCTCCTATACAAAGTGATGACTCTCATAGATCCAGCAAACAGGATATGTTTAATTAATTAATATGAATTAACGATATACTTTCTGGGGTGTCCTGATGTTAAATATATGTGTTATTCTTTGTTTACTCTTCTAAATTCAAAATTCATATTTTCAATTGCCTTAAAGGAATATTCTTCAGTAATTCTCACCTCCAGTTCTGTGTTCTTATCATCCCTTCTGCATGAATTTTTCCCCATATATCCTCATAACTCCCGCATTCACTTCCTTCCAAACTTTTTTTTTTTTTGAGACAGAACCTGGCTTTGTCACCAGGTTGAAGTGCAATGGTGCAATCGCGTCTCACTGCAACCTCTGCCTCCTCACTTCAAGCAACTCTCATGCCTCAGCCACCCAAGTAGCTGGGATTACAGGTGTGCACCACCATGCTCGGCTAATTTTTTTGTATTTTTAGTAGAGATGAGGGTTTCACCATGTTGGCCAGGCTGGTCTTGAACTCCTGGCCTCAAGTAATCTGCCTGCCTCTGCCTCCCAAAGTGCTGGGATTACAGGCATGGGCCACCACACCTGGCCCCAAACTTTTCCAAATTCTCCTTAGCATAAGAGACCATTGTATCCCCACATAAAATACCATTCTTCATCTCTCTTTCCCTGCTTTAACCGGCTCTATTATTGTTGTATTACTCATTATCACTAATTAGTAAATTTTATTTCTTCATCTGCCTCTCCTCACTAGCATATGAGTGTCTTGTAATTAAATTATTTTTTCAATGTTATATATTCAGCTTTGCTAGCCATGTTTGTGAAAGTATACTCTTAAATATTAATGGAAAGGAATAGAAGATGAAAGGCTTCCCTTAATTCTCTTTTACGCCAGACTTTCTATAACCCCTTCCATCAGAATTTTGAAGTGTAATGTTCCTTACTTGCCCAATTTCTTATACCCAATACTTGTGCAATAAATCCGTCAGTGTGGCAAGAAGATCTGAAAGTTATGCAGATCCAAAATATAACTTATCTACGTTTACTCCTCTTCTTACTGCCAAATGAGGTTGTCTTCTTGTCATCACTGTTTCTCTTTTATAATGCTATTCTCCAAGGTATCCAGATGGAAACCTTGGACAATTCCCATGTTAATTGGTCCTGATCAGCTCACACCCATCTTGAATTCCTTGCTGATGAGATACGACACATAAACACCTCCAGTCAAGTGGAGAAATAATTATAGGTAAATATTTTGTACTGGATACTGAACAAGAATGCAATTTGGAATTAGAAATTCTCCTAGGAAATAAGATGATATGTGGTGTATGGAGGCCACTATAAGATTTGCCTCTTTATTTTATTTTTTTTCTCTAAATTTGTCACACTTTTCCCAAGCATGGCCATCAGAGATAATGATAAAGGCAGGAGGCAGACAAATGCCCTCAGCAGATAGGAAAGAGTCCCCAGTGAAACCTCACCTTCAACCCTAAAACAGCTTGAAGGCTGAAAGACCGCGCTGCTGGTCCCAGATGAAACCCACAACCCAGAGGGAAAACTTCTACCCCTGTTTGCCCACCTTTCCCAATGGATTCTTTCTGAATAATACCTTTTAACCAAAGGAATGTTGCATTTTCCGAAACTACCTACGGCTTGCCTGGGCATGCCCATGTACGCATTTGGGGAATGGGGTGGAGCCACCTGGAATTCGTGCCTTATGTAGCAGGGGAGCCTGGGCTCCAGCTCATGTGTAGTGGCCCTGGTATTCAATTCGTGAGGTGGAAACCTGCTTGTAGGACCCCCTTTCTTTATTGAGAGTTCTCCTTTTGCTTAATTAATTCCACCTTCCTCACCCTCCAATGTGTCTGGGTGCCTAATTCTCCATAGTTGTGAGACAAGAACCTGGATTAGCTGAGCTAAGGAACAAACAATCCTGTGTTAGTAGGACCAAAAGAATGGTCAGTCCCTCTCTCTCTGTCAGCTTCAGTCCAAGCAGAGTGTACACCATGGATGAACAGTATCTCTCAAGGAAGCAAGGCGACCCTCCAGCAATACACAGCTTAATAAACTTGTAGCTTTAACATCTTCCATGAGGTATGTAAAGAGAGTGGAAAGAAAGGCTAAAAGATGTTCTTCATGATCCTTTACAAATTAGGACAATATACAAGTTAGAGGAGAGAAAGTGCCTGTCCCTGCTCAAATAAATACAATATTCCTCACATTTTAGTTCTCTTTTCTTTGTTTCAGTGGTGTGATCTTGACTCACTGCAACTTGCGCCTCCCAGATTCAAGCAATTCTCCTGCTTCAACCTCCTGAGTAGCTGGGACTACAGGGGCACGCCACCACACATCCAGCTAATTTTTGTATTTTTAGGAGACACAGGGTTTCACCATGTAGGCCAGAATGGTCTCGATTTCTTGACCTCGTGATCCACCCACCTCAGCCTCCCCAAGTGCTGGGATTACAGTTGTGAGCCATCATGCCCGGCCTAGTTCTCTTTTAATCCAATGATCTTAACAATCAATCTTAAGGTCAACCAGTGTATAGTTCCCTCCCAGAGGAAGAGGCTGGCAGGTTATAGAACTAATCATGGTCTGCCCACTTCGTAAGATGAATTTAAAAATAACCATCATTGTTTCTTTATTTTTTTTCTTCTGGGAGCAGTAAGAAGAGCATTTTGCTTTAGCTTTCAGAAGCCTCTGAAATAGAACAGGATGTTAGGGAACTTTATACTGCAACTGAAGCAAAAAAGAAAATATCTTCTGTTTTCTGCCAGATTATCTAATAACACTCATCAAAACTTACACAATTATTTAAAACTGAAAAAGAAAAAATGATGAAAATTTAAACACAAACCCTTTCCTGCTATGATATCCCCGATAGAAATACTGTTTAAAAATACAAAGAAATAAATTCTCCAATAAGATTTTACTCAACTCATTCTTAGCTAATACAATATGTCTAATTGAAATCATTAAATGTTATATGTTTATCGAACCTTAGAATGTTGGTAGACATACTACCAATCTGTATATATTGAGCATTTTTATAGGTGTATTGGGAATGGCACCAATCTCCACTTAGTTGGTGTCATTTTGCCACCTCAGATTACTTTAAATATCTCATACTAGGCTGATCATGGGACTTCATGCCTGTAGTCCCAACAGTTTATGAAGATGAGGCAGGAGGATCATTTGAGACCAGGAATTTAAGTCCAGCCTGGGCAACATAGTGAGGCCCCATCTGTATAAAATATTTTTTAACAAACAAACATTAGCCAGATGTGGTGCCACATGCTTGTCATCCTAGCTACTGGGGAGATCTCAGCAACAGAGTGAGATCCTGTCTCAAAATCCAACCAACCAAACAAACAAAACCTTATATTATGCTATTCAAGGGTATAAATACTGATTACAATGTATACTATAGTTTTCTTATTTGTAAAATGCATATAGGCCGGGTGCAGTGGCTCACGCCTGTAATCCCAGCACTTTGGGAAGTTGAGACGGGAGGATCACGAGGGCTGGAGATGGAGACCATCCTGGCTAACACGGTGAAACCCCGTCGCTACTAAAAATACAAAAAAAAAGTAGCCAGGCATGGTTGCGGGCACCTGTGGTCCCAGCTACTCGGGAGGCTGAATCAGGAGAATTACTTGAACCCGGGAGGCGGAGCTTGCAGTGAGCCAAGATTGCGCCACTGCACACCAGCCTGGGTGACAGAACGAGACTCCGTCTCAAAAAAAAAAAATGTATATAGACATTAGTTATTCCACAGTGTGAAGATTAAAGATAAACATATAAAGTACCTAGCACTGAAGCTAATCCATGACAAGTTATGTTCCTTTCCTTTATTTTTGTCTTATTTTCAAAAATACTTAACATTTTTCTAATTTTCATGCTCAGGGCCATGAGAAATTATTATGATAGATCGCATCACCTCTTTCTCTCCTGCCCTACAGCCTCTTCATTTCCTTTCTCCTCACGTCTGTTGAACTAAATCCAATGATTAAAAGAAACAGAGATTTTCTCTTTCTTAACTGATGTGCAGCAGGAAAAATGGACTTTGAACCCTAAGAAGGGAAACAGTTTTCTGGGGTTTTAGGGCACAGAGCTACTCTGAGGACAGGGAACAATGATTTGGGGAATAAAACCACAAATGTCAGTCATTTTGGGATGCAGAAATCAGAAAAACACAATACTAGTTGACATGAGTCATAACTGAAGGGACTTCAACTGTCTCCTAGAAAAAGATTTCAATATTTTTTTTCTCTGTAAGTTGGCATTATATTTTGGGTCAGGTGGAATTTTTCAGCATAGGTAAATGAGGTCTGCAAAACATTGTAAGAATAAGAAAATTCTTTCCTGTGTTTTCTCACATTTGACTTTATGGTCTTCAAATACTTTTATGGTGTTTCTTCACAGTTCTAATAAATAGACACAAACATGTATACATGTATTATGTATGTATACACACACACACACACATATATACTTAAAATATTAACTTGTCTTGGTAGACTTTTATCTATGTAATTACCAAAGACAGTTTATGTAAATATGAAAACTATCACAGTCATGGCAATAGTAATGAAAGAATGCAGGTCATGTTTAGAACTTAAATTTACATATGCCTTGTTCAGTTCACTTCCCAATAATTCATTTGAGTCGTTTGAACTGGAAAAAAAAAACCATAAATGGCTGAACATAATATAAAATAAGATGTATGCTTGTATGTTTGTGTGTTTTATAAAACTTCTACAGGATGAATATCAATAGATAATAAAATTATGTGACTATAGTCACTGTACTAATAAATACCAGTTAATTTCAAAGCTTTACATTTATTTTGACATTTTTGAAAATACTGATGACATTTTGTAGTATAACTGTTCATGATATTTGTGTATTATAAGTAGTTCTACATAGTCAGAATTTTTACAGGTTAAACAATATTTATAGGAAGCCATTGGTTTGGTCAAATCTCCTGCACTAGGCCAAACTGACCAAACTAAAATGGAGTCATTCTTGCTAAAGTTCCACATCATCAAGCCAAAACTGAGCTGTTTATCTGACCTTCCAGGTAATCAGAATGAGAGACAATAGTCAAATTCCCAGTCTAGTTTCAGTTGACCTGTTTAAATAGAGTTTCCTCTGTTTTTAATTCTTATAAAAAAGTAACAGGAAGTAACCTGGTGCCAACAACCAATTATTTCTCTATTGTTCTGTCTCCCTGTTCCCATCTTACAAAGAAAGTAACTCTAAAATGAACAATTCACTTTTTGTTCTTTGTTTCTGCTTTCTCCAGCCCACCTTTATCTATAAAACCAAACTCCTCTGCTCAGAACATTGGAAAGCTCATTCTGCTTTGTAGAATAAAGTGTTGCCTGATTCTAGAATCGCAAATAAAGCTAATTAGGATCTTTAAATTAAATTTGTTGTAATTTTGTCTTTTGATAATAGCATTTCAATATCAGGAAACCGAATTTATTTATTGGTTGCTTGTTTTTTACACAAGCGTGTGCATCTGTGTTTTTTAAACTATATTCCACTATGAATTTGTTTTTATTTCCCTAAAACAGTAACTTTCATGTATTTGTTATTGTTGCTTTTATACCAGGGTATTCCATAAGAAAATTGCTTTCATTTCATAAAGGGTTAATTTTATTCTATAAACATAGTGCAGATATTTTTGTTGTTGTTAATTCCATAAACTTTGAGTAGTACATCTGCTTTCATGTCATAAATCTTAAGACTAAATCGCAATTTCCTCCCAAGTGGGATGAAATGGATTTGAATTGGACACTGAAAAAGAAAACTGCTGTGCTATTTGTTACAGCTGGCCAACTTTGTTCAATTGAAGCAACAGGGATGTGTTGAAAACCAGGCTGTTTCCACAGGTCATTATGAAGCTCACTCATGGAATTGCCAGTGGAAAATTTCAGAGAATCATCCCATGGAGCATGGATGTTTCAGTACAACCAAGGTAGCAATCTTCTATATATCCACAGCTAAGCACAGCAAAACTTGTTATCTAAAAGAAATTTCAGGGACTTAGACATAAATTATAATGGTTATAAAGTTTTGGATAGTTATCTTCTAATTCCATTATTTGACATTAAAGTAATATAGAGAGAACTGTATTTTTTAATAATATTACATTATAGGGCATCAAATTTGTCTGCAGATAGGTTGTTTTTTTACAGTCTTTCAGAGGGAGTCAAGAAAGAAGGAAGCATGAGGCACTATGAAAAAAGAATTAGATATTCAGGAATTCTTTAAAAGTTTTCTTATTATGGTAACAGTAAAATAAGTACCATTTTTCCATACTCACTAACACTCGTTAGTTTTAAATACTAAAATACTTTGTTTTAAATACTAAAATAATCAAAATATAACTTCACAATATAAAAAAAGAGTTTATAAGGTTATAGCAAAATCATAGGTTGCCAATTTGGGTATGTCCACTGATAGCAGTTGTGTTTCATTGGAGATATTTGAAATTCTCTCATAACATTCACATAAATATCTTTATTAGTTATTGTTTTAGTTATGTTCAAAATTATATTCCATGAAGTCTAAACCTATGTTCCATAACTACATGTTTGAGAAATAAACTTATCAGGCAAACATTTAGAAATTGATGGGTAAAATAAAATAAGCATTGTTTTTATAAAGCTCTGATTGCAAAATTATAGGCAGACTTGTTTATATGTTCCTATGTTTAAGTTTTTTTTGTAAGTCCCACCCAGCACACTACTGTTTGCCTTTTCATTGCCTTTAGGTCACTGTTTATGGTATCTAAGCAAGCAGGAAAAAATGGCAACTAGCACAGTGAGCAGATGGCTAACACAGTCCCCTCCATGTGACTCCTGCTAACATAGAAGTCTGCTCAAGACTACATGGTAAATAGTGTTTATCATAGGTGGGATCGTTATCCCTTTAGCCCTTTCATTAGTTCTTTGACCCCTACAGTTCAGCATTAATGAAATCATAACTTCTCATTCTTGAGGCTCCTGTACTATTCCACCAGTGTCCTAGTAATGGAGTGTGTGTTTACTGCAACTAAATTACAGAGCTTCGTATGGCATGCCCCTAGCATCAGCCTCACACAGTTGTGGGTCTTTGACACACACTGGTAAAGTTCTGCAATGAACTGTGCTTATTAGAGCCCACCAGGAAGGCGAGCTTCTTAGTATAATTAGCTCCCCTGAGAACAATGGCTGCCTTCACAGCTGGAAAACTAGAAGAAATTTATTCTAAAGTATGGGAAGCACTGAAAAGGCACCTGTAATTAAATTTCCTTTTCTGCTTCTTTCTTTTCTTTCTTTCTTTCTTTCTTTCTTTCTTTCTTTCTTTCTTTCTTTCTTTCTTTCTTTCTTTCTCTTTCTTTCTTTCTTTCCTTCCTTCCTTCCTTTCTTTCTTTCTCTCTTTCTCTCTCTTTCTTTCTTCTTTCTTTGTTTCTTCTTTCCATATTTATAGTTTAAGGTTTTTTTTTTAGTTTTTCTCCATCTTGATTAACAAAATATAATTGTAATATTTGTTAATTATGAATATTACTTGCTGAAGGTCATGTCTTCAATTGCTATATGACTTTAATAATGTTTTCCTCTTTCAGTGCAGGTTTAGTAGAGAAATACACACACACACATACGCATAAGACTTGTGAGAAATAAACAGTTTAGAATCTTTACTGTGTAGACAAAATGTTTGAATAACTACATTAGTCTGTTTTTGCATTGCTGAAAAAACTACCTGAGACTAGGAGATTTGTAAACAAAAGAGGATTAACTGACTCACAGTTCTGCATGGCTGAGGAGGCCTCGGGAAACTAACAATCATGGTGGAAGGAGAAGGGGAAACAAGGCATGTCTTACATGGCAGCAGGAGAGAGAGAGCAAGGGGGGAACTGAAAAACACTTTTTAACCATCAGATCACATGAAAACTCACTCACTATTGTGAGAACAGCATGGGGGAAACCACCCCCATAATCTAATCACCTCCCACCAGTTTCCTCCCAGGACACATGGAGTTTACAATTCAAGATGAGATTTGGTTGAGGACACAGAGCCAAACCATGTTATTCTGCCCCAGCTCCTCCCAAATCAGATATAATGCTCACATTTCAAAACACAATTATGCCTTCCCAACAGTCCCGCAAAGTCTTAACTAATTTCAGCATTAAACCAAAAGTCCAAGTCGAAAGTCTCACTTGAAACAAGGGAAGGCCCTTCCACCTGTGAGCCTCTAAAATCAAAAGTATGTTAGTTACTTCTAAGGTACAATGGGTGTACAGGCATTGAGTAATGCTCCTGTTCCAAAAGGGAGAAATTGGTCAAAACAAATGGGCTACAGGCCCCATACAAGTCGGAAAACCTACAGGGCAGTTATTAAATCCAAAACATCAAAAAAATCTCCTTTGACCTCATGTCTAAAACCCAGGACTTGCTGATGCAAGAGGTGGGCTCCCAAGGCCTGGGGCAGCTCTGCTTTTGTGGTTCTACAGGGTACAATCCCTGCACCTGCTTTCATGGGCTGTTGTTGAATGTTTGTGACTTTTCCAGTATCACTGTGCAAGCCATGGTGGATCTACCATTCTGGGGTCTGCAGGATGGTGGCCCTCTTCTCACAGATCCACTAGGCAGTGGCCCAGTGGATGCTCTGTGTTGGGAGCTCCAACCCAACTTTTCTCTTCTGCATTGCACTAGGTTCTCCATAACGGCTTCATCCCTGCAACAGACTTCTGCCTGGACATCCAGGCCTTTCCATACATCCTCTGCAATTTAGGTGGAGGCTCCCAAAGCTCATCTCTTGTGTTCTGCACACCTGCAGGCCCAACACCACATGGAAGCTACCAAGGCTTGGGGCTTGCAACCTCTGAAGCAATGGCTAAAGCTGTACCTTGGCTCTTTATAGCCACAGCTGGAGCTGGAGTGGCTAAGACAAAGGGCACCCTGTCCCCAAGCTGCACAGAGCAGCAGGGCCCTGAGCCCAGCCCATGAAAACATTTTTCCCTCCTAGGTCTTTGGGCCTGTGATGGAACAGTGTATTAGTTCAGTCTTACAGTACTATAAAGAACTATTGAGACTAGATAATTTATTTTTTAAAAAAGAGGTTTAATTGACACAGAGTTCTGCATGACTGGGGAGTCCTCAGGAAATTTGCAATTATGGCAGAAGGAGAAGCAGATACTTCTCACATGGTGGCAGGTGAGAGAGAACAAAAAGCCCAGGGGGAACTGCCATTTATAAAACCATCAGATCTTGTGAGAACTCCCTCACTATCACAAGAACAGCATGGGGAAAACTGCTGCCATCATTCAATCACCTCCCACCAGGTCCCTCACTCGAAACATGGGGATTAAGGGCATTACAATTACAAATTGGGATTTGGGTGGGGATTCAGCCAAACCATATTATTCCTCCCCAAGCTCTCCCAAATCTTATGTCCTCACTTTTCAAAACCAATCATGCCTTCCCAACAGTCCCCCAGTCTTAAGTCATATCAGAATTAACCTAAAATCCAAATCCAAAGTTTCATCTGAGACAAGGCAAGTCCCTTCTGCCTATGAGCCTGTCAAATCAAAGGCAATTTAGATACTTCCAAGATACAATGGAAGTGCAGGTATTGGATAAATGTCCCCATTACAATGGGAGAAATTGGCCAAAACAAAGGGGCTACAGCCCCCATTCAAGTTCAAAATCCAACAGGCAGTCATTACATCTTAAAGCTCCAAAATTATCATCTTTAACTCCATGTCTCACATTCAGGACATTCTGATGCAAATGGGGGGCTCCCAAGGCCTTGGGCTGCTCTGCCCTTGTGCCTTTGCAGGGTACAACTTCCCTCCCAGCTGCTTTCATGGGCTGACCTTGACCATCTGCAACTTTTCAGGTACATGGTGCAAGCTGTCAGTGGATCTACCATTCTGGGGTCTGGAGAATGGTGGCCCTCTTCTCGCAGCTCCACTAGCCAGTGTCCAGTGGGGACTCTGTGTGGGGTAACACCCCACATTTTCCTTCCATACTGCTCTAGAAGAGGTTCTCCATGAGGGCACAGCCTCTGCAGCAGACTTCTGCCTGAAAATTCAGGCATTTCCATACATCCTCTGAAATCTAGGTGGAGGTTCCCAAACCTCAATTCTTGACTTCTGTACAAGCTGTACCTTGGCCCCTTTTAGCCATGGCTGAGACACAGTGCACCCTATTCCAAGGCAATACAGAGCACTAGTGTTCTGGGCCTGGCCCAGGAAACCATTTTTCCCTCCTAACCTCTGAGTCTGTCATGGGAGGGGCAGCTGCCAAGATCTCTGACATGCCCTGGAGACATTTTCCTTATTGTCGTGGTGATTAACATTTAGCTCTTCATTACTTATGCAAATTTCTGTAGCCAGCCTGAATTTCTGTCCAGAAAATGGGTTTTCCTTTTCTATCACATCATCAGGCTGCAAATTTTTCAAACGTCTATGCTCTGCTTCCCTTTTAAACATAAGTTCCAATTTCAGATCATCTCTTTCAAGTTCAAAGTTTCACAGATCTCTAGGGCAGGGGCAAAATGCTGCCAGTCTCTTTGCTAAAACATAGCAAAAGTGACCTTTTCTCCAGTTCCAAATAATCTCCTCATTTCCATCTGAGACCACCTTAGCCTGGACTTCATTGTCCATATCACTGTCAGCATTTTGGTCAAAACCATTCAGCAAGTCTCTAGGAAGTTCCAAACTTTCCCACATCTTCCTATCTTCTTTTGGGTCCTCCAAACTCCAGATTCTTCCAACCTCTGCTTGTTACCCAGTTCCCAAGTTGCTTCCACATTTTTGGATATTTATATAGCAGTACTCCACTCTACTGGTACTAATTTACCATGTGTTAGTCCATTCTCACACTGCTATAAAGAACTGCCTGAAACTAGGTAATTTATAAAGAAAAGAGGTTTAATTGACTTACAGTTCTGCATGCCTGGGGAGGCCTCAGGAAACTTAGAAGTATGGTGGAAGGGGAAGCATGCATGTATTACATGGCAGTAGGTGAGAGAGAGCAAAAAGCCCAGGGGAAACTGCCATTTATAAAACCATCAGATCTTGTGAGAACTCACTCACTATCATGAAAATAGCATGAGGGAAACCACCCCCCAGGATCCAGTCACCTCCCACCAGGTCCCTCCCTCAACTTGTGGGAATTATGAAGATAACAATTGGAGATGAGATTTGGGTGGGGACACAGCCACACCATATCAGATAGGCTACAGTGAAGATTTCTGAAATGCCATGGAGACGTTGTCTCCATTGTCTTGGCTATTAACATTCGACTCCTTGATGCTTATGAAAATTTCTGCAGCCTGCTTTAATTCCTCCCCAGAAAATGGGTTTATCTTTTCTACTGCATGGTCACGCTGCAAATTTTCCAAAATGTATGTTCTGCTTTCCTTTGAAACATAAGTTCCAATTTCAGATCTTCTGTTTATGAATGCATTTGACTGTACACTTTTAGAAAAAGCCAGGCCACATCTTGAATGCTTTGCTGCTTAGATATTTCCTCTGCCGGATACCCTAAATCATCTCTCTTAAGTTTAAAGTCCCACAGATCTCTACAGCAGTGGCAAAATGCTGCCCGTATCTCTGTTAAAGCATAGCAAGAGTGACCTTTGCTCAAGTCCCCAATAAGTTCCTCATCTACATCTGAGACCACTTCAGCCTAGACTTCATTGTCCATATCACTATCAGCATTTTGGTCAAAACCACTCAACAAATCTTTAGGAAGTTCTAACTTTTCCCACATCTTCCTGTCATTTTTCTGAGCCCTCTAAACTTTTCCAACCTCTGCCTGTTACCCGTTTACAAAGTCACTTCCACTTTTCTAGGTATCTTTATAGCAGTGCCCCACTCTACCGGTGTTCTGGGACCAAACTGAGGTTTGGGCTGCTTATTCTCCTGGCCTAATAACAAGATGCAGATGAACTGGGAGAGAAGAGCGTTTTTATTTTTGTAATCTGTTACAGGGAGAAGGCCTAGAAACTCTTGCCGGACCAACTCAAATTACATAGTTTTCCAAAGCTTATATACCTTCTAAGTTCAATGTCTATGTGTAAGTGTGCATTCATCTGAAGACATAAGTGGTTAACTTCTTCAAATCTATAACTAAGATCTGAGTACCAACACCTTCCTCTGGACCTCAGTAAATTTATTTAATCAAAATGGGTCCAGGTGCTCAGATGATTACCCTTATCTTGTCTCCTGCTAAATCATGGAGTTTTGGAGAGTTTCTTCATACCCCCAATAAAACTTGTTCAATCCTAAATGGGTCTTGTTAAGAATTTCTTCTTTATTTTGTCATGCTTCAAGGTCAAGGAAAGGCCTAGGCAAAACTCTTGGTGGACTTTTGTTACATTCCAACCTTTGTATGAGGGCACTGGCTCTATCAGCTTTTAATATTTAACCTAGCTACTTAGTCAGTACTGAAACAGTAGTAATGGGGGCCTGCACTAATGAAACCTGGCCAGCCACACCCATACCAATTTTCTGTATTAGCCCATTTTCACACTGCTATAAATAACTACCTGAAACTGGGTAATTTATAAACAAAAAGGCTTAATCGACTCATAGTTCCACAGGGCTGGGGAAACCTCAGGACACTTACAATCATGGTAGAATGCAAAGGGGAAGCAAGACAGGTCTTACATGGTGGCAGGAGAGAGAGAGTGTATGGGGGGTGGGGGTTGCCATTTTTAAATCATGAGATCTCATGAGAACTTGCTCACCATTCCAAGAACAGCATGGGGGAAAACTGCCCCCATGCTGAACAAAGAGCCAAACCATATCAATAACTCTCATTTTTTCATAGGACATCATTCTGCTATTTCCACTGAAGCTTGGTCTTGATTTTGGTATGAGATTATTCTCTGTATTACTTCTCATTTGCCTCTGACATTCTTCTATTCTTTTCCTTTCTGTTTGATGTTTTTCCACTCTATCATCCCATGACAGCCTTCTTGTTGATAGCTGACTGGCTACTGATATTTGTTATGAACATACCAATTATTATTTTAATGATTTCCAACTTCTTTCAAATGTTGTGGTAAGCTATGGAAGCAAAGCATAGCAGGTGGTAAAAACAGCATGTTTTCAGAAATGTGAATAAGCACAACTCATTTGACTGGAACTCAGATTATATTTCACATTCATATGAAAGATATGAGATAGGGTTCTATGCCATTCACTATAATGTGCAAATATTTATCTAGTAAATGGTCATCTCTTGAGGCATATAACTGGTTTATATGTGGAACTGGGATTGTAATGAACATCTGAGCAGTCCTTAGTACATTTGTCTAGACTTGGGAAATCATGTATTGAAGGTCACTGGGGAACAAAAATGCTAATGACTATGCTAATTAAAATTATGTTTCAGTTCCAGAGTTCTTTGGTAAACATCTTACTGAATTGGCTAAGAATATAATAGAAGGCAGGCTGTTCAAGTAGCTGACACTATAACCTCAGAGTCTCTGAATTCAGGATTTTTAAGAAGTCTACAATAAAGTCAAGATTTTTACTCCTTAATTTTCCTGTTCTGAGGCTATATTTGCACAACACAATCAACCCTGCTGTTTCAATCAAATCAGTGAGAAAAAAATTCAGGAGAAGCAGATGTTTGGCATTTTGTATATGAAACAGCTGCTTGATTGTCTGAATTTTTCATTTTTGAACTAATCTTGCTGTCATAATACAGAAACATCCTGAAAATGGATTTCTTTGCTTGTGAAATGTAAGTAGCTTCCTTTAGAGAGATTCTATGGGTTTAGCTACCTTAGATTTAATAAAGAATGGTTTAGATTGGCTAACATTGCAAGTACAGATAGGAAGAGGACACAATGGTGTTCAAGGAAAACTAAATTGTTAATCCTTATGAGCACTGTTACAAATTTTATCTTAAATTCTATTCAGCAGTACAGTTATAACTGCAATAAATAATAAATTACTAATTGTTTTTATTTTCAAAAAGAGGTTAGAAGTCATATTTTCTGCTTATGGAATTAATAATTATTTGAAACTGTGGTTTTGCCATGATAGAATTTGGGTATAATTTTAATACCTATCCTTTTTATTACTATTGTTTTTTATATATGTAGAATTTTATATTTCTTACAGAAAATGAATTTTTTAAAGTATTGTCCATTTAGCCCTTAAATAAATCAATTCCAGCATCATATAGAAAGTCTTACATTAGCAAATTGCAATAACTATAAATTATAGAAATAAATATGTTTTTGAAAAAGATACAATAAGGTTAAATAGCTGTTATCATCAGTTTTTCAAACAGATTTTTGTTGGCCTATAAACACTTAGTGGTTTCTAACATCTGAACCTTTGCACTAATTATTTGTTTTATATTTACCTACCTACTATGTACTCATGTCAAGCGATATAGTGAAAGGAAACAATTATTTGGATAATTCAATTCAGTATTTTGCTTAAGTCATTCAATAAATCATCAATAAAATATTTTTGGAAAATTGTTATACTATTGTGTTAGGCACTTTAGAATGTAAATGTGGATGTATAGTAAGTCCTGTTCAAGTAATAACAGTATAAAACATTAAATATATACAATAAGCAATGCAAATAATCAATGCATGTAATTTTTAGGGAATAATTATTTTATTCTAGTGGCAATTAGGAAAGTGCAAACTGAATAAACTAGGTATTAACAGTGAATATGTTATAATTCTGAGAAATGGCAATGAGGGGATGACATTTCAGATAGACTGAACAAAGAGAATCAAAGCACACTGAGGAGAAAGCATGATCAGAGGTGATCAGTTTGTATATGGCACCAACAGCACCAATTACTGCAAATGTACGTAGAAACAAGAATGCAAGCTGCTGATGATTAATTCTGGTGTAGAGTGTGTTTAGTAAGCAGATAGAATTCAGTGCAAAGTGTATATGATATGACATAGGGAAATAAATATGTTTACAACCTTAACAATGTAAAAACTCTTCTTTCATTGCTGGTTGTTATGGGTTGAATTGTGTCTCAAAAAATTTAAAAAACAAAAGTGAAGTCCTAAACCCCAGTACTTCAGATTGAGAGCTTATTTGAAAATAGGGTCATTTTAGATGTGATTATCTAAGTTAAAATAAGGTCATAGTAGAGTACGTTTAGCTCCTAGTCCATTATGACTGGTGTCCCTTTAAGAAGATGGCTTTCTAAAGACAGAAACACACGGGAAGAACATCATGTGAAGAAAAAAGCAGAGACTGGAGTTCAACAGCTGCAAGCTGGATAGACAAAGATTTCTGGTAAACTAATGGAAGCTAGGAAGAGGCAAAGAAGACTGGCCCTCTAGGTTTCAGGAGGTGCATGGCCCTGACAACACTTTGATCTGTAGCCTCTAAAAGACAGTAAATTTCTTTTCTTTTAAGGTACTCAGCTTTTGGTACATTATAGCAGCCCTAGGAAACTAATATACTGGCCATGCGAAAACAGGCCTCAGGCCATAGTTTGGTGGCCTGTGTCCTTGCATATAACTGCAAGGATTTCAAGAAATTGGAATTCATTTTCTTTGCTGGTTGGTTTGATTTGGTGCTATTTTAATTCAGTCTTACCTTGGAAAGGCAAGAAATACAAGTTGAGAAACTATGAAAATGTTATAGGATCATTCTCAAAAGATATTGGCTAACTGTGAATATATGCATTGTCCAATCTAATGCACCAGGATCTAAACATAGATGTGGATATAAAGAAAAAATTTATATCTGAAATTAGACTTATTATGTCACAACAACCAAAAAGATATTGAGGTTAAGGAGACTATTTTAATACTTTATTAATAAACAAAAAAATCGCTCATCTAAACCTGAATACTTTGTTTTATTCTAATTGCTACTCCTAGAAAATATATACAATCATGAAGTACACATAAAAGGAAAGACTCTAAGGCAAAGGGTTAGAAATAATCTAGTTAGAAATATTGCTATATATCTGTAAAACTAATCACTCAATCTTAATAAATACAGAAAGAACCATATGAAAATAAAATACTGGTATTAATGATGCATACTTAGGACAAATCAAAGCTGTACATTTTCTCCAAAATTTTGTGTTAGTAAATATGAATAGTTTTTTAAATTATTTCAATATAAAGTAAAAGTAACATTCACTGGCATAAAGAATATAAATTACTTAAAATAAAATGAAAAATTTAATAAGAAAATTTGAAATTTAATAAGATTAAAACATGTTAAATAATTAGTTTCTGATTTGGGGTAATAACAAGAGTAATAATATATAGCTAATTTCATTGTTTTCTTTATATAAGATACAATTCTAAACATACCATAAACACTAACTTTAATTTTCATATAACATTACTGTGAGATAACTATTAACGCTATCTCCATTTTTACAGGTCAGAATACTAGGGTCTAGAGAGTTTGGGTAACTAGTGTAAGGTCACTTAGGTGTTAAGAGGGACAACTGGAGTTTAAATCCACACAGTCTGGCTCCAGAATCTTCAAACCAATGTACCACCTCTCAAACTGTTAAAAGACTCACATATATTAATCAATTTTTTGTCAGCTATGAAAGGTAATAGATATTGACTATTTTTAAAAATGTCAAATATAGAAAAGTTCAAGGGAGAAAATAAAAGCAGGTATACTCCTGGCACTCATAGTTAAATTATATTGTCATTTTGATGTTCCACCAGCCTCATATATAGATTTTGGTATGTTCACGTGTACGTATGTGCATGTGTACATTTTAAAAGGCACTTAAAAACATTAGGAGCAAAACGTATATCCGATGGCTTGTCTCCATCATTTCTGTTGATACATTTTGTTAATAATCTTTTTTTTTCTTAATTTTCCAGAACCTTAAATGGCAATGCAATTTAATCTTTAAATGCTTTGAAATATTAATTTCTGATAAAAAATTTGGACAAAATATTTCTATTTGAAAACTCATTTGCAAAAATAAATTTTATGAAAATTTAATATAATTTATGCCCATGTCCACATGTCCATTAAAATAATAACTTATCTATTATCTAAATATTGAAAATTAACATAAATAAAATATTTGTATATATAGTCATGTTCTTTAAACAATTTTTACAAAGAATACTTTTTTCAATTCATTGTTTAAACATTTCAACAACAAAAAATGCAATCTGTTTTCAAGACTGCATATTTAAAAAAATATGTATTTTATTTTATTGTGGTAAGAACAATTAGCATGAGATTTACCATCTTAAAATTTTTGAAGCTTACAGTACATTATTATTTATTATAGGTACACTGTTGTATAGCAGATCTTTGGAACTTATGCATCTTGTATGACTCAATATTATGCCCCCTGATTAGAAACTCTCTCTTTTCCCCCACATCCCATCCTCTGGTAACCACCATTCCACTCTTTGACTCTCGGAATTTGACTATTTTATGTATTTCACATAAGTGGAATCATGCAGTATTTTTCTGTGACTGTCTCACCTCATTTAATTTCCTCCAGGTTTATCCATATTGTTTCATCCTGTAGAATTTTCTTCTTTTTTAAGGCTGAACAGTATTTCGTCATTTATGCAGACCACAGTTTATTTATTCATTCATCTGTGAAGGGACATTTAGGTTGTTTTCACATCTTGGCTATTGTGAATAGTACTGCAATGAACATAGGAGTGCTAATATTTCTTCCAGATCCTGATTTCAATAATTTTGGATGAATAGTCAGAGTGAGGTTGCTGGGTCATATGGTAGTTTTATTTTCAATTTTTTAAGGAAACTCCAAACTGTTTCCCATAGTGGTTAAACCATTTTGCATTCCCATCAACACTGTACAAGAATTTTGATTTCTCCATGTCACACTGGCAATAATTGTATCTCTTTTTAAAAAAATAATAACCACTTTGACAGGTGTAAAGTGACATCTCATAGTGGTTTTCATTTGCATTTCCCTAATGATTAGTCATGTTGATTGGTTTTTCATGTACCTATTTCCTGTGTTTTTTCATGTGCCTATTGGCTATTTGTATTTTTTATAATGTCTATTCAAGTCTATAGCCCATTTTTAAATTGGGTTATTAGTCTTTAATGAAAAAACTTGATATATACCCAGGAAGAGTGATCAAAATACAATTTTTTATGAAGAGCTAATATTGAATATTCAAGAAAAGTAATTCACCAGAACTATTTATTTCTTTGTTTCTGTCATCAATTTGGTTTTATTCTGCTTGAAATACATTTAAATTTTTGTTGCACTTTGTTTCAAACAACTGCAATATTCCACTAAATTATTAATGAATGGAGTTCCAAAAACTTTCATGTTTTGCAGTGTTAGGACATAACAGTTATTGAAAATGGAGTATGTAAGCATTAAGATGTTGATATTAGTACATAGTAAAGAAAGGGAAGAACTCAGCAAACTATAAAGTGAGAACTCTAGTGGTATAGGAGACTTAATTTTGAATGTAATTAAGGTAATGTGCATATGTGAGTTTATTTTGGGGGGCAAATTTCTAAAATGAAAACTACTTAATCTTGAAAATATAGGCACTCCTTGACTTACAGTGATTTGACTTACAATTTTTTTTACTGTACCATAGTGCAAAAGTGATACTCAATCAGTATATCCCTCAACTGACAATGGGATTATATCTGGCTAAACCCATGGGTTGTTGAAACTATTGTCAAGTTGAAAGTACATTTATCCAGACATAATCCCATTGTAAATTGAAGAACATTTATAGGCACACTTTTTAGATTTTAGATTTAAATTGTTCTCTGTAATATTTATATCAATTTTTACCAGCAAATACTGTTTATAGATACTGTCCCTGAGTTAAAATTACTCCTGAGAGATTATGTCAGTCATATAAAAATGTTATCTCAAAAAACAAAGTGATACAATAGACATTAATTAGTGATTAATTAATATTAATCATGTTAACGGTAATCTAAGAGATTGTATTTATTTTTTATTTTTCTTCTTGAAACTCCTAATTAAACTCACCTAAGTGAAACAAAAGAGTAAAAACACAGTTTCAGACTTCAATGTTGATGGAAAAAGTGTATTTTACAGCACAAGCCATAACTTCCTTTGTAACTTTTATGGCTATCTTCACCAAATGACAACTCAAAGCTTCAATAACTTCTCCTTCTCTGTACTCTTATTAAATTTTATCATCAGCACATAATTTATTTCTTCACCCATTTCAAATAATTTTGTATTTAATCTTTTTTGTTCAACTTATCTAGACCAGTATATGACTAATGTTTTAGATCACCTGCCACTTTAGTAAAAGAGAAGTTGAAGCAGCACATTCAATATGTGAACATTTATTTATTTAATGGTGTCTGCTGGTATAAATATTATAAGCACATAATACAACATGTACAAAATATTGAAAAGATTATGTGCATGTACACATACATAGAAAGTTCAAATGTTTTCTCCTTGCACTCTGATAAGTCAATTTAAAAATGAATCAATATAAAAATCATAACTACAGGCCAAGTGTTTGCAAACTTTTTAATTAATGTGCCATGCAATCAAGATATTAAACTTTGCAAGCTACCTTATATCTCTGTTGCATTTAAAATTTTTTGTGCCACAACCAATTAAAATATAAGAAACATTCTTGGCTCTTAGGCCTATAAGAACAGACCAGAAATCAAATATCATCTGTGCTTTGCAGGAATTTGGCAACACCTGCTTTAGACTATGATTTCCTTTAGCTTGAAACAATTGTATCTTATTTTTCATGAGCTTTCAGGAATTATGTTTCACTTTTTATATGTAATATCCACAGCATGGGCTATAAGCCTTAAATAAATTATTGTATAACCACACTTACTTATATAAATAATAGAAAACATACACTTAGGACAGTCAATGTTATTTGGGGGAGCTACTTGCTCAACTACACTGAGGCACCAGAATATCAACTCCAACACATTGGCAAGTACCTCCTATTTCAGACATGTAACGATAATATGAATACCTGAAGAAACAGTTTCTAATGTGACAAAATTGCTTAATTCATTTCAGACTTTATTTTTCTAGTTCTGCTGATCTTCTTAGTGCCTTACTCTTATTGTCCTATTGCCATGTGTGGCTCTCTGGTCATGTCTTTGATATAATACCTTTATTATTATTTGCATAAAATAGTTCCTCTTTGTTCATGCATCTGTTCACAGATCATTTTACCAGTTTATGGTACCTTTAACGTCTATTCACACTAATATCCAGAAAATAGTGTGTTGCTAGGAAAATTTTTGTTTGAATTAATTTTTACCAAAGGTATGACTTCTCTTTAAGGCACTGCTTTGTCTATCTTTCAACATAGGATATGTCCTGCCATTATTTTATTAAAGTGCCAGCAATTGGGTGGTCATTTTAGACTCAGTGATTTTTTGAAGCATAGATTATAGACTGGGTGAATTACATTTAGCTTCATCACTGGACAGAAATATGAAAACCATGGCACTTTTTTTCTGTGTAAAAATGAAGCAGTTTTCCTTCACTGTGTTTTGAATAGAAGACACGGTTCTACGTGAATGATAAACACTGCTCTTGCTTTTTAGGAGAACAAAAGATTGAGGAGGAACCACCGGCTTTTTTCTCTTGCTATTATCTCCCAATCTTTCCACCAGTGGCTTTTGTTGTTGCTGTTTATTTCTGTGTGATGTATAAGGGCATGTGTGCTCCATATTCACATGCATTATTTTATTATGTTATTTACTTTCACAACATTCTTAAAATACCAGATAGACTTTATTAGAAAGAAAAGTAACTTTTGCAAAGAATTATCTAAATACACATCAACAAATAGCTGTGTGTGAGAGCATGCATGCCTGTGTATGTGTGTATTTGCATGAAAATCACTGTGGGCTAAAAGAATGAATTCAACAATCTGATGTGCAGGTTGGGTATACATTCACTTAAGTTCTGTACCTCCTACATAAAATTTGAGACAAATCAAATTTTCTAATTATGTGAAATTATTTAAGGTGCATGATTATGCATGCTCATATATCTATTTTTCATTAAAGTTTTTTAAAATCTCTGAAAACTTTTTTTCACTGCCCTTAGGGATTCTCTAGCTAGTGGTGACCACATTGTGATTCCTGGACGAACAGCCGCAGCACCCCCTGGGAATGTGCTACAAATGCAATCTGTGGCCCTACACCAAACACACTGAGCCAGAAATCAGGATGGAACTGATATATTCATTTGAGCAAGGCTTCCCTGTAATTCTATTACATGCAAAAGTGTTAGAACCACTACTATAGAAAAGGTGTAAAACAGGGGTAGCCAGCCCCCAGGCTGCAGACTGGTAAGAGTCCTTGGCCTGTTAGGAACTGGGCTGCACAGCAGGGGCTGAGCCACTGGGTAGCAAAGCATTACTGCCTGAGCTCCACCTCCTGTCAGATCAGATCAGCAGAGGCATTACATTCTCACAAGAGCTCAAACCCTATGGTGAACTGCACATGCAAGGGACCTAAATTGCAATGCTCCTTATGAGAATCTAATGCCTGATGATCTGAAGTGGAACAATTTTCTCCGGAAACCATTCTACATCCAATCTCACCCCCACCGCTCCCCTCATCCCCCATCCATAGAAAAATTGTCTTCCATGAAACCAGACCCTGGTGTCAAAACGGTTGGGGACTGCTGGTGAAAAGACATAACCTCTATTAATTGTGTCTGTTACTGGTTTCCTTCTCTGCTATCTCTAGGACCAAAATAATGGAAGCATTTTCTACAGTCACCTGATGAATGCCTTTTGTTTTTGAGAATTCCTCTTCACTATAATGAAGATCCTGTAAGAGACTGTTAATGGTGCATGGTTCCCTTGCTATCACTTTCAGCAGCCTAAAATTCTAGTATTATAAAAGATCCTGGGGTGCAAAATACATTTTTCAGCCCCTTAATTATGTGCCACATCACTTGTTTGCTTAATGAGAAACAGGTGGCTTATTTTCAATTGCTACCATTTATTCCTTTGACATAAACTTGTTTTCATTACATTTTCATGGCTCTTTAATTTGCTTGTTATAATATTACTTCCTCTGAAGGTATAACTAGAAACTTCAAGAAAGGCTGGCATGCATTACCTTGTTGTACAACTGTACTAAAATATTCTCAGTTCCACTGAGAGCTTCACCAGAAGAAATGGAAATAGACAGGTTAAGTGGAAAAATGAACTTATACGATAGATATCAAGGTGAAACTTGAACAAAGGAAACTAATTTCACTTATTTGTTTTAACCCAAAGAATAGAAAAATAATGTGATTTAAAACTAAACCTTGATTCAATTTATCACAAATAAATTGATATGAATAGTATTATGCTAAATATCTTTTATAAACATAGCCAGAAAGTTAAAGTAATAAGCAATTACCATGTAAATATAAATTAATCCTACATGACCTGGATTTAAAAAGAAAAGGTAAACTAGGATGTAAAAATATTTAATTTAGTCACTAGCCATATCAGAATAAAATTTGGTATATGATATATTCCTATAAATAATTCTCTCATGTAGTCTTTCAAAAGAGTAGTCAAAATAAAGCCCATTTATTGCATCAGTCTTTAGATGTTCATAATATGACATGCAAATTAAGACAAGGCCAGAAGTCACATCGTAGGAAAACTAATTGCATAAAGTGAAACAACAGATTGACTTATTTTTCTCTTATCTCTATTAATAAAACTTTTGTGTTCCTTGAGAATAATGGCAATATCTTATGTAGTTCTTTGAAAATCCCTTTCTGGCCAGGCACAGCGGCTCACGCCTGTAATCCCAGCACTTCGGGAGGCTGAGGCGGGCAGATCACGAGGTCAGGAGTTCGAGACCATCCTGGCTAACACAGTGAAATCCCGTCTCTACTAAAAATACAAAAAATTAGCCAGGCGCCTGTAGTCCCAGCTACTCGGAGGGCTGAGGCAGAAGAATGGTGTGAACCCGGGAGGCAGAGCTTGTAGTGAGCCGAGATCGCGCCACTGCACTCCAGCCTAGGCGACAAGGCGAGACTAGTCTCAAAAAAAAAAAAAAAAAAAAAATCCCTTTCAGTTGGCCAGATAAACCTTTTATTGAATCCCTGTGTGCTGACTGTATAGATATAAAACAACCTGTGTCTGTTATCAAAGGCTTCCCATTGTTCTTACTGTAGATTTACCACAACTTTTAAAAATAAAATATTTTAGTTAATAAAATTTTTGTTAGTTATATTGACCTTAATTGTATTAAAAATGATTTACGAACATATTTTAGACTAAAATTTACCTACTAAGAAGTTTATAATTATTTTAATATCTCCATAATTGCTTCCATTATCTTAGTTTTGTCTTGTTTTGTATTCTAATTTTTTCCCTAAACTCTGTCATCTTTAATTATATAATTTGAGTCTCAGTTTTATCTTCTGAAAATGAGGACAATAACCACTATCTGAAGGATTATGTTAAGGATCTTGATAAAATCCAGGAGAATTGTATCTTACATAGATGTTAGGTTCTAGCATCAGTCCTTAAAGAAAAATAAAAATCTTTAGTAAAAAACTACCCTTTAAACAAACCCTAAATTTAAGATTCAAACAAACCTTAAATTTTCCATAAAGAAGAAAATTATGGTTTTGGTGATGCAATCCTTACACAGCTCCACAATATTTATCTCTTAGGGCAAGATGTGTTTCAGAATTCAGAATAGTTTGTATTTTACAAAATGAATAGGTGCGATATAACTTTTCAAGTAATGCTTTACATGGGTTTCTCCCAGAACACTGTGATCAGGCACATTGATATTTCTCCAATGTAAATGCGTGCAGGAATTATGCAGATGTTTATTGGAAGAGCTATTAAGCTAGAGGGAATATTAGGTACAAAGTCACTGAGTTGGAGAACATTTTGGTGTTTAGGAAAATAATATAGAAGCAAGGTGTGCCTGTGTCAGTGTGCATAGGTAGAAGAGTGAGAGAAAAGTTGATCATGGAGATGGCAGTGGGTCTGAACTGTCTGGCTATGTTGGCCACTGAATGGACTGTGGCTATGACTGAAAATACAATGTGAAATCATTGAGAGCTTTGAGTATGGAGGTGATGTGATTTGTTTTACATTTTAAAAAGATAACTTTGACTTCTGTATTTAGAGTAGACAGGGATATGGATGGAACTAAAAACAAAAGCAGAGATGGGTTAAAAGGACTTGAAGAAAATTCGGTGAATCAGATTAGTAAACGTGGAGGTTTTTTTGGGGGGATGGATTTTAAGGAACAACTAATACGGCTTTCTAATGGGTTAGATATGGGCTGTAAACAAAAAAAATGAGTTCACTACAGATTTTTAGTTTCAACAACTCAAAGGATAAGATTGTCATTTACTGAGATGAAGAATATTGCAAAATCTGCTGATTTTAATATAAAAATATTATAACATTTGTGGCTAGGTATAGTTCATATGTCTACTAGATAACTGTATGGAGATATCAAATAGGTTACTAAGTCTTGAGATCAAGGTAACTCTCTAGACTGGAGATATACATTAAAGAGTCCTCAGTAAGGTGATTATATATAAAATCATGAGATTGAATGATGTTATAGAGAGAAGGGGTAATGACATTATAGAAGAAACAAAGAAGAGTTACTAGGTCTAAACACTTGGTCTAAGTTTGACCTTTGGATATCTGTGAGAGTACTAAGATCCACAAAGAAGACTTAGAAAGAACAATGTAGAGTGTGAGAAAGAGTGATGTCCTGGGACCAAATGAACAACATGTTTAGAAGAGGAGGTAATGAATAATTATATGAAAGATCAAGTAAGACACTAACTGGGAATTGACCATTGAATAAAGAAATATGGAAGTCACTGGTGGCCACCAAAAAAGTTGCCTCATTGGTATGTAGTAGATATTAAAGACTAATTGAATGAGTTCAAGAAAATATAAGAATAGAAAAATTAGAAAATATGAAGGTAGACAGAAATTTTGAGGTGATTTTCTGTTAGATGGGAAGAGAAATGGGATACTAGTTTTAAGGAAACATAGGTTCAAGGGAGATATATATTCCCTACACAGAAGCTAAAAAAATACTTCACCAAAAGTTATGGTAGTGGTCGTAGTGGTCATGAATCAGCAGAAGGGTCAATATATGATATAGGACAGAGAATTGTTGGATTGACTTTCCTGAGACAGGTGGAAGTGGACAGGATCCGGTGCATGAGCAGAAGGTCTGACATTGCTTGGAATATACACAATACTTCTACGGTAACAGAAGGGGAGGCAAAGTATATGACAACAGATGCAGATGCAGGTAAGTGGAGATATATTAAGACAGTAATTTATGGAATGTGATTGCAACAATGTTCTCAACGAAATAAGGAAGGAAGGTGTTCAGTTCAGAAGGAAGAATGGGGAGACAATTTTGTAGGTTGGTGGAAAGGGAACATAAAAATAAGAAAGAGTCCTAGGAGAGTGGGTATATTGAATAACCTAGGGACAAGTAGTAAAGCAGAAACAATAGTCATTAACTAAAATGAGAACTGTTGGCATCACAATGTGTTTCTCCAGTAAGTTAAGGTGCCCAAGGGGATGCACAGAGTAGGTGAAGAGTTGAATTTTACTAGCATTTACTTTTAACAGGAGAATAAAATAAAGAAAGAGAGATACAAAGAAGTGAATGTACATGCAGGGGAATCACTAGAATGACAGACCTTTGAATCAAACCTGGATAAAGAAGGAAGTTTTAAAAGTCAGGGAAGAACCCTGAAAAAAAAGTGATATATTGAATAGATTATACATATTTAAGCGAACAGAAAAGTGTAGGGTAATTGGACTAGCAGGACTGGCCCTGCAATATAAGAGGTGTTCTTAAGAAGTAAATGCTTGAAAGTGTGATTGTGGAGGGCAGCTGTTATTGGAAGTAAAAATGGGCAGCCTATGCCTTGCATAGGGTACTGAATTAGGATGGAAGAAAAAAATATCTTGAGAAGAGAAAGTTTTTATTTTTTTAAATTATACTTTAAGTTCTAGGGTACATGTGCACAACGTGCAAGTTTGTTACATATGTATATATGTTCCATGTTGGTTTGCTGCACCCATCAACTCGTCATTTACATTAGGTATTTCTCCTAATGCTATTCCTCCCCTTGCCCCCCACCTGCTGACAGGCCCTAGTGTGTGATGTTCCCCTCCCTGTGTCCATGTGTTCTCATTGTTCAACTCCCATTTATGAGTGAGAACATGCTGTGTTTGGTTTTCTCTTCTTGTGTTACTTTGCTGAGAAGGTTCAGAAGAGGGTGTCTGAGTCATGGTATACGTCGCATATTTAACACCAGCCAGAGAATTTTTAACACCCCCTCTTCTATATACCAAAATTATTTTGAGTGATAACCATAAAAATCCATAGAAATGATCAACACATGTACACACAAAAATTGCTTAAATTTGTCTTTTATTAAAGTTTCATGTACAATCATTAACTATTATAACACTGGAAGAACACAAACAATTCCCAACAATTTCAAACCATGATGAACTTTTTCTCAAAATGAACACATGTAGTCAACTTTAAATGTGTGGGGGCCAACTATATATATAAGTAGGAGTTCTATTAATTAGCTTCTGTGTGCATTAAAATGTTTATTAAACATTAATAAAACTATGTTAGTTTAAAGCTAACTATAGATTAAATTTTAAAACTAATAATAAGCACAATTGATTAGAATGTAGCCCATTAAAAGATTTTTGAACATTGACATTGCTTAGAAATGCTGCCACATAGTGATAATAACAAGCAGACCAAATTCGCTCAGTTTTTTTATTGTTTTAAAATCCTCCAAAGACAATTTTACCTTTATTACCTGTACCTGGGGTAGAATGCTCTTATTACTCTACTCTTAGTGTATCCAGGAAATTGGGTATCTTGAAGATATCGAAAACACTCAAAGAGAAGATTAGTGGTGGAGAAAATTACAGTAGCTGGGTTTACAATCTAAAATGGAGGGTGAGTTACCCAAGTATTCCCAGAAATACCTGCAACAAGGATAGTAATTAGTGGTATAAGGTCATGGCACAAGCTTTTCCTATGCTGTATGTTTTAAAAGAGAATGTGTTGCCATATATGAACATGGCAATGAAAAGAAAGATGTACTGTTGCTGTATTCAAGGATGAGTGATATAGGAGAGAAAGTCATTGCCCCTTGAGAGGACTGCATAGAAGGTGGTATCATCACAATGCATCTAGCATCCAGCCTTCCCAGATGTACAGGATGGTGCTCATCTCCATTTATCTAGGCGGAATAAAAAAGTATAATATGAAATAGATGGTAAATATCTCACATAACACTGTCACCTTTATCTTCTCCTACATGTAGTTTTTAAACATTCCCATCCAAAATAAGATGTGAGTTGTGTTTGTATATGCATATGTGTTCATGTTGTTGGCAGTGGGGTGTGTGGGCGGCGATTTCTAAGATTTATGAGGAGCCATAATGTACTGGTAACTTTCCATTCTCCATCAAGTGATACATGCCTAACATTGTTTTATTCAAGAAACAAAATACAGCCCAAATATTGAGGGTTTTTCACCCCAAGTAGCACACTTCCCACTGCCTCTCTAAATGTAATACAGATCATCCAGAATCCACAAAATGCCTTGATTTCTCTGCAGGCAGTCTTGCTTCAGTTGCTTCCTGGGGCAGTAAAGTTTCACACCACCTTATTATCAGATACGCATATAGACGTATAGGGAGAGACGGCAAATAAATTCCTCTCCTTGGAATATCAAAGTTAAATTTTACCAAGTTGAGGAGCAAGATGACAGAATATAAAGCTCCACTGATTATCCCCCCAGCAAGGACATCAAGTTAACAACTATCTACACAGAAAAAAAAAAGTCACCTTTATAAGAACCAAAAATTAGGTGAGAACTCATAGCACCTTGTTTTAAATTCATATCACTGAAAGAGACACTGTAGAGGTAAAAAAAAATTCCCGTATCACTGACACCATCCTTTCCCTCACCCCCAGGAGCAGACAGAAGCCTGGTGTAGAGGGCATCTCTGAGCCCTGAGGGAAGGGAGAACACAGGAATTCAGCACTGAGCTAAACTCAGTGCTGCTTTATTAGAGCAGAAGGGAAAACCAGACCAAACTCAGCTGACACCTGCCCACAGAGGGAGCATTTAAACCAGCCCTAGCCAGAGGAGAATCTCAGCAGACTGAACTTGAATGTTTGCAAACCTCGCCATCAAGGGCCAAGTGCTCTCAGTCTCTAAATAAACTTAAAAAGACGTCTAGGCTGGGTGTGGCTGCTCACCCTTGTAATCTCAACACCTTGGGAGGTCAAGGCTGGTGGATCTCCTGAGGTCAGAAGTTGGAGACCAGCCTGGCCAACATGGTGAAACCCCGCCTCTACTGAAAACATAAAATAATTAGCCGGGTGTAGTGGCACACGCCTGTAATCCCAGCTACTCGGAAGGCTGAGACATGAGAATCGCTTGAACCCAGGAGGTGGAAGTTGTCATAAGCCGAATTTCTGCCACTGTACTCCAGCCTGGGTGACAGAGCGAGACTCTGTCTCAAAAACAGAAAAAAGGGAAGTCTAGGCCACGAGGACTGAAACTTAGGTGAGTCCAAGGGCTGAACTAGGCCCAGAGACAGTAGACTGGAAGGGCATTTGGATTTATGGGATACCAGCTGGAGTAACCAAGGGAGTGTTAGCATCACCGCTCCCCTAACCACAGGCTGCACAGCTCCCAGCTTTAAAAGAGACCCCTTCCTTCCACTTGAGGAGAGGAAAAAGAAGAGTGGGGGAGACGTTGTCTTGCATCTTAGATACCAGCTCAGCCACAGCAGGATAGGACACTCGTCAGAGTCTTGAGGCCCCCTGTGCCAGGCCGTTGCTCCCAGAAAACATTTTGAGACACATACTGGGCCAGAAGGGAATCTGCTGTCTTGAAGGAAAGGGCTCAGTTCTGCCAGCATTGATCACCTGCTAACTGAAGAGCCCTTGACCCCTGAATAACCAGCAGTGCATTATTCCAGGAGCAGGTACTATGTCCAGGGCCTAGATAAGCCTCTGAGACTTGCTGGCTTCAGGTGAGATTCACCACATTACCAGCTGTGAGAGCTATGGGGCAAAATTCCTTTTGCCTGAGGACAGCAGAGGGAAAAGTAAAGGGGACTTTGTCTTGCACCTAAGGTACCAACACCATAACGGGGGGTAGAGGACCAAGTAATGTCTTGGGGTCCCCAACTCAAGGACTTGATTCTTGGACAGCATTTCTGGGCCTTCCATGGGCCACAGGGGAGCCCACTGCCAGGAAGAGTGAGCCCCAAGCCAGGCAACATTCACCACAAGCTGACTTAAGAGATCTTGGGCCTTAAGGAAATATCACTGGTTATCTGGAAGTACCCCTTGTGGCCAGGGTTGGCAGTGGCTACTGAGTGAGGCTCTTCTGCCTTTGGAAAGGGGAGGGAAGAGTGGGAAGGACTGAATCTTATGGTTTGAGTGCCAGCTCAGCCACGGTACAGGAGAACACCAGGCAGAATGCCATGGTTTTTTACTCTAGTCCTTGATTTCCAGATGGCACTTCTGGGCCCACCTGAGACCTTGAAGACCTCGCCACACTAAAGGGATAGACACAGGCCTAGCAGGCTTTGCCACCGGCTCACTGTAGAGCCCCAGGCTCTTGAGAAAACATATGCAGAAGCCAGGGAGGTGTTATAGCAGACCTTGGGCAAGACCCAGCACTGTGCTGGCTTCAGGTCTCACCCAGCACAGTCATAGTGGTGGTGGCCACAGAGGTACTTGTGTTACTCTACACCCAGATTTAAGTGACTGAGAACAGAGAGACTGTATATTTGAGAGAAAGTAAAGGAAGAGAGCAGGACTCTCTGCCTGGCAATCCAGGTAATTTTCTCACATCTTGCCCAAGACCATGAAGGCTGTACCTCTACAACACAGCATTACTGGACTTGGGATGCCTGTTAAAGCAGGTACTGCTTAGGTCACAACACCCAAGTCCTTTTAAATATCTAGAAATATTTCCTCCAAAGGATGGCTGCAAATAAGCACAGACAGTGAAGATAACAATAAATACCTAACCCTTCAATGCCCAGACACCAAAGAACATCCACTAGCATCAACACCATCCCGAAAACCATAACCTCAACAAATGAACTAAATAAGGCATCAGGGACCAATCGTGGAGAAACAGAGATTGAAATTTGAAATAACTGTGTTGAGGAAACTCAAATACATTCAAGAAAACATACAGAAGGAATTCAGAATTCTACAAGATAAATGTAACAGAGAAGGAAACAATTAAAAACAACCAAGGGGAAATTCTGGATTTGAAAGATACAACTGCCATACTGACTAATGCTTTTGAGTCCTTTAAGAGCAGAATGAATCAAGCAGAAGAAAGAATTAGTGAGCTTGAATACAGGCTATTTGAAAATATACAGTAAGAGTAGACAAAAGAAAAAAGAATAAAAAACAAGGAAGCATGCCTACATGTTCTGGAAAATAACCTCAAAAGTGTAAATCGAAGAGATATTTGTCTTAAAGAGGATGGAGAGTAATATATGGGTTATAAAGTTGATTCAAAGGGATAATAACAGAGAACTTCCCAAACCTACAGAAAGATATTCATATCCAAGTACAAGAAGGTTATAGAACACCAAGCAGATTTAACCCAAAGAAGACCATCTCAAAGCATGTAATCAAACTCACAAAGGTTAAGGATAAAGAAAGGATTCTAAAAGCTGCAAGAGAAAAGAAACAATTAATATACAATGGAGCTGTAATATGTCTGGCAGCAGACTTTTCAGTCAGACTTTTCAGTAGAAACCTTACAGGCCAAGAGAAAGTGGCAGGACATATTTAAAGTGTTCAAGGGAAAAATCTTTTACCCAAGAATAGAACAACTGGTGAAAATATCCTTTAAAAATAAAGGAGAAATAAACACTTTTCCAAACCAAAAAAAGTTGAGGGATGTTATTGTGAATAGTGCTGCAGTAAACGTACATGTGCATGTGTCTTTATAGCAGCATGATTTATAATCCTTTGGGTATATACCCAGTAATGGGATGGCTGGGTCAAATGGTATTTCTAGTTCTAGATTCTTGAGAAATCACCACACTGTCTTCCACAATGGTTGTACTAGTTTACAGTCCCACCAACAGTGTAAAAGTGTTCCTATTTCTCCACATCCTCTCCAGCACCTGTTGTTTCCAGACTTTTTAATGATTGCTATTCTAACTGGTGTGAGATGGTATCTCATTGTAGTTTTGATTTGCATTTCTCTGATGGCCAGTGATGATGAACATTTTTTCATGTGTCTGTTGGCTGCATAAATGTCTTCTTTTGAGAAGTATCTGTTCATATCCTTCGCCTACTTTTTGATGGGCTTTTTTTTCTTGTAAATTTGTTTGAGTTCTTTGTAGATTCTAGATATTAGCCCTTTGTCAGATGGATAGATTGCAAAATTTTTCTCCCATTCTGTAGGTTGCCTGTTCACTGGAACCAACCCAAATGTCCATTAATGATATCCTGGTTTAAGAAAATGTGGCACATATACACCATGGAATATTATGCAGCCATAAAAAAGGATTAGTTCATGTCCTTTGTAGGGACACGGATGAAACTGGAAAACATCATTCTCAGCAAACTATCGCAAGGACAAAAAACCAAACACCGCATGTTCTCACTCATAGGTGGGAATTGAACAATGAGAACACTTGGACACAGGAAGGGGAACATTACACACTGGGGCCTGTTATGGGGTGGGGGGAGGGGGGAGGGATAGCATTAGGAGATATACCTATTGTAAAAGACGAGTTAATGGGTGCAGCACACCAACATGGCACATGTATACCTATGTAACAATCCTGCACGTTGTGCACATGTACCCTAGAACTTAAAGTATAATAAAAAAAATTTTTAAAAAAAGTTGAGGGATGTTATTAACACCAGACCTATCCTCCAAGAAATGCTAAAGGGAGTACTTCAATTAAAAAGAAGAGGAAATTAATGAGCAATTAATACCACTTGAAGGTAAAATACTTACTGGTAATAGTAAATACACAGAAAAACACATAATATTATAACACTGCAACTGTGGTGTGTAAACTATTTTTATCCTAAGTGGAAAGAATAAATGATGAACTTATCAGAAATAATAACTACAACCACTTTCCAAGACATAGTACAAAAAGATGCAAATAGAAACAATAAAAAGTTAAAAAGCAGAAGATGAAGTTAAGGCAAGTTTTTATTTGTTTTATTTTTGCTTGATTGTTTGCTGGTTTATGCTTATAGCATTAAGTTGTTATCAGGTTAAAATAAAGGGTTATAAGAGTATTTCCAAGCCTCATGGTAACTGGAAGCCAAAAAAACATACAATGGATACACAAAAAATAAAAAGCGAGAAACTAAATTATATCACCAGAGAAAATCATTTTCATTAGAGGAAGACAAGAATGAAAGAAAGAAGGAGAGAAGACCACAAATCAACCAGAAAGCAAACAACAAAATGCCAGGAGTAAGCTCACACTTACCAACAATAACAGTGAATGAAGGAAAAAACAAGACCCAATGATCTGTTGCCTACAAGAAACACACCTCACTATAAAGACACACAGAAACTGAAAATAAAGGAATGGAAAAAGATATTCCATGCCAATGGAAACCAAAAAATAGCAGAAGCTGCTACAATTATTTTTGACCAAAAAAAAATTTTAAGACAAAAACTATGAGAAGAGACAAAGAAGGTCACTATATAATGATAAAGGGGATAATTCAGCAGTAGGATATAGCATGTTTAAATATATACACACCTAACATTGGAGTACCCAGACATATGAAGAAAATATTATTAGAACTAAAGAGATAGATAGACTCCAATACAATAATAACTGGAGACATCAACACCTCACTTTCAGCATTGGACAGATATTCCAGACAGAAAATTAACAAAGAAATATCAGACTTAATCTGCAATATGGACCGAATGGATCTGAGATATTTGCAGAATATCTCATCCAAGAGCAGGAGAATGCACATTCTTTTCTTCAGCACATGTTATTCTCAAGGATAGGTTATATGTTAGGTCAAAAAACAACTCTTAAAACATTCAAAAAATTGAAATGATATCAAGCATCTTCTCTGACCGCAATAGGATTAAACTAGAAATTAATAACAAGAGAAATTTAGGAAACCATACAAATAAATGGAAATTAAACAATGAGCTCCTCAATGACCAGTGGATCAATAAAGAAATTAAGAGGGAAATTGAAAAACTTTCTTGAAACAAATAAAGACAGAAACAAAAGATAACGAAACCTGTGGGATACAGTAAAAGCAATACTAAGAGGGAACTTTTTAGTTAGAGGTATGTACATAAAAAAAGAGGAAAAACTGCAAATGAACAATCTAACAATGCATTCTAAAGTACTAGAAAAGAAAGAGCATTCCAAACACAAAATTTGTAGAAGAAAAGAAATAATGAAGATCACAGCAGAAATAAAGGAAATTGAATAAAACGATACAAAAAAATCAATAAAAGAAAAAGTTGATTTTTTCCAAAAGTTAAACAAAATTGAGAAACCTTAGGCCAGACTAAGGAAATAAGAAAGAAAATCCAAATAATTAAAATAAGAAATTAAAAGGAGAGATTACAACTGATACTGTAGAAATGCAAGGGATCATTAGTGACTACTATGAACAACTACATGCCAATAAATTGGAAAATCTAGAAGAAATGGACAAATTTCTAGATACACACAACCTGCCAAGATTGAACCAGGAAGAAATCCAAAACCTGAACAGACCAATAATGAATAATGAGACTGAAGCCCAGTATAGAAAATCTCGGGACCTGGTGGCTTCACTGTTGAATCCTACCAAACATTTAAAGGAGAACAAATAATCCTATGCAAATTGTTCTGAAAAAATAGAGAAGGAAACACTTCCAAACTCATTCTACAAGATCAATATTAACCTGATATCAAAATCAGACAAAGACACATTAAAACAAAACAAAGCAAAACAAAACAAAAAAGCAAAACAAACAAACAAACAAAGAACTACAGGCCACTGTGTCTAGTGAATATCGATGCAAATGTTCTCAACAAAATACTAGCAAATCAAATTCAACAATACATTAGAAAGTCATGACTGACTGAGATTTATCTCTGGGATGTAAGGATGGTTCAACATATGCAAACCAATCAATGTGATATACCATATCAACAGAATGAAAGCTAGAAACCATATGATCATGTCAATTGATGCTGAAAAGCAATTGAAAAATTCAGCATCTGTTTATGATAAAAATTCTGAAATAACTGGGGATAAAAGGAACATACTTCAACATAATAAAAGCCATATATAAGAAATTCACAGCTAGTATCATACTGAATGA